>NC_000010.11:93324913-93627943 GCF_000001405.40 Homo sapiens
GGGTTACAGGCACCCACCACCGCGCCCAGCTAATTTTTGTATTTTTAGTAGAGACAGGGTTTCACCATCTTGGCCAGGCTGGTCTCGAACTCCTGACTTCGTGATCCACCTGCCTCGACCTCCCAAAGTGTTGGGATTATAGGCATAAGCCACCGCACCCGGCCTAGATTAATATTTCTTAAAGTGTGATCAGAACCTCTTCAGGTACTTGTTAAAATTCAGATTCCTGGACCCACCCTAGACCTACTGGATCCAAATCTCTGCAGACATGGCCTGGACATCTTCATTATAACAAGCTTCCACATAGATTATTTTGTCAGTGGCCATGTCTTGCTTTGCTTCTGTGGAAACTGCTCTCCATCTTCTGGAGTGGAATGTCCCCCATTGCTATCCACATGGTCCTCGCCTCCCTGATACTGTAGTCTCAGATGGCACCTCCTGAACCGGGCCGAGCTCAATCACTTTCCCAGACCCTGCCCACCTCGCTGGAGCTCAGTGGTCCCATGGTGGGCAAAGGAGCCAAGTTTGGGCAACAAATCCCTATGCATTTAGAAGTAGATGGGGCTGCATTACAACACACAAGCACTCAAGGACTCTCTGTAATATCTGGACTCATAGGAAGGTGATCACAGCAAGAGGGCAGATGAAATAGACTCAGAGAAACAGATGAGACACAGAGAGACCCTGGTTCTGGTTTGTTCTGAGTCATGGCCAATCTCCTATCTAGATTTAGAGAGTTACCTGAAAATTCTTACAAAAAAATTCCCTTTTGATATGACGCTAATTTGAGTCTCATTTCTATTTCTGTGCATCTCAAAGTATTCAAAGAAGATAAAAGGCGCAAAAATGTCAACTACTGCCATTGCATTTGGGGCAGGGATAATGGTCTTCAAGGGAGGGAAGGCCCTTTACCTGGGAAATGTTGGGCTGGAAGGTGCTGTGCAAAGTCCTTGTTTCCACGTGCTCAGGGACCAGCCCCTGAGTCCTGAGGATGTGAAGAGCAAGCCGCTCTTCAGGGGCCCCGAGGTGCTGGTGCAGGATTTTGTTGGCTTCTGCAATGGAAAGCAGCATTGAAGCAGGAATGAGTATTTGGGAATAGTTCAGCCAGATTGCCTAGAGCTGCTTCCAGCACTTCATCCCAGACTTTGCCAAAATGGACAGGCAGTGCCAACATGCAAACTTTGACTTGTGAAGGAAGAGTTGACAGAAAGAGCTTCTGACCAGGAGCCCTGTCCCAACCAGGCTCAAGCCTAACTTGTGGACTGCCAATAGTAAAGGGGCCAGGACACCAGAACGGGTAAGTGGGAGCGTTATATATTTACTTCTGTGGCACGAGCTCATGGCCTGCCTGTTTCTCAGCCTCCCTTGCAGTTAGAGGAGGCCATGTGACCAAGTTCAGCCAGAGGGTAACATGGGTAGAAGTGACATGTGTATCTCCTCCGGACCTGGCCCATAAATCCCTCCTGGGTAGGAGTCTCTATGTGCCTTTTTCTTCTGGCTGCAAAAAGGAACAGCAGCCTCAGACTCCTGCACTTAAGAACTGCAGAGCTAGAAGACGGCAGGGACCTGGGTTCATGGAGCACTGCTTGGAAGACAGCTACCCACCTGGAGGAATACCTACTTAGAATCAATGAGAAATAAACTTTTTTTGTGTTAGAACACGGAAATTTGGAGGTTCAGTTTTTACAGCAGCTGGCATCACTGGTATTCTGGGTTTTTTGTATGTTTTTTGAGACAGTCTCGCTCTGTCATCCAGGCTGGAGTGCAATGGCGTGATCTCGGCTCACTGCAACCCCTGCCTCCTGGGTTCAAGCGATTCTCGTGCCTCAGCCTCCCGAGTAGCTGGGATTACAGGCATGTGCCACCACACGCAGCTAATTTTTGTATTTTTAGTAGAGAGAGGGTTTCACTATGTTGGCCAGGCTGGTGTCGAACTCCTGGGCTCAGGCGATCTGCCCTCCTCGGCCTCCCAAAGTGCTGGGATTACAGGTGTGAGCCACTGTATCTGGCCACCACTGTGATATTCTAAAAACATAGGCCCCAGATTCTCTTGACACTTCTCCCATGAAGAGGTGGGGTCTGTGTCATTTCCCTTTGAATCTGGAGACGTAGTCAAACACTGGAGTATGGAGAAAAGATGCTGTGTGACTCCAAGGCTTAGACACAAAAGGCCACACAGCTCCTGCCTGGTTTTCTGGGGACCCTCACTCTGGGGGACACCATCCACATGTAAGGAGCCTGGGTCTGCAGTCTCCCCTGCTGGAAAGGCCTGTGTAGGTGCTCTGGTCATCAGCCCCAGCCGAGAGCCAACACAACTGCCAGCTGTGTGTGTGGACCACCTGACTGCTCCCCCGAGCAGGGCTTTCAGATGACTGCAGCCTCAGCCAACATCTGACTGCAACCACAGGAGATGAGCCACCCAGGCTCAAACCTAACTTGTGGACTGCCAATAGCAAAGGGACCAGAACTCCAGATCCGGTAAGTGGGAGCATTCTGTATATACTCTTGTGGCACAAGCTCATGGCCAGCCTCGGCCAGAACTGTTCACCTGAGCCCGTCCTGAATTCCTGACCCCGCAAAACTGTGAGGAAAACAAAATGGTTGTTTTCAGTTACTAAGTTTGGGGTGATCTGTTATATATCAATAGTAACTGGAACAATCCCCATGACGGGGGAGTTGTTTGATTGTTTGGGGGTACCCTTAACCATTAGACCATGATGCTTCCCAATTTATTTCCAATCCTGTTTGCAAGTTCACGTTAGAAGCAGCATCAACATTTCTTAAACATCTAATCATCCCTGATACCAAGTCCTCTTTAAAATGGAAAGACAAAACATAAGTTTTTTTGTTTGTTTGTTTTTTGAGACAGGATCTCACTCTGTCGCCCAGGCTGGGGTACAGAGGCACGATCTCAGCTCACTGCAACCTCTGCCTCCTGGGTTCAAGCGATTCTCATGCTTCAGCCTCCTGAGTAGCTGGGATTACAGGTGCATGCCACCACACCCGGCTCTTCTGTTTGTTTGTTTTTGTATTTTTAGTAGAGTTGGGCTTTCACCATGTTGGTCAGGCTGGTCTTGAACTCCTGACCTCAAATGATCCACCCGACTCGACCTCCCAAAGTGCTGAGATTACAGGTGTGAGCCACTGTGCCCGGCCTCAAAACATCGTTTTTTACAATGTCACGAATCAAGCTGAGGAGCAGAAAGCACTTTTCTTCCTGTGCACGTTTGTTCAGCTCCCCCTGGATATCCCATGCCCTTGCCACCGCCCCCTCTGGGTAACCCTCCCCCGTGCAAAATATGGAAGCACAGTTCGCATGCTCTATGATGCTTACTGCAGTCTTTGTCATAGTGTAGCTAGCTGTTGATGCGTCAGGACAGGTCGGATTATAAATTGCTGGTTGGGAAAGAGCAAGACCCCAAGCTTGAACATGAGCCAAATGGGAACATAGCAGGCTCTTCAAGCCAACCATAACATCCCTGAAGCTTCTGGGAGAAGGGACAGAACAAATGATGGGATAAACCTGGAAGGGAAATTCCTGCACTACTGTATGGGCATTTTTTTAGCTAATTATGCATTACATGGAAATTAGTTCATTACTAGTACTTTGTATAAAGCTCTAATGGCTATAATCTAAAAAGGGCAAGTGAAACAGCAGACAAGAAAATGTGTCCACTTTGACACTTGACAAGACAGCAGAACTCTGACGTGGCTGTTGTTAGTGTCACGTGCACAGTCTCATGTGGTATAATTAGGGTACTGGCTCTGTCTATTCACTCCCCCAAACCCAGCAATATATATGGGTTACTATACTTTGTACCAGTTTACAATCCACAGCTAGGTGCTCACCAAATTCATCCAAGCTGTAGTCTCGTCCTCCATATCTGATTCTACTCCCATCTTCGGAAAGGATGGGTTGTGGGAAGCCTTTGAATCTGGCGACATTTTGAAGCAGCTGTGTTGGTCTCAGTTGATCTCGCCAGGTATTGACTCCAGAACTGTGAATAGCATCACGTGGCTCGGAGTTACGGAGGAGCCTGCAGGTTCTTCTCAGATTCACACATACATGCTCATGTACTCTTAGGTGCTCCCATATAGTGGGTGCAGAAAATCTGCGCTACACTCTGACTTTGGCCTAGAAATCTATTTCAGAGTCCTAAAAACCCATATGCTATTTTGGCCTCAGAGAAACAAATGTATTTATTTATTTAATATTATTTAGCCCTCAGTTTCCTCCTCCATAAAAGTGAGGAGTTGAGATCACTCTAGTCATAATAGGCAAACTCATAAACTAGAAATTGCAAGCTATGTCTTAATCAGATACTGTGGAAAGACACTGTATACCAGGCAGGGGAAGAGGGAGTCACAAAATTAAGTAGAGGGCACAAAGAATCCCTATTTCCCAAGGACAGGAAATCCCTGCTATCAAACGTTGCCAGTCCTCAGTCCTTGACATCCAGGAGGGGCTCAATGACGGGGAGCAAGGGAACTGGTCTCTGGGCTGCTAACTGTGCCATTCCCCAGCGCACAGCACTGCTCCAGCTGCCACCATTTTACACACACTGTGATGTGAATAGGGGCCATGAGGTGGCCCGGAGATTCCCTAGAATAATCCTGCGATTGAAATCCATACCTGAGTGATAGGAGCAGTGGCTCAGTGAAGGAAGGCACTAAGGTAGAGGGCCTAGGCCTCCCCAGGTGCCAATGTCAGAGGCAGCAAAGTGCCTCTTGTACAGTCAAAGCAACTTACACACAGTACTCCTCTGGTATGCCGCAGTGGGACCCAAAGCGGGAAAGGAATCGGTTTTCCAGATCAATAATTGTTTCTCCTACTTTTTCATCCCGGGTAAAGGTGTCATAATCATAGACAGAAATTTTCAGGTCTTTTTCTTGAGGTAAGTAGCAGCTCAGTTCGTACATCCTAAATAAACAAATGCAAGGTCAGAATCTTCATGATCCATCTGAGTACCTCACAAAAACTGGGGCTCTGTGCACAGAATTCCCAGGCTGTGTGTAGTATGGCTGCTGGAGGACATCTGAGCAGGATAACCAGGGTGGGTGGTGGTGGGTGGCTTGATAAATAGTACATACTAGAAATAAGAACAAGAAGAGAACATATGCTTGCTCAGGGAAACCTGTGGGCTTTAAATGCCTAGCTTCAAATCCTACCTCTGCTGCTTACCAGCTGTGGGACTCTAGACCAGTTACTTCTCTGTGCTAAGTTTTCTCATCTGTAAAGTGGTGATAATAATCCCTCCCATCAGTGTCGCTATAAGTGTCAAGTGAAGAAATATTTAGAGAGCATCTGACATGAGTGCATCGCTCCAATGCCAGTATAATAATAATGATGTATTATATTATTAACTTTATCATCACATGCCCATTAGCTGTTCACCAGAGCACCTCCACCCAGCTCAGAGATGAGTAAGGCACAAGTACCCTGACTTATAGCCCCCTACCTGTGCCCCTCCTAGGTTCCCTCCTCTGCCTCAATAGAGACCACTGCCCCATGGAACATCTTTGACTCACCCCACAGAAGCACAGGGGAGGGGAGTGAGTGTGATTCACCATAGGGTGTGATATGTAGGGTGCCCCAAAGGCTCCCCTCTTCTCCCAGACCCACTGGGTATGCCCTTGGCTCCAGTTCTTTAAGGCTTTTCTATAGAACCCATATGAAAATGCAAACACTCCTGAGATGAAGAGAAAGAGTCAGACAGTGCTTCTGTGGTGGGTGGGCGATGTATGCTAGAGGGTGGGCTTTGGGCTCTGTATCTGCACTATCCACAGAGGGACAGTCCCGGAGAAGGTGCTCAATATGTTCTATTGAAGGAGAAGCTGTGAGAGGCCTCCTCTCTGCCTCCTCCCCTTCTCCTTGCACTCTGGTGTGTGGACTGGTCCCTGCCCAAAGAGCCAGGAATGTTGATCCATTTGAGCAGAAAACAGATGTGAGAAAAGGTGCTTGAGTCATGACACATGAAGCACCTTACCCACATGTGCCCCCAAACATCACATTTCCAATCCCAACTTCCAAGAAGCAAATCATATGTGGTCTCTGGAAAGAATTCTTCAGTCAAATAAGGTTGAGAACCACTTCTTTTGCAGTTCTTCTGGACAAACTAAAGGTTCTGAGAAGTCCTGCAATTATAACTTTTAAACCCAAGTGTCTTGGTTTTACTAAGGAATATTTTTTTTTCTTGGAACATCAATTAATATCCTGTGGAAGACACCGATATTCTTTTGAAGGTGATCTGCCATGATGGATAGGACTCTGAGTAACGGCCACGCACATAGGAAAGGTTGTTCCTTCCTGAATTCCTGTTCCAGAGTCCCCAAGAGTCTCTGCGGAGAAGAAAGCTACCCCCTAAGACTGAGGCCATGGACTGGAGCCATCTGGGGGCTGCAGAGCCGGCATCTCCTTGGCTCCACCCTGCTGGATGAGGGGAAGTCTGCCCATCCGCCAGACAGCGATTGGCCGAGCAGAGCCTACAGCACCCCTTCCTTCCAGGGTGCCTCCGAGCAAGACTTTTCCTGCCACTTAATTAAGCTTGTGCCTGGCTCCTCTGAGACGAGCAATTCAGACAGGGTTGCCTTTCTCCCTTCAAAGCTGGCTTTCCCTGCTTCCCTGTCTCCCTCACGGGAGCCCTCCTTCCTGCCCTGCGTGCCTTTTCCTGTCTAGACCTCGGGGCTGGATCAGTGGAAGAAAAGGAAAACGATCATATTGCGGTGCCAGAGGATTACTTCCATTCCCTGGCCCGGGTGCATGGCCTTGGGTGTGCAGCATGCGGGGGGCGTAGGGGGGGTGGGGGGTGGGCAGGTGTGTGCATGTATGTGTGTGTGACACATGACAGAGAAAGAATACGTAAGGCTACAAACCAACAAACCCGAGAAGGAAAGAAGCATATGGGCAAGATAATAAAGCCAGAAATAAAAATATATGCCACGCAGCAAATAAGAACACAGTATTCTCTCACTCAGCAAGGTTCTGAGAACAAAACATCATTTTCACAAATGTCTCAGACAGAGAACATTTTTCTACAGGTGATGGCTTTGCCACAAATGTGAAACATCACCAAGGCGGTTGGAAAAGCATGGGGCTTGGAGTCAGCAGAATTTCTAGCTAAATCTCGGCTCTATCACTTACCCCACCTCTATTAATAGAGCTCTGGGAGCCCTGTTTTCTGCACCTGTACAGTCGGGTTGGTAATCCCTGCCCTGAGCAGCTAATAAGTTTGACATGGAGATGGAAATCAGACCGTGGCGTGCCACACAGACACTGGGGTCAGATGGTCTGAGTTCAAATCCTCATTCTTTTATTTTTTTTTTTTGGGAGACGGAGTCTTGCTCTGTCGCCCAGGCTGGAGTGCAATGGCGCGATCTCAGCTCACTGCAACCTCCACCTCCCAGGTTCAAGCAATTCTCCAGCCTCAGCCTCCTGAGTAGCTGGGATTACAGGTACACACCACCATGCCTAGCTAATTTTTGTTATTTTGTAGAGATGGGGTTTCACCAGGTTGGCCAGGCTGGTCTCGAACTCCTGACTTTGTGATCCACCAACCTCGGCCTCCCTAAGTGCTGGGATTACAGGTGTGAGCCATCGTGCCTGGCCCTCACTCTTCTCTTAAAAGCTAAGTACATTAAACACTGAGTCTCAGCCTGTCGCGGTGGCTCACGCCTGTAATCCCAGCACTTTGGGAGGGCGAGGCGGGCAGATCACAAGGTCAGGAGATTGAGACCACCCTGGCTAACACGGTGAAACCCCGTCTCTACTAAAAATACAAAAAAAATTAGCCGGGCGTGGTGGCAGTTGCCTGTAGTCCCAGCTACTCGGGAGGCTGAGGCAGGAGAATGGCGTGAACCCAGGAGGCGGAGCTTGCAGTGAGCCGAGATCACGCCACTGCACTCCAGCATGGGTGACAGCAAGACTCTGTCTTAAAAAAAAATAAAATAGGAATAATAATAGCACCTCAGAGTTGCGAGATTTTTTTGAGATGTTTTATATAAACAGCTCCGCAGACAGCCAGGTGGGAGGGGGGTCCCCGGAAAAACTCCAACTGGCCTGTGCTCCTATAACACTAGTACTAATGCTGTCTGTCTACCCTGCAAGCTATCAGAACCAAGCTTCTTCACTTCTGTGAAGTTCTTTTATTTTGGGTTTATCTATTTATTACCTGCTCCCCTGTCTAGAATGTTTATCTAGTTCACAAACACAGTTTCAGAGCCTAGGACAGGGTTGGACACATATTAGAGTCTTCATGCATGTTCCGTGGAGAAATGAAGGCCAGAAAAACATTTAAGAATGTATATTACCTGCCAAAGACTGGGTTGAGAGTGTTGGGAATGTAGTGATCTCGGTCTTCAATGACTTTTTTGCCCAGTGTTATTTTTATGTAAGGGTCACACTGTGGGACAAAATAGACGGGATGTTACATCATTGTAGGGCGCAAGGTGAAGTCAAGTTCAGGGACAGACTCAGCTCGCCTCCACACCCACTCCCAGCTGATGACAAGGTGGCCGCCATGGCACCCCGTGCCTAAGACAAGGGAGCAATGCTCTCCTTTGGGTGGCATGCAGCCAGTTGTGTGGGTGCAGGGGTGGTGGCAGGGGGCGGGGGGGAGTCCTGGCTCACACCTGTAAAATGAGAAGGATGAACCAGGGGACCTTAAGCCCCCCGCAAGCTCTTAGATAAATCCCCATGGGGACAATCCTCCTGAATACATTGTTTTGATGGAGTATCTTTCCCCTAGTGAGATAACAGACGCCCAGAAAGAAAGAACATGACAATTATTGTGGCTGATGACTGTAATTATCTTGCTACAGGAGAAGGCCCCACACCCAAACTCTTACCAGGCCATTGTTGTCCTGGGGCTGGAGCTCTAAGCCTCGAACAATGTAAATCCTAACCGTGCATTCCTGTGGGACGCTGTCAGGTAATTCCCGAAACTGTCTGGGAGGGGCTGGCACGCTGGGGTCATCCGGCAGAGGGTAGATCCGAAAGGAGCCCTAAAAGAGAGAGACAGAAGGACTCACAGGGCCCTGGGTGGCCCAGGTAGAGGGCTCCTGGGAAGTCCCCTCCTCCGCCAGGGGTGTGGGATTGAAGGATGGAAGGCTGCCTTTTGTGAAAGAAATAATGTATATTGCACTTTGCATATTTCCAGTAGGGAAAGTGAAATGATTCTCAAGTAATTATTTGAGAGCTCACAGGGGAGAAGAGAGGGCAGAGCAGAAACTGGGAGTCAAGAGGAGAACATGGGCCAGTGTGATGGAGGAGGTGGTGGTGAGAAAGAGTGAAATACTGCACATTCTTTGAAGATAGGAATAACAATAATTACATTTTAAACCCAACGAAATACCAACAGTGATTCCGCTTTTCCTGTAGCACCTCTGTACTCCACCTCCCACTCCCAGGCAAACTCCTGTTTATCTTTCAAATCTCAGCTGAAAGGTGTCACTTCCTCCAGGAAACCTCCCTGACTGCTCCTGGGCTTGGTATGTCCTCTGGGTGCTCTCATCCAACCCCATACTCACCCCTGGCACAGCACTGGCCTCTGCATTGAGATAATCTATTTATTCTCTAGATCCTTCATTAGACTGTGGGCTTCTAGAGACGGGTGAGGGGAGCATAAAGTCTTGTTCATCACCCTATCTCCAGGGCCTAACACAGGACTAGGCATATAGTAACGCCACAAAAATTGTATTTTGAAGGAGCGAGCCAACAAGACCTGCTGGAGAGGCCACATATTTTGCCTTAAAACCAGGAGAAAGCACTGAAGCCGGATTCAGAACATACAGGTCTTAGTTCCAGTGGTCTTTATTCAGTCAAGCAGCATGGAATAAGCACCTACTATGTGCCAGGTACTAGGGACCCACAAAAGAACTCAAAGACTCCCGTCTGGCACAGCGATGTTCAGTAGGGTTGGCTCTTGTGCCATATGTGATTGCTTGGTGGGAGGCTGTACTGAGAAGGATTTGAGACCACACATCAGGCATCATCCTCTCGTCCCTTAGCAATGTCTGCTACAGGCAAAGGATTATAAAGCAGCAGCAGCACATCTGCCATGACTTTGCCAAGCGTGGTTGCAGGGAGGGGCAATTATAAAGCAGATACTTTCCATGTGTAAGATGCTTTCATGGAGGCATGAACCCAGACCTGTGGGAGCCCAGAGCAGGAGTGAGTCACGCTGCCCGAAGCAATCAGGGAACACTTGACAAAGAGAGTGACATTTGAGCTGGCGCTTAAAAGAATGAGTAGGACTTCGTCAGACCACAAAGCAGGTAGAAAGGGCACCCAGGGAAGGAAGAAGAGCCTGTCCCAAGCCTCCGACTTATTGAGAGGACAAGGTGTGTCCGGGGCTTGGGCGAGGCTCTCCCAGGCAGGAGGGTGGAGTGTGTGAGGGGGAGGGAGGCAGGGGACCATGTAGCTTGGGAAAGACTGGCTCTGCCTTTGAAAGGAGTTGCGACTTGACTGTGAAAACCCAAGCAAAGCCTTTCAGTAGTCCAGAGAGAAGATCAGATTTGGTTGCATGGAGGCTGGAGAGGAGTGTGACGAGAAAGGTGACAAGGACTGTCAAGTGAGAAGTTGTCACGATGATCCTGCTGAAAGCATGGTAGGGGCAGTAGGATGAAGAGAGGAACTAGATCTTGGAGAGACTGTATCTTAGGATTCAAGGCTGCTTGGCGTGAGCAGGGAGGCAGGAAGAGATGCGGAGATGGCTCAGTCAAGGCTGCTTGGCGTGAGCAGGGAGGCAGGAAGAGATGCGGAGATGGCTCGAGTGCTCTGGCCCCCCTCCCCCTTTTCCTTTCTGGCACCTTCCAGCATCCCTCAGAGGCTGCAGGATGTGCCCCTACCTAGACCCTGGTTGTCCTTTATCCTAGGCCTATATAGAAAATGCCAGCATCCCTCAGAGGCTGCAGGATGTGCCCCTCCCTAGAGCCTGGTTGTCCTTTATTCTAGGCCTATATAGAAAATGAAGGTGGATTTTAAACGGGACCAACACACATCTTACTCACCTTAAACTCTCCAACCACAGAAGGATCTTCATTTTCATCCGACTTGCCTCGGTACAACTTGAACGTATCTGAGAAGTCTGTCAGGCCCTCAAATTCTGCTACATTTTCTAGTTCACAATTATATATCTGAAAACCACCAACAGAGTCTTAATTTCTCATTAAAATGCAGGTAAGGTCTAAAATCAAAAGGGCTGACAGTATCAAGTGGGCCTGAGGTTGTGGATGGGGCGACCGGAACTCCCAAATCGCTGGCGGGAGTGTAGACAGATACAACCACTTTGGAAAATGTCTGGTAGTTTCTTTTGGAGTTAAGTAGCCACCTATTCTATGATCTAGAGATTGCATTCCTAGGCATTTACTGATGACAAGTGAAAACACGTACACATGGTAGAAGAATGTTCACAGCAGCTTCATTATCAGGAGAATGGAAAAATAACTTGTGG
This sequence comes from Homo sapiens, assembly GCF_000001405.40. Classification (NCBI taxonomy): domain Eukaryota; kingdom Metazoa; phylum Chordata; class Mammalia; order Primates; family Hominidae; genus Homo; species Homo sapiens. Next base: position 93,336,364 of record NC_000010.11, read on the forward strand.
CATATCCACACAATGGAATACTACTCAGCAATGACAAGGGAAAAACTATGAATACACACAACCACATGATGAGTCTCAAAACTACAACGTGGGGATAAAAGGCCAGACACACAAAACATAAATCATACAAGTCCATTTAGAGCAAGTGTAAAATCAGGCAAAATCAGTTTGTGGTGAGAGAAATCCAATCAGTTGCTCCTAGGAGGGATGAGGATAGTGGAAAATTGACTGGAAAGGGACACGGGGAAGTTTTCTGTGGGAATGGGAATGTTCTGTCTTGTTTTGGGTGGTGGTTCACATAGGGTATATACAATAATCACAACTTGTTGAATGGATCACTTTATCGTATGTAAAATATTTCTCAATTTAAAAAGCAAGAAGGGAAGAGGATGAAGGAGGAGAAGGAAGGAAGAAGGCAGGAGAAAAGGAAGAAGGAAGGGAGGCAGGTAGGAGGGAGGAAGAAGGGAGGGAAGGCAGGAAGAAAAGAAGGAAGGAAGAAGGAAAGAAAGGAAGGAAAGAGAAGAAAGGAAGGAAAGAGAAGAAAGGAAGGAAGGGAAGGAAAGGAAGGAAGGAAGGAAAGAAAGGTAGGAAGACAGGCAGGCAGGAGGAAAAGAAGGCAGGCAGGAAGGGAAGAGGGAGTGAGGGAGGATGGAGTGTGAGGCTGATCCTTCAGCCTCATTGGATCATTTTTCTGAATGAATGGTCCTTTATATGCTAGTATTTCTTAAGCTACACTGAGAAGTTATGACAATAACATGAAAAGGTGTGGGTTTTTTTTTTTTTTGCTTTGATGGGGAAAATTATTTCAATGACCAGATATTTCTCATTCTAAAGTTTTTTTTTCTCATATACACTGTTCTGAAAACTTTAGCACTGCTTCTGCTTGAGGACACTACAGGCTGAAAATTGAATGAAGAATTAGAAAATTCAAAACATGAACAGAAAGCTCAGAGCTAGTCAGCCGTGCCTAGCTCAGTCGCTTGTCTTCCTGCTGTATACATGTTCTCACGGCTGTGATTTTATGCTGCATACATGTGACAGATTCAACTTTTCAGCTTGTGAAACCAATCCCTGTTCAAAGTACACAACAAAGCATGTTGACATCTTGTGTCATTCTGCAAAGAGCACTATGACTTCTGGGTTTCCCTGAGTCAAACTGGATCATCGTGGCCTAATTAGTGTGGTGCCAGCCCATTCCCAACCATCTGCCAGATGCCTCCAAGCCCCAATGTGGCAGTCACGTAACCATAACTCAATAGCTGTCCTCAAGTCCCTGGAATCTTGGCAAAGCCGAAACTCATGCAAGAGGGCTCTCCGGGAAGACAGAGGTTTTCCTGGGCCCTGCTCATTAGCACCCACCCAAGGGACCTTTTAGTCATCCTCTTAGCTCTGCCTGTGGCCAGTTTCAAAGGATGTTGATTCTCCACCCATAGCAGCATAGATCCAGGTACCTTGAGCTTGGAATAGCCTTTCTGAATATACTGTCCGCATTTTTCATGTTCCCCTGAGGAAGCATAAAATTTACTCCACCAGTCCACGATTTCTTCCTCCTAAAGACATGCCAAAATGGAAAAATCTTTAGTGATGTCCTGGATTTCCAATCGATGCAGGAAAATGCATTTGTAATAGTTAAGAAGAAATAGGTTCTTCTGACCCTGTTAAAAGTGAGATTATATGACTTTTGTTTACATGCACAATGGACAAAGCATTCACGACTCTCCTACTCAGAAGCTAGAGGTGAAATGGCCATTCTGGGCCGATGAAATGTGTTTGGCTTTAATGCCCACAATCATACTAGATAATGTTCTTATGTCTTTTACACACAGTCTATTAATTTGTTGGTTTTTACATTTTTATTCTATTGACTTCATATTTACATATACATATAAATTTAAAGAAAACCTCCAATATGTGTTTTCTACTATCTCATTTTCTTAGCCCTTTTAGCCAGTAATGCCTTGTAATACAATACTCACTAGCTAAAAATTGGAAAAACTGGTTTTAATTCAAGTTCCTTCCTTTATGTTATAAGCCATACCCTTATGTTTCAAGCTGTACTGGCTTGGGCAAGTTGTTTAACATCTCTGAGCATCAATTTCTTCATCCACTGAATGCAATAATAACACAATGGACAAAGCATTCACATGCTGCCTTCATCTACCTGCCTCCATGTACCTCCAAAAGTTGTTCTGGAAATCATATGGGATCTTTAGGAGAAAGAGCTTTGAAAATTATAAAACGTGAAACGAAAGGCAGGAGGCATCATGGTTCAGTTAGACCAGGGCTCCCAACCTATCCTAGGAGATGCAATCAGTCTGGGGTGAGACCAGGGCATCCAATAAGCTTTCAGAAGTTCCCCAGGAGAGTCCAATACGTAGACAGTGTTGGGAATCTCTGGTTTGAATGGGTAGTCCTTGGTTGGGCAGAAGGGACAGCATGTCAGAGTCACTTGTGGAATATTGTCAAACTATAGAAGGCCTCCCACTCAGATTTATAACAAGAATAGATTCTTATCAGACCCCCTCTTTGCTTATTTTAACCTACCTTGGAAATAATAACGCCAAAAAAAAAAACAAACAAAAAAACACAGAATGTCACCTGCAGTAGAGCCTCTTGGGGGAAAGGAAGAAGGGACAAGAAAGGCTACCACTTTTTTTTTTTTTTTTTTGAGACGGAGTCTCACTCTGTTGCCCAGCTGGAGTGCAGTGTCATGATCTCAGCTCACTGCAACCTCTGCCTTCTGGCTTCAAGCGATTCTCCTGCCTCAGCCTCCCGAGTAGCTGGCACTACAGGCATGTGCCACCATACGAGGCTACTTTTTGTATTTTTAGTAGAGATGGGGTTTCACCATATTGGCCAGGCTGGTCTCGAACTCCTGACCTCATGATCCGCTCACCTCAGCCTCCCAAAGTGCTGGGATTACAGGCGTGAGCCACCACTCCCGGCCTTAAAAGGCTACTTTTTATTCATGTTATATTATATGTTACATTATATGCTTCTTATTTGTGTGTGTGTGTGTGTGTGTGTGTGAATGCGTGTGTGTTACACATACTTACACAGAATTACTTCCCCTTTATGGGTCAGCAACCTACACATGGATTTAGTTCTTTTTTTAAATTTTGACAGAGTCTCGCTCTGTTGCCCAGGCTGGAGTACAGTGGTGCAATCTCAGCTCACTGCATTGCAACCTCCACCTCCCAGGTTCAAGTGATTCTCGTGCCTCAGCCTCCCGAAAATCTGGGATTACAAGCACTCACCACCACGCCTGGTGAATGTTTGTATTTTTAGTAGAGACAGGGTTTTGCATGTTGGCCAGGCTGATCTCGAACTCCTGGCCTCAAGTGATCTGCCTGCTTCAGCCTCCCAAAGTGCTGGGATTATAGGCGTGAGCCACTGTGCCCGGCCCCCCTAGATTTAGAAAAAAATTATTCCCAGGCTGGGCGCAGTGGCTCACGCCTGTAATCACAGCACTTTGGGAGGCTGAGGCGGGTGGATCACGAGGTCAGGAGATCGAGACCATCCTGGCTAACATGGTGAAACCCCGTCTCTACTAAAAATACAAAAAATTAGCCGGGCGAGGTGGTGGGCGCCTGTAGTTCCAGCTACGCGGGAGGCTGAGGCAGGAGAATGGCGTGAACCCCGGGGGGCGGAGCCTGCAGTGAGCCAAGATCGCGCCACTGCACTCCAGCCTGGGTGAAAGAGCGAGACTCCTTCTCAAAAAAAGAAAAGAAAAATTCTGGGCAGAAAATACATGAATCTTAAATGTAGCAAAATGTATACCATAGTTACCTTTTCTGTCAGCTGCTCGTGCACATGTCCCGTGAGGAAGAGGGCAAACCATATAACAGGTCACATAGATATGGAGACCCCAGGAACATGAAGTTTAAAGAGAAAGAAGCAAAAATTATTATTCATGCATGCCTTATATTATCAACATTTCAATGGGCTAAATTATTTAAAATTTTCTAAGTCAGGATGAGCCCACAACTGAACCCACCTTACTGGTTTCTTTTCTGAAAATATGCAAAAGGTTACACACAGTATTATAATGAAAGGCTTGGAAGTAGCCCCTTCCCTGCCCCTCATCTCATGTTTTCGATGGAGTTAGACATTTCCCAGTCGGGAGCACACAGCTCACACAGGAGCAGGGTGTGGAGCTGCTCATCCCCCTACCCCAGATCTTACGTTCGTTTTAGTTCCTTAAATATATCTCCGAACTTGGTCTAATTCTCCTCCCCACAAAAAACTGTCCTGTCACAAGATATGTTTGACTGCAATGTTATCATACAGGTACCCCCCAGCCATGCCTATGTTACAGCACCAAATAAATACTCATCCATCAAAACTGCTTTATTATGAGGATGTCAAGTTTCCATTGGCCAAATCCTTTCATGTGATTTTTTTTTAATGGAGAACCCACCCCAATCTGAGGGCCCATCCAGGAGATGAGAGAATGAAGAACTGGGAAGGGGGGCTTGAATGTGGTTCTGGTATCTGTTAGAGCATTAGCCAAGCTCGTCCTCAGCAGCAGTTTGAAGACATGCTGCCTAGACCCCTTTCTGAGATCCTAACTTTATGTTCATCCTGAAGGGCTCTTCCTCCGGTTGCCATGTGAGAGGCCATGGAGCTGCTTCCGTAGGTGCCCCTTGGTATTTTCCAGATTGATTTTTGTTCAGCACAATGCAATTGCCAAGAGAGGCAGAGGGACAGATAGATATATCAATTCTTTCTATTAGATTCATACCAAAGCAAGATTAAGGGTTAAATCATCACAGCTGAATTGAGATTTTGGAGAGAGTGATTTTATTTCCAAAGTACTCTTACATTCTCAATGGTTCCTGAGATCAGATTTTTAGAATCTGTTTGTTCACAATTCAAACCATTTCAAGGAAAATAATAGTTCATGATTTAAAAGGCTTTTTTTTTTTTCAGACTAAGTTTTGCTCTTGTTGCTCAGGCTAGAGTGCAATGGCATGATCTCGGCTCCCTGCAACCTCCGCCTCCCAGGTTCAAGCGATTCTCCTGCCTCAGCCTCCCGAGTAGCTGGGATTACAGGCGCCTGCCACCACACCTGGCTAATTTTTTGTATTTTTAGTAGAGACGGGGTTTCACCATGTTGGCCAGGCTGGTCGCAAACTCCTGACCTCAGGTGATCCACCTGCCTCAGCCTCCCAAAGTGCTGGGATTACAGGCGTAAGCCACTGTGCCCGGCCTAAAAGGCATTATTTAAGACAAGTTGCTGATTTTAAACTTTAGAATTAGTATGGGAGAATTTATTCATGCCTACATGATCATTAGTTCATGTGGAAAGGTTATGGAAGCAACTGATGTGACTTGCTTTATTATATCTAATAATAAACTTGCAATGGGAATCAAATCATTAAATGGCACAGAAGATTCTTCTTTTAGGCTTAAAACAATCACGTTTGTTTAAAGATCACTTTTCACTCCAAAATCTACTAATGGAAAGAGTTGTAAGAATAATTCAAGTCTTTAGGCCAAGGTCCCACAGTCCCAGGCAGCCTCATGCATTTGCTTATCATACATACATGCACTGTCGCTGGAGAAGCCATTTTGCTGAGTGCTGTTGACATACTGCTTAAGCACTGGAATTGGAAGGTAATTGTTGAGATGGCCATGTACACATGTCCATGTTATCTGGCTAGCACTTGACCAATTTTCCCCGAAGACTTATTTCTCACTTTTCTTGTGATAGTGCTCAGCCCATTTGTTAAGAATTTCCATGGACATCACAGAGTAATGCCATGAGTTTCCGGAGTGTGACACTGTCACTCAGAGACACAGCCTCCAGCCCCCAGCAACAGCATAGTTATTTTTGAGGCATTCCCTCCATTTACCCAGATACAAGGCCTGAATTGAGGAAGTGGTAATACATGCACATTACATGTACATTACATATACATGTAATACAGGACATCAGCAAGCTTGTTATTGGCTCTTTCAAAGTGCAACTTTGTTCATTTGACTTTGTACAGATGTGCGATGTCTACTGTGATGAACAAGTGGACTCAGATTTTTAGAGATTTCAACCAGCCTTTCTTATCAACACAGTGTACCTCAATTAGATGTTAGGAGAGCGAGCTGATTAAAGCAATTTACAATACAGTGGGAATGACTGATACTACCATCACCAATCCTGCTATGTTGCAATGTTTAACTCTATGATGTAAACTGAACTTTCATAAAGTGTTGCTACAGTAACATAGTCACATTTCTTAACTATGGTTAAGAAGTGAACGAAAATACTGGCATAGCTTGTTGACTTTATTCTTCTCCTGTTCCTCAGTTGTTCTTAGGGCTACTGAGTACACTGAAGGCATGTAATAAGAATTGACTGACGATGAGAGATGGCAAACCTGGAGGCAGATTATACAGCGAGATCTTAAACTGTCTTTTTCTAGAGCAGTTGTAAAAATCTACAGAAAAGATCTTAAGTATATTAACTTCTGCCAAGGCTACTACTATCTTATTAGGGATATTTGGGGTGGTTTACAAAGTGATCACAGTAGTTTTGGCCCATGAGATTGGAAATTTGATATTGTCGTTTGTGACTGTGTAGGATTCACAGAGAGTAGAATCAAACACACTGCTGCACAGTGCTGGCTGTGGAGACTATATTTTATATGGTCCAGTTGTTAGTGAGTTTAATGCAGTGGGATGGAAGTAGATTTTTTTTTTAAGGCACTGTTTATGGACATAACATATTAAAGTGCAATCATGTGCATTTTTGGGCTAGTTTGCACATTAAAACACGCTGTGAATGTTCATCATAACTGCCAAGAGAAACAGGGAGATATTTGGTGTTTCCTTTTTTCTGGGCTGAGGCTTTTTGCCCCCTTTCCTTCGTGTAGAAGTGGCTGGAATAGCTAGTTCTAAAATAGGGCCTTGAGTGATTATTTCAACCAATTTCTTCACTTCAAAACCACAGTGAAAATAAAAAAACCTGGGTGTCCCATACACTGATAAATATGGTCATTAGAAATTTATCAAACAATTCTGCTTTATGTAGGGGGAAGAATCTGGCGTGTTGCATGTTATCTCTGATCTGAATGTTGCAATGCTATAAATTTGCTTCTCAGACTTCGCTTTCTAGCAAATGATCTTTCTCAGACTGTCCACACCTGTGGTTCTCAGACCTGCCAGCATATTAAAATCATTTGAGGAGATTTAAAAACATACTGATATCTAGGTCCCTCTCCCTCTTGGGAGGTGGGGCCTGGGCATGGGTTTTATTTTAAGTATTCTGGGTGACTTATTAGTGAGGGTTGAAGACTACTAGTCTACACAATGTCATCATAACTGTTGATGAGTGCAAGATTTAGACTCTTGTCTGTACTCAGTCCTCAATAAATGGATTGGCTGATGATTATAATTGCAACAAACTGTTGTTTGACTGAATTCACCAAATGCTTAGACATCTAAGCATAGAAGATAAAACTGACAGCATCCACTGATCAGCTCTGAAGCCTACCTTAGAAGCCAGTAATGGTTTGGTGTCTTCCATTTCGATAACGATGTCCCGGCATGGTGGGGCAGACAGAAGGGAGGCTGCAAGACAAATACTTTCTTAATCTAAGATACTTAGAGAAATACAGTGGTGAACATTCTACTCCAAGTTCAAGTTTAACAGCCATAGGGTGGATGGTAGAGTTTATTCTTGGATGGGACTTACAGAATAGAGAGGACAACTCCTGAATGTAGAAAATAAACCAACAATCCATCACGTTTCCCCAAACATAATATGGTTTTAGACATTTTCTAGGGGATTATATGTTCATTACTGTTTTTAGACAATTAGTCCAGTGCCTATACAGAAAGTGCTCAAAAAACAATTGTGTCAATACATGTCTTTAGAGGGTGCAGGAGTAAGTGGGGAACCGACATTTTTTAATTTCAATAGCTTTTGGGGTACAAGAGGTTTTTGGTTACATGGATGAATTATATGGTTGTGAATTCTGAGATTGTAGTGCACCTGTCACCTGAGTAGTGTACATTGTGCCCAGTATGCAGTCTTTTATCCCCCTCCCCCTTCTGAGTCTCCAATGTCCATTGTACCACTCTGCATGCCTTTGTATTCCCATAGCTTAGCTCCTACTTATAAGTGAGAACATACAGAGAGCCTACATCTAAAGGAGTCTTCTTTTCTTGAAGTTTGTTCCTAAGAAACAGAAAATAAAGAAGAGAAAAATAAGAAAAAGAAGGGAAAGGAGGGGTGAGAGGCCAGGGGAAGGAGAAATATCTAATGTAGATAACAGGTTAATGGGTGCAGCAAACCAACATGGCACGTGTATACCTATGTAACAAACCTGCACGTTCTGCACATGTATCCCAGAACTTAAATTAAAAAAAAAAAAAAAAAAAAAAAAAAGAAGGGAAAGGAAAGGAAAAGAAAAGCAGGGTGGATTGTTGTATATTTCAGGCCTGAGGTTGCAGTGGCTTATTCAGCCCTTATTCTCAACAGCGTATGCAGAGGGAGAAGACACATGCCCTGACTTTATGTACAATTCCCAGAATATCTGTGACTCAGGATTTGGGGGTTAGAGCATGGACTCAGGAGTAGTCCCTGGGCTTACTACATTTGATTCAGCTAAAGGGGTGGGGGATACCAAAGCCTCACCCTGGGGCGGGGGTAGGATGAGAGGTACATCTCCCATTTATTGAGGAAGCACCAAACAGGAAGACATTTAACAGAAGGCCAGAACCTAGACAGAACAAACTCTGCCAAGCCAACAGAACTTTCTGCTTAACCACCCTGGCAATTGACATACAGGACATAAAGGAGGAGAAACAACAAACCTTTTTCGGTACCCACCATGTGCTGGGCACTGAGCTAAACACTTTACTTACATGACCTCACTTAGTACCTCAATAGTCCTGTAGAATATGTGCCATTATCCCTGTTTTAAAAATTTTAAAACAAACAGAAGCTAACAGCAAGCAAGTCACTTGCTTCAGGTGAAACAATTAGTGGTAAGTTGGGGAGTAAGTAACCTAGGTTTGGCTGACTCCAAAGCTTGTGTTTTAACCACCACACCAGAGCCTGGAGGAACCATCAGGGGGATAGCGGGGAGGAGGGGAGACTGACATTTCCTGAGCATCTGTGATATATCAGTTACTGTGTGAGGTAGTTTTAGATCCACGTGGCACCCCTAGACCTGTAAGCAGTCTCTACACTTCCAAGATAAGCTCCCCTGCAGATCCTGACAAGTCCAACAGTACAGAACAAGACAACCAGAGGGCAGGGTCACAGGAACACAACTGAACATAAGTTCTTTCCTAGAGGATCAGTTCTCCACTTCACCCTCCTCATGGAAACAAAGCCCAAGGGACAGGAGGAGAAAGTTATTCTGTGTGCTTCCAACATGAGGCCATCCAAGTGCCCTCAACTCTTAACCTATCACTGGTTTTATGAAAGGACCAGATTTTCCTTTTCTGGGGCTCTCTGAAGCCTTGACCACACTCTACATTGATTACATAGAATTGCTAGCCAGGGCAGTCTGCCTTAGACCCAGCCCACCCCTGAGCAATAGACACAAACAGGTCCACGTAAGTGATTCTGGGGCCAGAGAAAGCGTGTAGCATTTGTACCCTCTGGGTGATTTCACATATTTGGACCAAAAAACCTTCTCTCATGAAAACAGTAAGAAAAAAAAAGCCAGGAAAGTGGTTTCTCTCCATTTAGTAACCTCAAATGAAACAATTCCTGCAATTACAACAATCCTTGTTGTTATCAAAAATGCTATTTTAGGCACCGTCAATTCAGCATAAAATGTTTTATATGGGACATTTCTTAATAAGCACATGTAGAGTTTTGCTTAAATGTGACTGTGGATTTTTTTCCTCTTCTCTGAATCAGGGATCCAGGATGCTTAGTCAGACCTACACAGCAGATGAATTTCAGAGGCTCTGTAAAATCAGTACTCACACTTATGAAAGTTTTAATGGAACTAGTTAGTGACACAGCTGCTTAAATAGAAGACATCTGCTTCAGTCTTGAAGCCACCAAGGATCAGCCGAATGAGGCTGTTCCAGCCCTCCCACGGTGTCTAATTTATGAGGCCAGGGGCCCTGGGATCTCTTGCACTGATGCAATGTAGCCCCCAGCCCCTAACACAGTCCCTAGCACATGGTAAGCTAAAAGCAAGTAACTATTGAATGGGTAATTGCAAAATGCTGTATCACTAGCTATTATTTATTATGGAAATCTAAAGTAAGTATTATGCCCTGCTCTATCATTTACATATTAATTATATGTGATAATGAGGTAGGCCAACAGGTGGAAAGCAATCTGAAATAAAATCTCCTCCTCTCTCAGTGTTCATGGGGTCAGGGAGCTTCCTGTTTTCCCCATCAAGATATTTATCACACTGGACTGCAACTGCACACTTCCTCGTTTGCCTTCCCTGCTGGACTTTTGCTTTGTGAGAGGGGAACATGCCTTTCTTGGTCCCCACTGTCCCCAGATATCTAGAACAGCACGTGGCAGTCAGTGAGTGCTTCCTAACCATTCAGTGAAAGGCAGAGGAAATGACTTCATCCCCATCACTGATGTGGGAACAGCTCTCCCTGCTTTGCAAGCTGCTTGTTGAAAGGTGAATAGGGAACATTCATGAGCACTTAACACTTCCTCAAAAGAAGTCTTACATTCACCCAGGAGCAGGACGCTTCAGAGAGGAATCCCTCGAGCATGCCACCCACCCCTAAAACAAGGCCGAGATTCCAGCCCAGCTCTGCCACTTACGAATGATAGAACCTTAGGAAAGTGCCATAACCCACCGCAACTCACGCAGTTTGCTCATCCGTAAAATGTAGACAATGAATCCAGGACTTACCTTGAGTAGGTTTGTAAAGAGTAAATCAGAGCCATGCATGAAAAGTCCCCAGACGGCCGGGCGCGGTGGCTCACGCCTGTAATCCCAGCACTTTGGGAGGCCGAGGCGGGTGGATCATGAGGTCAGGAGATCGAGACCATCCTGGCTAACAAGGTGAAACCCCGTCTCTACTAAAAATACAAAAAATTAGCCGGGCGCGGTGGCGGGCGCCTGTAGTCCCAGCTACTCGGGAGGCTGAGGCAGGAGAATGGCGTGAACCCGGGAAGCGGAGCTTGCAGTGAGCCGAGATTGCGCCACTGCAGTCCGCAGTCCGGCCTGGGCGACAGAGCGAGACTCCGTCTCAAAAAAAAAAAAAAAAAAAAGAAAAGCCCCCAGACTTATGCACAGCCTTGCATGTTACCTTTGAGCTGTGGGACGATGTCCTCTTTCCCTGCATAAGGGTCACAGCGAAAGCGGTCCAGGCGCTCGATGGTGCACTGGCCGACGACAGGCTTCCGCCCAAACTGCCTGTGGTCGATGACCTTGATCACCAGTGGGGGCATGTACAATTCCTCCTTGGGCAAGAACTGGGGGTCACAAAGGTAGGTTTCATTTCTCAAGACCAGACGAGGGCAGCTTTGAGAAAAATTCCCCAGATGGACCAGTCCAGATTCTCTCTGCCACACAGCCCAGAGGACTCGCAATAGTTCAGTTACTCATGTGCCAGGCAAGGAGCTCCGTGCTTAAGAGCGTGAGCTGTCAGCCAGACTGCCTGGGTCAAATCCTGGCACTGCCACCATGAACTACCTGGCTAACCCTTCCATGCCCCCATTATTTCATGAGTAATAGTAACATTGTTGAATTACTCTATGTGAAGAGTACTTAGAATAGTACCTGACCCATGCTGTGTCCTGTAAGTGTGGAATCACTGACCCATGCTCTTTACTCTCAGTCACTGCCCTATACTCTTCCCTGTGCTCTGCTTCCTGGGAGGGGACATGCACAAGGCTAACTAGCCCAGGGCTTTGGTCATCTACTAGCCAAGTTCTGAGCAGACTTTAGAAATGGTCAAGACAAAACTGAACTTCTAAGGGAAATAACTGTGGCTGAGAGTCTCTTTGCCCTGGAAATTCAGTGTAAAAATGGATTGCTACTTTCTCCTCAACTCCCCCTGGCTCCCTCTCATGGAATTTGGTGGCTTTGGTGACAATGCCTGATTGGGGAATCATGAGCTGACCTAGGGGCCCATTTGGTATGTGGTTCAGGTGAATTTCTATCTCTGGCTTGACACAGGAATAGAAACTGGGGTCACCTGAGTGGTTTTTCTCATCTCTGCTGACCAAGGCTAGATTCCAGACTAGAACTTGGAAGGTGAGGGAGGTGTGGGGAGTAGACAAGGATAGGTGGAGTGGCCCAGGGACAACCACTTTGGGACCCTGGCTGGCAGCATCCCGGTGGCTCGCCGTCTGTCGCATGATAGGGAGGGGAGCATGGGCATTGGGGTTGTAAGGACCTATGTGCAAACTCTGGCCACTCACTTGCTAGCGACATCCCCTTGTGTAAATCTGTTACCTCTTGCTTTTCCCCAAGGTGGGCATAAGAGAGGTGAAAATGTTCACCCCGCAGGATTAAAGACGAGGTGTACCAAGTAAGAATGCACCAAGCCCTACACTGCAGCTGTCACTAGTTAGGACATAGTCACTGTGGTATAGAAGGTGTGGCCTAACACTATGACACTGGATAAATCATTTCCCCTCTTTAGGCCTCAGTTTCCTCCTCTGTAATGTAAAATAAGAGGTTAAAGCACGTGACCCTAGAGTTCAAGAGCACTGTATTGGAGACATCAAGGTCAGGAAAATGACTGGGGTGGGGAAAGGAAGGTTCTAGGTCTTCCAACACTTCAAGGTAAGAAACTGTCTTTATGTCACCTATTTATATAATAGAGTAAAAAAGAAAGATTTTTTTTTTAAAGTTAAGAAATTAACTGCTTTAAAAATGGAAAGACTGGGTGGCCTCTTCTCACCCCAGGTATTATGGGGTCTGTGATGGAGAGCTGTGAACTGGATCTGATGCTCTCACATCTTTAACAACCAGAGGGTAGCCTCAATGGACCAAAGAAGGTGCCATCCCAGGGGCACCTGGAGGTGGGGCACAGTTATGGGCTGCCAAGGTCATGGCCCTATCACCCCATATACCTTCCCCCACAGCTGCCCCTTCCCCAGACAGCCAGTCCTTATCCAGAAGGTTCTGGTCCATGCACAGTTGTAGGGGGTATATCTGGTCCATGCATGACTGGGGGTTAATATTCTGCCTTCATGGGGTTGACCAACAGCTTGTAATAGATAGCTGAATAGATGGAAAGTTTACTGGAGAAATAAGTAAGTATTGCTCACAGATATTTCTGTGCCACTGGAGTTATTTTGAAGCTTTAAGAAATCATCACTACAGTGGGAGAATTTAAGGGGAAAAAGTCACTGACAAGCTGAATATAAGGCAGGGTTTTTCTATTTGTCAGGTTTTGGAAATAAACTCTGTGTTTGTGTGTGTGTGTGTGAGGCACATACTTTCATATTTCAACGCGCATGGGTGATCACAGAGAATCGATACTGTACCACTTTCATGAAGAGAACAGAACTTGGAAAGTTGGGTGTCTTCTTAAGGTTTTTGATCACCACCGATTCCACCCTTTCTCCTCCACACTCCACAACAAGACTGGGGGATGTGATAGAAGCCATCTGGAAGTTTTTCATATTTCTTAAGCCCCAAGCTAGAATCTATGAAAACGATTTAAAGAGAGGGGAAGGTAACTCAGCACTTTAAAAATAATATTCAAAAGGAAAAATTCTGTCTTAATTACTGGCAAAGTCTTTAAGATTAATTTGAACATTATCCTAGTAAGCTTGTAGGTCATCCAAAGAAAGTGGTTTTGCCCCTTTCTTTCTCCTGCCTGAGCCCCTAAAAAAGCAATGCAGTTAAGAGTATAGGAATCAAATCCTGGCTGTGCCATCTAATAGCTGTGTCAATGCTGACAAGGTAACTCACCTCCCTATGTCTCATCTACAAACAAGACTGATCGTATTATCTGTCATAGGGTTATATTGATGACCACCTGTAAACTTTTTTTTTTTCTTTTTTGAGACAGAGTCTCACTCTGTCACCCAGGCTGGGGTACAGTGGCACGAACTAGGCTCACTGCAACCTCCACCCCCTGAGTTCAAGTGATTTTCATGTCTCAGCTTCCCAAGTAGCTGGGATTACAGGTGTGTGCCACCATGCCTAGCTAATTTTTGTATTTTTAGTAGAGGCAGGGTTCCACCATGTTGACCGGGTTGGCCTCGAACTCCTGACTTCAAGTGATCCACCTGCCTTGGCCTCCCAAAGTGCTGGAATTACAGGCGTGAGCTACTGCATCCAGCCCACCTGTAAACTTCTTAACACGGTGTCTGACATGGAAGCATTTCGAAGTGATAGCCTCAGCCTTTGAGAACTCTTAGCAGGACAGCCAGAGAAGGGAAATCTTGGGGTGTTAACAGCTGCTTGACTGGACGGGGAAAGTCTTGAGAGTGGGCCAGACACTGTCTATCAAGCCACCTTGTTGGGGTCATCAGCTTGTATCTGACATGTCAACATTGCTCACTGCTCCCATCCAACTTCCATCTCTGCCTCCCTGCCATGCCCCCATCTCTCAGCATATACACCGTCATTCTCTTCTCGTCCATCTTCCCTCTCCCAGGTCTCCAGTTGACCTGAAAAACTCAGAAACCTGCTGGCTCCCAGTAAATGAGGAGTTTAGATGCCCTCAGGAATGTTAGAATTGACCTGTCCTTGTTGCTTCAACAAGCCTTCTACTCCCATGAATACCTCCAGTTTTTGGACAAGTTGTAAAGGAAGTTGGAGATAGCAAGAAAATATGCAGCAGGATTCTATGTTCTATACAAAAGATTCCTGTCCTGCAGTCACATCCGTTTGATTTGATGAGTAACACGTGGGGAGCAGCATACCTCAATGGCAGTGAGCTGGACCACAGGCCTGATCCCCTGGGGGACCATGTATAGATTTGGCGCCCTTTGAGGGGGAAGAATGGGAAGGTTGGAGCCATCCTGTGAAACAAACATGGATATGTCAATGCCTCACTTTAGTTCAAGCAAACAGTGCCTAGAATTAACATGCATTTTAAGCAGCTGACAGAATACATGAGGAAGAACACAGCAATGTACCTTGCCCCTCAGAATCAGCTCTGCAGTTACAAGAACATCCCCGCAGGCTTTGTCTCCATTCATTACTGGGTGCCAGAGAAGTTTGGGTGTGATGTCCATTTCTGAGTTCAGTTTCACCACAGGAGAGAAAATGCTTCGTCCTAAAAATTCATCTTTGCCCTAGAGAAACAAAGTGATCCTTAAATTCCCCGACAATCATCCCTTCAAATCTCCATCATCCCCAAGTTATCTTAGAAATTCTAAACGACCTACCACTTGGTCATTGTCAAAAAGTTCCATGATAACTTTGGGTGGATTCTGTAGAACTGTTTGGGGTTCCCCATAGATTTCAACTTCATCGAATATAATTGTTTGGTCCCACGTGGGATTCAGGGTTGAATGGATGATCTCAGTGGTTTTGCTCCGATGGAGGAAACAGATATGAGCATATGGATCTAAAACAGAAAAAGAGAATAACAACGGGGCCACGGCTAAAATCTAACTCCCCAGAACCACTCAGTGCAACCATATTCTTTTCCTCTGGATATAATGACAGTGGGCTCTGACCACCTGCCTGGAGATAGGGTTTCTAGGGAGCAGGGAGTTCCCCATGGAAGGTTCTGGCACTGCAGCAGAGGCACCTGAAGCGAGACCCTGATGTGTACTGAGAGGTCACTCTTTAGAGTATGTCCCCACCAAGGTTAATGGGGCCCATAGTTTTTCTCTGCAAAAGTACTGCACTCATGGTTGAGTGAGGCTCTGCAGTCAGATACACCTGGGGTCAACACCCACACTTCACCCCTGCTGCATAACTTTGAGGGAAAAAATAATCTTCCTAAACGTTGATCCCCTCCTCCATGCAATGAAAGTAATATCTGCTTCACGGTGTTGAGAGGATGAAATGATATAAGGAATGTTAGCTATTTGGGACAGAGCCTGTCCTATAGGAAGTATCTGATAAATGCTAGTTTTTATTATAGTTGTTTCTAATGTTGATGGTAATCGATTTATTCAGCAAATATTTATTGAGTTCCAGGTCTCAAGAGTATAACAGCAGCCGGAAAAGCTCAGATGCTCATAGAGTTTACAATCTGTGACAGCAGAAAACTTTGTCTCACTATACTTAAGAATGGAGAGAAAGCAATATTATGTATGGAGAAATAATCCATGTTCTCCTCCTTGCTAAATAATTTCATCAAACTTTTTGCAGTTGCCTGGGGGCTGACTTATCTGAAAAATAACACAATATCTAGCCTGAAACTCTTGTATAAGCCAAAAGTGCTTGGTTTCTAGCAGTGGAGCCATCATATGAACCCTTTGCTTTTGCCCTGATGATAATTCTTCTATCTCAAACTGCAAGGAATGTGCTTAGAGTTTTATGAAGCTTTAGTCAAGAACTTTGGAAAGATGTTTTTTTAACTTTCAGTGATAGAGTGCCCCCTGGTGGAAAATATTTGAAAATGTCTTCAAAGACCCTGTTGGAGATGTATATTGCAGAGATAACCTTGAATCTGCTCAAATTTCTAAGAAAAGGAAACCATTCACAAATATTGGTAAATATTAGTGCTTGGAACACGCTTCAAAATTGATGTGAGCACATGAGAGTGTCAGTCAAATGCTTTAACAAACTTTCCGTTTGGAATAAAAAAGTGCAGCTCGCTGCCAGCACTCATTTCTCGGGGCAAATGGGAAATGGGTTAAGAGGTGTTTTCATAGAAGGCCCAGGGAAACTCTGCTGGGCTTTGAGTCCCAAACTGGAATTCTCCCCAGATAGCCTGAACTATCCATGGTTCAGCGGCAAGGACTCAAATCCCCAGACAGGCATGTTCTCCCCTCCTCCCCTGTCCCTTGCCAATAGCCTTCCTCTCAGAACCAGTCCGAAGCAACAAAAGCAGCTGGGTGTCAGTGCAAGAGAAGAAAAAGCCTCATGGTTTTATGGTATTGGGAATGTGGGGAGCAGGCAGAGGAGGAGGTTAAAATGAACTCCAAACTGCTCAAAGCCTGGTGCTGTAGGCAAATGGGCAAACTTATCATCTTTTTGATACCTTGAAAGAGCCTGCAAAAAAACTTAAAGGATCTTAACTTACCAATCAACCTGAGGGTCCAGGGATGAAAACACAGCCATGTATATAAACAGAGATGAGAAATCACTTTCTCGGTGCTTCTTATTACTTAATCAATTAATATCTATTAGTACCAAAAGTATCTTCTATGTATTACTAGGACCCAGCAATGGTGCCTAAAGCATTCAGTGATGATTTATCTAATGACTGAGCAGTTTGCTTCAAGCATGCAAAAATAACCTCAACATGTAAAGGGTTTTTGTTGTTAGAAATGACAAAAAGCATTCACTCGAAACACAGAAGCAAAATAGCATGCTATGTAATCATGTGTAGCATGTAGATTTTTTTTCCTTTACCTGAAAAGCTATCCTTATCTAAAGCCAAGAGGTTTCTGGCTTGATAGACATAGCAGCGCAGATGGTAGATGTAGACTCCTAAAAAAACAGGATAAAGATTACTTACAAGAAGCGTAACACTGTAAACTGCTATTTTACTGGAATATTTGGAAAAAATACATGTTTCTGATAAATGGGTCACTTGAATCTATTATAGTTCCCCACAGTAAAGAGCACATAGAATAGTGATGATGTGGCCTCCCAAAGTAGTTCTATTTCCTGTAAAATAAAACTTATTTTTTAGGCTGGGTGCAGTGGCTCATGCCTGTAATCCCAGAACTTTGGGAGTCCTAGGCAGGCAGACTGTTTGAGGCCAGGAGTTAGGAGACCAGCCTGGTCAACATGGTGAAAACTTGTGTCTCTACTAAAAATTCAAAAATTAGCTGGGCATGGTGGTGCACGTCTGTAATCCTAGCTACTCAGGAGGCTGAGGCACGAGAATCACTTGAACCCTGGAGACAGAGGTTTCAGTGAGCTGAAATCACACCACTGCACTCCAGCCTGGGTGACAGAGTGAGACTCGGTCTTAAAAACAAAAATCCTATTTTTAAAAAATACTACAGTAAGCTCAATGCAAAGTGTATCAATCAGGAAAACATTACCTTTGTTATAAACTAACTGAATTTAGGGTACTGCTTATCATCACAGACCTTTAAAATGAAACTGGGTCTCCAGCAGCTATAGAAACGGGGCTTTCTATACTACTTCAGCATCAGATCTGGGAAACAGTTAACATCTAAAAGATTCTTTGACATTTCAAAATATTCATACTCCTTTTATTATTATATTCTCTCTGTCTCTATCA
Source organism: Homo sapiens (assembly GCF_000001405.40). Taxonomy (NCBI): domain Eukaryota; kingdom Metazoa; phylum Chordata; class Mammalia; order Primates; family Hominidae; genus Homo; species Homo sapiens. The sequence continues at coordinate 93,354,655 of NC_000010.11, forward strand.
CTCACACATTCACTCTCTCTCTCTCTCTCTCTCTCTCTCTCTCTCTCTTTGTGAGATAGCAGAGCATTATGATTCCGTGCACAGATTCTGGGAGCTCTACTACCTGAGTTCAAATCTCTCTAGTGCTTACAAGCCATAAGACTTTGGGCAAGTTATTTAATCTTCCTGTACCTTGGTTCCTTCTTCTGTATAACGGGAACAATAATAGCACCTACCTTACAGGGTTGTTAAGAGGATTAAACAAGTTATAATATGTACAGGTCCTAGCCCATGCTAAGACCTATATAAGCATTTGCTAATATTATTGTAGAGCAGGTCTGTCTCATTCCAAAAATCCTGAAAATTATTATTGAAATCAACCATTATTTAAATTTTGGTGCCTTTTTTCCTATAGTTAAAATTTTAATTTTGGGGGCTTACTAGACAGAATGAGCACATATGAGATAGACTGTTAATATCAGTGATCTGACCACCCTTCACCTTATATGTGATATGGTTTTCAACTGTAGTTTTAAAAACTCCTTTCATCAAGGATGAAAATGAAAGTCACGTTTGCATGAAGAGATTTTAAAAATCATATTCAGTGATTTGAAGAGTTTCCTTAAGATAAGAGTTACAGAAGTGGAATTCACAAAGTCATGTTTAAAATTCACTGCTGGCTGGGTGTGGTGGCTCACGCCTATAATCCCAGCACTTTGGTAGGCCAAGGCGGGTGGATCACCTGAGGTCAGGAGGTCGAGACCAGCCTGGCTAACATGGAGGAAATGCAAAAATACAAAAAATTAGCCAGGCATGGTGACGTGCGCCTGTAGTCCCAGCTACTCAGGAGGCTGAGGCAGGAGAATTGCTTGAACCTGGGAGGTTGCAGCGAGCCAAGATCGTACCACTGCACTCCAGCCTGGGTGATAGGGCCAGACTCAGTCTTGAAAAAATAAAATAAAATAAAATAAATCAAAAATAAAACAAAACTCACTGTCAAAATTGCAGGAAACAATGGGGGTGTTTGCTCCGAACACAGTGGTGGCACTGTGCTTCTGTTTCTCCAGGCTCTTCTCATCCCCATCTTCGGTAGTGTCTGCCCCCTGAAGTCAATTAACAGAGTCAATTAGCAGAGAAGTCAATAAACACTGCCTAAAAGCAAATCAACCAACCAAGAGGCAAGAATAACAAATGGAATTCTAGCTTTTTAAAGATGTTATCGTGCAAACACCCCATTTTTAAAGATGAATAAGTCCCAGGATAGCAAGTGACTTCCCTGAAGTCGCTTAGCTGGAAAGCAGCCGAGCAGGAAGTGGGAGCCAGCCCTCCTACCTCCAGTCCAGGTTTGCCAAACCCTGCTACTGAAAGAAAGGGAAAAAAAGGAAAAATGTAGAGGATAAACAGGGAGTAAAAGGATGGGATAAGGAAGAGAAAGAGCAGCAGCAGCAGAATACTGTGGGGTCAGAGTGCAGAAATACAAACATAGGCTGTTGGGAAATGGCTCCTGACCACCCTATTGTTTTAGATCACCCACTGCCATTCTCCTATTCCTTCCTTCCACCTGCCTGCTTTTTCCCCCGACTTCTTTACTGTGCTTCAGTATGTTCTTCCGTATTGCTCTCTAATTTTGTGAGCTAGACTTCTGATTTCCTCCCCCGACATCTGTATATTTATGAATATACATATGAATATTTTGTTGAACAGTTGCAGTTTCCAAGATGTGATTCAAAGAACTTGTGCCTGGGATGTGAATAGGTGTCACCTGAAACAAGGGTCCTGGAACAGATATATTTGGAAAACACTAGGTAAAGCAGGTGTGTAGACAGCAGTATTTCTTAGAACACTCCTGTGTTAATGGTCTATTCGTTCTACACGAGGTATTGAGCACCCAGGATGTGTGGCTTTCCCTCAACCTGTTAATATTTGCCATCTTATAGTACCAGGGTTACAGGGACCTCTATGGAGTTGGCAGTGCTGTATCCAACACTCATATATTTTCTCTACACCAATATGATCTGCGCTCTGGCAACCTAGTACTTACAAGGGCACCTTCAAGTTTAAAGATGGCAGCTGCACCATGTGTTTCTGAAGGAGCCATTTTTCTCCTCCAGCGTCTGCGGCGGAAGGTATCTGAACTACGTTGTTTCCAGTGAAATTTCCAGCCAATTAGAGAAGCATATTCCCAGCCCTCTTGGTCTTGCAATTCCTCCATGGCCTAAAACAGAAGTAAACATGTTAATGATGACGATGATGATGATGATATTCCTTATTTTGATAAAACAGGTTATATGATCAATCAACAGATACACAGTATTCAAAATCTACTCTGTGCCAAGTACTGAGCTAGAGTCAGGAATACAGAAAAGAAAAAAACAGACAGGACCTCTGCCTTGCAGAGCTGATGGACTGCAGGAGTGCAGAGAGATAACCAGGCAATGACAGCACAGTCGTGGACATACCCTCAGGAGGTGCACCTCATTCAGATTTGGGGGTGGGTGAAGCAAGTGGATTCTTTCTCAAATTGCTTTCTGTTTCCTCACTTCATTATTTCATAAAAATGTTGCTATTGTGATATAGTTTGTAAAACATTAGTATCTCCATTTTACATATGTAGGAAAAAAATTAAATGCCCCCTCCCAGGTTTAAATGTCTTGCCTGAGCTAATAGCTGCCATAACTGATAATTAAGTGATCAGAATATGTTATTTCTGTAATAACTAATAACAAATTCGTGTGGTACTTTTTAGCTTAAGAACTATTGATTTACCAGTGGTATCAGTTTTCAATGTTATATTCTCTTCATTCGACAAATATGAGTGCCCACTGTGTGACAGGGATCGTGTTAGGGGCTGAGGACACAGTGAAGAAGAGATAGGGTCTTTGCTTTCATGCAGCTGACATTTTCATGGCAGAAGTTTGATTTAAAATCTTAAAAATATGACTGGATTTAATAAACGTAAAACAATGTGGAATAATATTCAAGACCTGAGAAGTGAGAGCTCCATGTGGGTAATTATTGTTGGGTCTATTTTTTCACTTTAAATAAATGTAAAATGCAGGTTAAGCATAATCTTGTACCTGACCCTCTAGTAACATAAATAGTAGCAGTGAAAAATTTCACATAGCCAAGAGTAAGGCAGGTTAGGAAACATGATCAAAGCCTCAGAAATACTCGTTAGAACTGGACCATATCCTGAGCCTTCTAACTGATGGCTCAGTGTTCTTCCCGCTTCAACTTGGTGCCCTCGTGTGGAAGAAGAGCGTTCAAGCACCTTCAGAAACTTCTCACCCTGTCAGACGGGGATAATTAAACAATAGAGAGACATTCATTAAACTAAAGAGCTTCTACACAGCAAAAGAAACTATCATCAGAGTGAACAGATAACCTACAGAATGGAAGAAAATTTTTGCAATCTATCCATCTGACAAAGGTCTAATATCCAGAATCTACAAGCAATTTAAGCAAATTTACAAGGAAAAAACAACCACATTAAAAAGTGGGCAAAGGACATGAACAGATAAATCTTCAAAAGAAGACATTTATGTGGCCAAAAAACATGAAAAAAAGCTCAACATCACGGATCACTAGAGAAATGCAAATCAAAACCACAATGAGATACCATCTCACACTAGTCAGAATAGAGATTATTAAAAGGTCAAGAAACAACAGATGATGGTGAGGCTGTGGAGAAATAGGAAAGCTTTTACACTGTTGGTGGGAGTGTAAATTAGTTCCACCATTGTGGAAGACAGTGTGGCGATTCTTCAAAGACCTAGAACCAGAAATGCCATTTGACCCAGCAATCCCATTACTGGGTATATACCCAGAGGAATATAAACCATTCTATTATAAAGATACATGCATGCATATTTTCATTGCAGCACTCTTCACAATAGCAAAGACATGGAATCAGCCCAAATGTCCATCAATGATAGACTGGATGAAGAAAATGTGGTATATCTACACCATGGAATACTATGCAGCCATAAAAAGGAACGAGATCATGTCCTTTGCAGGGACATGGATGGAGCTGGAAGCCATTATCCTCAGCAACCTAACAGAGGAACAGAAAACCAAACACCGCATGTTCTCACTTACAGGTGGGAGCTGAACAATGAGAACACTTGGACACAGGGAGGGGAACAACACACACTGGGGCCGGCGGGTGGAGGGAGCGCATCAGGATAAATAGCTAATGCATGCTGGGTTTAATATGTAGGCGACGGGTTGATAGGTGCAGCAAACCACCATGGCACACATTTACCTGTGTAACAAACCTGCATGTACTGCACATGTATCTCGGAACTTAAATTAAAAAAAAAAAGACTCATTCATTCATTAGCTCATTTATTTGACTAGATTATTTACTGGGAGCATATTTCTGAGTTAGCAAGGAGGATACAAAGATGACTGTGGCTCCATCTTTGCTTCCAGAAGCTCACCATCTAATAAAAATAATGTCATAGTGCCTACCGGAGTTACCCATTCTGTGGAATAGAGAGAGTTCCTGTTTGGACTTAGCCCGGGTTCCAGCACCAGCTTTGTCACTTACTAAACACTTGGCCCAGAGCAAGTCTATTTAAACTCTGTGAGCATTATCTATAAAATGAGCATAAAATCCAAACCTTACAGAACATAGATGATGCATACTCAGTACCTAGCATTATAGAAAGCCACTTCTATACATGCCACTTATTATTGAGTGTTACTGTTCTATTTAATTTATTATTATTCCATTTAAAGCTTACAATACCCTAATTAAAAGGCATAGATATTATTCCCATTTTGCAGATGAGAAAGAAAGGGAAGTCAGGGTTTGAATCTTTACACATCTTGTTCCAAGTCCTGACCTATTACTACTACTAGATTATGCTGCCAAAATCATTTCCATTTAACACCTCTGTAGCAGTTCTCAACATTTAGCCTGCCTGGGAATCACCTGGATGGTTTGCTGAACTACAGATGGCTGGGCCTGCCCCCAGGATTTCTAAATCAGGAGGTTTGGGGTGGGACAGTTCTAACAAATTCCCAGGTGATGATGATATTGCTGGCTGGGGTGGGCTCACTTTGAGAACCCTTGAGTGGAGTGTTAGGCTCTGGATTTGCAAATAATTTCTGCAGAAATGGCTAGTTAGCTGGGACTTTGTAGTCAGGAGGGCAGAGCTCCCCAGTCCAGCTCCCTTCCCTTGCTTCTCTTACCCTTGCGGTGCTTGAAGCAGTCTGTGTTAAATCTTTCTTGCGTTTTCGGACCAGCCTTCGCCGTCTATGAGTGTGGTACATTTTCTCTGCTGCAACCCAGGATTTGGGCTTATGATCAGGAGGAATGGTGATTCCATATTCCCAGCCTGGAACAGAGTTTGTGAATGGTTACCCAGAAGAGATGCATTTGCCAGATCACCAAATAAACCTCGAGGAAACATTTGTTCACTCTCCCTGCCCTCAGATGTTCTGTACTATCATGACCGAATATGTGGCTGTTTTCACTTTGCTGGGTTATTCAGCCAAACTGAATACAGCCTCATTCCCATTCAGCTCCTCAAAATGCCTCCTTGGTGGCCATGTTCTCCCCTACTTTTATGCTTCCAGTCATTCATGGTAACTGAGTGCACTTAGGAATAAAGCACAGTTCAAGAGGCAGGAAGAAACAGCAGGTAAGCGTGTGGACTGTGCGGTTGCACAGCCTGGGTTCAAATCCTAGCATCGCCACATGTTGGCTGTTAACTAAATAAGTTTCCAGCAAGTTGGTAAACCTGCCTATGGCCCAATTTCCCCACTGTAAAGTGGGATTATAGGGTTACAGTATTTTAACACTATCAAAATGACATATGCAAAGCATTAGGGCCATACTTAGCACACAGCTATTGCTCAGTCAATGCTAACGATTATTCTGAGATCTGGTGTGTGCATCGAGATCAGTGAGGAGCTTATAATTGATTTGAAATCTTCTGGGTCAATGCCAGTTCTATGCACCATGCATAAGGAAAGTAATGAATCAGATTTTCTCTTTTGAGAATTCCAAATGCTATTGTTCACTTAACTTTAATTATGGTTCAGAAAAAGACAAATATCAGAAGCTATATCAGTAGTCTGCATCATTGCTGCATAGGAAGACTTTAAGGGTAGTTTACAGTTCTCTTTTCTGCGTCAGGGGGGCCCTGAATGTGATGTTCCCAGGGAGGTTATGGGGTGTGGTTAGAATAGAGAAAATCTTGACTCCAGCTCCCTCCCAAATTCTCATCCTGGATCCCCAAGCATCTCAAAACCTGACCAGTTGGCCCCATCACCTGATGTTTTTCACTCTTAACACCCCCTGCTCACTTAGCACTTGTCCATACACTTGCCTTTCCCTTGGATTCTACATTTGGTTAGTCACAGACGGTACCACATGACCCAGATGCCACAGACCAGCGGTCCCCAACCTTTCTGTCACCAAGGACCGGTTCCATGGGAGACAATTTTTCTATGGACAGGGTTGTGGGGTAGAGGGAGGATGGCTAGATTCCCATGAGGAGCACACAACCTAGACCCCTCTCACGTGCAGTTCACAATAGGGTTCGCACTCTTAGGAGAATCTAATGCTGCCACGGATCTGACAGGAGGCAGAGCTCAGGTGGTAATGCTCACTTGCCCGCCGCTCACCTCCTGCTGTGCGGCCTTGTTCCTAAAAGGCCATGAACTGGTACCAGTCTGGCCTGGGGGCTGGGGACTCCTGCCATAGACCAACAGAAGTGAGGCCCCTCCCTCCCAAGGAAACTTTATCCTGGTTAACCAAGGCCCTGCTGCAGAGCCCCAATCAGGTCACAGATGTACAATGTTACCTTTCTCATCCACCGCTCGATTTATGTCATAAGACCATGCATCATCTTCCCATTCCCAACCTGGAGGACAAGTCAACTCGCTGGGTGATGCTGCTTTATCGCCGTTCTTACAAAACAAAAATAAAAACAAAGAAGAGAGGTAAGCCATAGTGTCAGTAAGAGGCAAAGGGTCCAATATAGTTCCTCATTTAACTATGGCATTCACACCTTTACTTAGATACCATCTTAGAGATCCATTTCACTCAGAAAAATCTCTAATCTTTATTTATTCACAACTGCTAAATAAAAATTAGTTTAAACTACCTTTTGTTTTTACTATTAGGGAATAGTACTAGGTTCAATCATGTGAAATTGCTGTTGTTATAGGTCAAAGTGGTTGAATCTCAGCAATTTCTTATGGTTCAACTTAATATTATGAAATGGTGCAACTCTCTTTATGAGGGGTTACATGGGATAGAACCCATCAGAGAATGGGTAAAACATTCAAGACACATGGTTGTTTGTTTCTTTGTTTTGAGACAGAGCCTCGCTCTGTTGCCCAGGCTGGAGTGCAGTGGCGTAATCTCGGCTCACTGCAACCTCTGCCTCCTGGGTTCAAGCAATTCTCCTGCCTTAACCTCTTGAGTAGCTGGGATTTACAGGTGTGCGCCACCATGCCCAGCTAATTTTTGTATTTTTAGTAGAGACAGGGTTTCACCATGTTAGCCAGGCTGGTCTCAAACTCCTGACCTCATGATCTGCCCACCTCGGCCTCCCAAAGTGCTGGGATTACAGGCGTGAGCAACCACACCTGGCCTGTTTTTGTTTTTTTTGAGACAGAGTTTTGCTCTGTCGCCCAGGCTGGAGTGCAGTGGTGCAATCTCGAGTCACTGCAACCTCCCCTCCCAGGTTCAAGCGATTCTCCTGCCTCAGCCTCCCAAGTAGCTGGGATTACAGGCACCTGCCACCACACTTGGCTAATTTTTGTATTTTTAGTACAGATGGGGTTTCATCATGTTGGCCAGGCTGATCTCAAACTCCTGACCTTCAGCGATCCACCCACCTCAGCCTCCCGAAGTGCTGGGATTACAGGTGTGACCCACCACACCCGGCAGACACATGTTTTTGAGTATGGGGAAATGCTACTGGAGGTTCATAATGTTAATTATATACAATTAGCAAAATTTATCTAAAATATTGACTTAAGTTTGCATAAAAATGAAGAGAGTTATGAAAAGAAAGTTCCTAAGTAAAGGAAATAAAGGCGGCCCATAAACATGAAAAAATACTCAGCTTTACTTTAAATTAAGAGAGTGAAAATTGAAATAACAGGATACCACTTATTCATGTGGCAAAGATTATAAAGCGGGATGATGAATATTTAGGCAAATGGGCTTCTTGTAATTTTGTTGAAAATATGAATTTATAAAACCTTTTTGAAGGTTATAAAATTTTATCAAAATTTTATATGCATTTAAACCTAGACCAACCAAATGCAAGGATCTTCCCTACAGATAAACGTTCATAAACATACAAAAATGTATGTTTAAGGATGTTCACTGTTACATTGCTTATAAAAACCAACGACTCAAAACCAAAAGCACCTAAATGCCCAGAAAGAGGGGATTAAATGAATTATAGTAGGTACATATAATAAAACATTCTGCAACCATTTTTTAAAAGCTCATAGATCTATATGCATTGACATAAAAAATGTCCAAGATATATTGTTAAGTGAAAAATACAAGCTATGAAACTGTGTGTGCAACACAATTCTATTTAGGCAGGGAAAAAGGAAGTTATATCCTTGTTTATGAACAGAAAACAGACATCAATGGTTATCTTTGGGGAGTGGAATATGGATTGGGGAGAATAATTACTTTTGATTTCCTTTAATGCTGCTTGGATTTTTTAAAGACAGAAACATTTCATTTGTTATACTATTAAAAACTAGGCTGAGCTTGGTGTCTCATGCCTATAATCCCAGCACTTTGGGAAGCTGAGGCTGGAGGATTGCTTGAAGCCAGGAGTTCAAGACCCGCATGGGCAACATAATAAGAACCCATCTCTACAAAAAAATAAAAAATTAGTCCAGCATGGTGGCATGTGCCTGTAGTCCCAGCTACTGGGGAGGCTGAGGCAGGAGGACTGCTTGAGCCCAGGAATTTGAGGTTAGAGTGAGCTATGATCGCACCACTGCGTTCCAGCCTGGGAAACAGAAAGAGCCTATCTCAAAAAACCCTCAAACAACAACAGAACCCTAATTAGATAATAATAAAAATTTACCTAAAAAATTTGCACAATCCAAACTATACCATGTTCCAACATCGAGTTAAATAGGCCTCATTTCTATTCTAAAGAAAATACTTATTGTGGCACTTGTGTGGCTTAAGCTATAAGTGGAAGACTCTTCAGAACATAAGATGGAGCGGAGGAGAGGTTAAAGCCCAAGCCAGGTGGCTGCTGGGTTCCCCGCAGATCACGATCAGAGGTGACAGGTGAGAGTTTCTCTCCGGAGCAGGCCACTCACCGCATCCGTGTAGGTGTCCTCGGCCGGCTTCCAGTCGCCCCCGGGGTAGCGGCTCTCGTTCTGATAGACTTCATCAGTGAACTCCGTGTGACCTGCATCTGCCTCAGTCAGCAAGCTGTGGGGCGGGGAGGGCTCAAGTTACCCAAGGAGACCGGGTAACCGGCAGCCTCGGCGATTGCCAACACTCAGGAAGCATCTACACCCTGGGAGTGGCACCACTTCCCTCCTCGCTTTACCCCTGTTGGTTCTGACTCCAAATTCCTCTTTGTACTAATCGCTTTTGACATTCCTTTGAAGAAAGAGCCTGCTGGAACAATGTGACCTAAATCATAAAGAACTCCTCAAATTAACAAGGTTGCTCCTTCTCAGTAATGAGGATGGGGTCTGGGAAAACAGTATTGTGGGCAGCTTCTTACAGAGACCACAGACAACGCCTTCCATGTTTCTGTTTCAGTTCCGGGCTGCTCAGCTTTATCTCAATGAAACTCTTGGCTAACAGTTCAAAAGAAAAGGGAGCTGTCCCCACTATTTTTTAAAACAGAGTGTAGACGGTCTCATGAAGCCACATGTGGCTTGCTTGGTCTACATAACACAAACTGAAGGGAGGAGTTTAAGTTTTCTGGAGAGTTCCTAGGTAGACAGCCAAACCAGGTCATTTCAGACTCCAAACTCCATTTGGGCATTTGGGAAATCCATACTGACTCTCTGCCATGTTAATTTTCCTCTTGGATTTGGAATTCTTTGGACAACCCGCAGAGGAAAGTTACAGAGGCTCCAACTTTGACTCAAGTCTTCTGCCAGGTACCTACTCAAATGAGGGTTTTTTTTCCCTTTATTGTTTCTGCATCTTTTCTCTGCTGTATTCTCCCCTAGAATCCAGCACAGGAAAGGAATCAAAAAAACAAACAGTCCCAATCACTTATATGAATTGGGCATCACGTCTCTGGGCCTCAAAGAAGGAGAATAAAAGCCCTGGCTGCTGCCTGTAGGATTCCATCCAGCCCTGACATGCTTTGACCTTCTGCTTTTTCTATCACAATTTCCCTACCCTTTCCCTGTCCTCACTAACCTTCCTTCCTTCCAGCCAATTCAAACCCCATTTTCCTTTCCCTCACCAATTTCCCCCAACTCCACCCAGAGCAAGCTGCCTGAATTGAAAGCAATCACATGCAAGCAAGCACGTTTGGGTCTTAAGAGAGCAGTATTTTCTCTTCCCTCCTCCCTCCCTAATGCCTATGCAATTACAGGAAATGAACAACAGAGAGACCAAACTCTAGTTGGAGGCCTTAAAATTCAACTTCACAAGGTTTTTCCCTCCCAACTCAAGGCTGCTGTCATAAGATGGCAAGAAGAGGGAATGCTGGTTCTAATGTTACTGGCAACATTTAGCAAACAGGCTACAGTGTCCCCCAGACTCCAGGGGAACCATCTTTACCACCTTCTACTGTTTATTTTTTTCTTTCTTTTTAATAACAGCTTTTGAGATATAGTTCACATATATGAAATTCATCCACTTACAGTATACCTCCTACCATTTCTTGCAGACATTCTAGCATAATAGTTGAGTACTGGTTTGGGTGCCCACGCTAGACTTGGATTCTAGCCCCTACTATACCATTGACAAGCAATGTGCCTTTGGACAAGTTATTTAATCTTTCTAGATCTCAGTTTCCTCATTTGCAAAGTGGAGATAATACTACTACTTGTTGGGAGATAATTCTCTGCGAGTCTCTTGTGTTTCTGCGCATCTTGTGAGCTCAGGCACTGACTACCTTTGTTATGGGCTATCTTCTCAAAGATGTTTATATGGGGAACACTAAGATAGTCTCTCTCTGCACAGCAAAGGGCCAGCCTGCTTACTGCCCATTATAAAAACTTCAAGTCCCCTAAGCCTAGAGTTCTCTCATATAACTCAATCCACTGTGTGTACAAGTGTCATCTGGCCCTCTTCATGTTACTCTGTGGGAATTCGGGCATGAAAAAGTCGAGCAAATATCAATACTCTGGCATTGCTATTGCTGTGGGCAATAAAGTTCTTTTATTCTAACCCAGGAGTCATGTGTCGGCATCTGTGAAACTGACGGGGGACCTTGTTCGCTTGCAAGTAGGGTCAAATCTCAGATCCTTCTTGCCACTGCCTCCCTTGTAGGGCTGTAGTAAAGATTAAGTAAGATGACGCCAGTGCCCAGCACACTGCCTGACACAGTCAAGCATAATAATTTCTCAAAATGTTAGTTACCAGGTGCTTTTTATATTAGCCTGTCTTATGGTGGAACATCTTTCAACTTTCTACAAATTTCAATGGACTTAGTTCTGCTCAGTGGGTGTTACATAACTATTATCAAGATGATGACGGAGATATAATATATTTAGCAATTTCTAGAGAAAGATTTCATTGCTATCCTTTTTACTCAGAAAATGGACAACTTACCTTCTTTCAGGATCAACTATCCACTCTCCTTCCCATTCCCAGCCTTTTGGAGGCAGAAAAAATTCCCTCTTGAGTTTTATTTTTCCTGTGACATCAGAAAACTTATGACGTCCTACTAATCCAGAAGTACCCCATTTTCCAAACATGAGAGCTTGATTTTCATACTATTAAAAAAGAGATAAAATTGGAGAAACACCATCAGAGAGCAAAAAATAAAGCTAGCACATACATTTTCAAGTTCATCGAGGACTTAGGCTAGACAACTACAGAAAGCAGAAAAAAGCTTTATGCTCAGAAGGTATGGACCTAACTTGAGCTATTACTGATTATGCAACTTCGGATAAATCATTCAACTTTCTAGGACTCAGTGTTCTCATCTGAAATCTGAGGATAATGCTACCTCTCCTATAGAGTCATTCTGGAGTTTAAATGTGCAAATGATTGCGAACGTGCTTTGTAAATAGCGATATAGCATCCTAGTTGCTTCTATTATAATTTTGAATGGCTCAAGATAGTTCGCGAACCTTATCTTTTAAATACCTATGAAAGTCCTCAGCTTATGAATGAGCAGATTTTATAAAATTTATTTGTAAGTCTACTGCTGAGAACTTGGGGCACATTTCCCTGTAGAAACAATATACAATTAATGTTGCCATTTCCCAGGCAGTCCACCAAAAAACCCATCTGAAACATGAAGGTCCTTTAATACCCAGCCCTTATTAGACCTAAAAGTTATGAGCCTTAATTCCATCTGGAATGTGGCAAGGAGACCAAGGCCTCTCTGGGAAGCAGGCTGAATGGCAATGGCAGACTCTGGCTTTTAGGGCATTCCTTTCCAAGTTAGAATCTATAAATCTATGACGGTCTGCTCTTCATCATGGCAACCATGGAAAGGGTAGAGATTTGCCAGTGTGGTGGGTGTCCATGTTTGGATCCAAACTAGAATTTCCAATTGTCTGCTGATGAATCCACTGAGAAGATGATTTGCATAAGCCATAGGAAAGCTTTTGGCTGAAGGAGAAAGGAGGAGATTTGAGTGGGGGCCTGATTAGGAAATTGGAATCAAGAGGACACAATGGTGCTTATCTCAGATACTGGCTGTCAGCCTGGAGGGGAGATGAGCTTCAGGCAGAAACTAAAGGAACTGTTATCCTAAGGGACCTTAAGGCTTGGGGTCACATGACATGGACACAGAATGGAGAGCAAGACATTCCTCCTGTTCTGCTTGGAAGCCAGCATAGCCTTAGTAAAATCCAGGCAAAGACTTGGCATGGACAAGAGGGTATCAGCAGCAGTGGAGATGGGAGCCTCAAGTGGCTTTGAGGGCTGTGGCTTTAGTCAGCAGGACTGGGGCAGGACAGTAAGAAAAAAGTATTCATGAGCAAGCACATGTGAAGCACCTCATAGACTCCCAGAAATCTCGGGGGTGGGGGGGAATTTTGTAGAAAATTACGTGCTAGTATTATTAGCACATGAAGGCAAGAGCCAGTAAAATTTCCATTATTATTAATGTGCCTCTGCTGGTACTCAACAGGTGAGTCACACAGAACAACAGAAATGAGTGGATCATCTCTCTACATAAGTTGAAGCTCAGGCTTCACTCTATGCAGGGAAGGATCCAAAAATGGGAAAGAGTGGAAGGAAGCCCTGGGCTGGTCGATCATTGCTCAGGGCTGCTTTCTCCAGTTTAGACCCAGCCACAGAGCTGGAGGGCAGGTAGATGCCAAGAAATCCTACAGGAAGGCAGGAATGAGCCTCTCCTTACCTATGCCATGAAGCCCCTACTCCACACAATCCAGCTGGCTGGACATCAACATCCTCCATTCAGGGCCTCCCTAGTGGCCTCCAGCACACCCTCTATCTTCACTAGCACCTCTAAGCCTGAGCTGCAAGGGCTTGTATGTTTCCCACACATTCTACTGTTTCTTAAAGTGGTCCCCACTCTCGCCCCATGTTGGAATCACCACTGCTGCTAATCCCTAACCCAAGCTACACAATCAGAATCCCCAGGGTGCCCCTGGGAGTCTGCATGCTTAACAAGAGACCTAGTTTTGCAATCATTGCAATAGATTGTGAGATCCTTGAGGACCAGGCTTGGCTTCTTCATCATCTTCAGCAGCTGGTTACCTGGCTCAGTGCCTAGCATGAAGCCACCACTCCCTAAAAGCTCCGATGGACAGATGGAGGGATGGAGGAATGAATGGTTGGGTGGACAGTAGGACAGATAAATTGTCATCATTTATTTATTCATTCAATAAACAGGTATTGGGACCTGTTATGTGCCAGGAACTGCTGAATGAATAAAAAGTAAAAATAAAAGAGGGTCAAGGGTTGTCTTGCCTAGCAAGCAGATCAGAGCCACAATCCTGAACCAGTTGTCAGGTATAGCAGTGAGTAGCAGGAATAGATTTCTAGACTAGCTAAAATGATGACAGTCTTCACCTCATTTCTTGGAGCATGAAGGCCTATCTGTAGAGTGGTGTTCATCTGAAAGTTATCAGAAGAGACCCACCGAATACATCTGGTAAATTTAAGTCAATAAGCACTTGAGTTAAAAATAGCATAAAAAATCAAAACAATTCTACTTTTAGCTGTAAACATTTGTGAACATTATTTTCATTGGTTTAATTGTAATGAGACTTTTCATTAACTACATGGATTTTAAGCTCAGTGAAGGTTTTACAAATTATCTCTATTGTTTTAGAAGTATTCAGACAGCTTTTTTTTTTTTTTTTTTTTTTGCCCCTGGACAAGCCTATCTGAGGCTTCCCTTAAGTGTGAAATGGGTCTTCAGGGGTTTTAAGACACTCTACCCCAAGTAAGCTTATCAAGATCTGAACATCTCAAGTGTCCCCTCTCCTGGGTTGGTGTGTGTGTGTGTGTGTATACTCTACTTAGTGTCCCAGCATCAGGAACCAATAAGATTATTACAGAGTTCTAGTTTTGAGAGCTAGAAAGACACCCATTTTCAGTATTGCTAGTAAGATTGTGGTAGAAGTGGAAGGCATCTAAGTCATCTCTTGGAATTATCACACAAAAGTGTTAATCACCATGGTGTGTTCCAATGTTGACTATAAAATCTCAGGAGCATCTTCTCTTATCCCTTAGGTTAAGATCCCTTCGATGGGATTTTAGGGGATGGTAAGGAGGGCTGTGGTTGTTTTTGGTATGTAAATGTTTTCCATAAAGGTGAAAAGTAAAAGTGCCCCTCCCCCGACCAAAGAAGAAAAGATAGTGAAATCATTAAAGGTACCATTTCAGCAAAGACGGTGAAAGTTCCTTCTGCGAAGCTGTTAAACTTCTTCTCCACAGCACTTAAGCCTAGCCAGATGTTCACTCGCAACTCCACAGGCACCTTTGGCCCGTTGTTTTTCTCCTGTGGATACTGTGAGATGAACAATAGCATGTGATGTTACATTAGGCACAGCAAAGACTGTGACATTAAGTTAAAGCCAAAAACAGAGGGAACATCTAATCATTGCTTTCACCAGTCTAATTTTATGTTTGCTTCAGTTAAAACATTTCCAGATGACCCTACAGCAAAGATTAAAATCACAATTAAAGCAGCAGATCTCACAGTGTGATCCATAGATTCCTGCCTGTCCCTGAGACCTTTTCAGGAGGTCCACAAGGTCAAAACAATTTTTCTAATAACACTAACATGGTATTTATCTTCTTTACTGTATTGACACTTGCACTGGTGGTGCAAAAGCAACAGTGGAAAAAACTCCTGCACTGTAGCAGGAATCAAGGCCGGATTGCCAAACTGGACCTAGTAGTAACAGTAAAAGTAATAGTAATAATAACAGCAATCTCAGTAAAGAAACAAAATTCCAGTTTCACTAAAGAATTATCTTTCCCTTTTTATGTGCAAAAACATAAAAATAAAAGGATTCTGTTGATCAAGCAGTAATGATTACTAATTTTTTTTTTTTTTTTTTTTTGAGACAGAGTCTCACTCTGTTGCTGGAGTGCAGTGGCTCAATCTCGGCTCACTGCACCCTTGACCTCCAGGGCTCAAGCGATCCTCCCTCCCCAGCTGCCAGAGTAGCTGGGATCACAGATGCATGCCACCATGCCTGGCTAATTTTTGTATTTTTTTTGTAGAGACGGGGGTCTTGCCATGTTGCCCTGGTGGGTCTTAAACTCCTGAACTCAAACGACCCACCCACCTCAGCCTCCCAGAGTGCTGGGATGACAGGCGTACACCACTGTGCCCAGCCAAGATTACCAATCTTATTAAATCTCGACCCTTGAATACATGTCTTGTTAATATTTTGTGTGATGAGATGGGAAGTACATGCGAAGCACTTCTGCTGCATATTGGCATATGATGGTTGTCTTGAGAAAAAGCTCTTGTGCAATTTTTTGAGTTGTAAGTTGAACTAGATTTTTGAAAAATGAAATATCACTTTTACTTAAAACTGCGATTGACAGGTAAACATGGTTATTCCAATTTGAGTATGGGGCAAGGATTTTTTTTTTAAACATAAACAAAGTGAACCTCTCACTCCAAGGAAAATAACTCTTTATTTGTTGGTGATGACAAAATTCCAGCTTTCACGTAAAATAATAGAGTGTTGGAAAACATGAATCTGTAACAATAAGTTTGATAGCTTCCCAACACATAGACTTTCTGATAAGTGATATTAACAAATGTGATTTCAAAGTGTGTTTTTTTCAATATTGTATGATGAAATGTGTCATAACTCAGTGATCTACATAACTCAGTGAATTTTCCAAATGATTGTACATTATGTTACAAAATCATGCATGAATAAAAGAGTCATTCAAAGTCCAAGAAAGACCAAGGATTTTAACGTAGCTGAGTATGAAAAATTCATTGATATGGTTTCAGATGTCACACTGCAATTAACCTTTTAAAAGCTACCACTTGAGTTTAGTGTTATATCAAAGATGAATATTCATAATTATCTGAAAAGGTTATTATAATACTCCTCCCTTTTCCAACTACATATCTATGTGACGCCAGATCCTTATCATATACTTCAACCAAATAACTAATTCCATCAGCTTAAATGCACAAGAAGATGAGAGAATCCAGTTATGTTTCTGTTCAGCAAGACATTAAAGAAGTTTGCAAAAATGCAAAACAGTCTCACTCTGCTTTCTGATTTTTTACACAAAATGTATTTTGTAAAAATATGTAGTTTATTAACATTTTAAATTAAATATGTAATTGATGTAATTTATGTTAGTAACGGGTTATTGTTACAGTTAAATCAATAAATATTTTAAAAATTTATCAGCTTCGATCTCTATTATAGTAAATATTCATAGGTATAACCCACATAAACCAAAGCTCTCTGGGGCCTTCAACCTTTTTTTTTAAAGTATAAAGGGATCTCAAGACCAAAAAAACTCATGAGTTAAACAGCTCCCTAAACTGTGTAATGAGTATTAACAAAATCAATAAATATACAAAACATTCTCTTAAAAGCATTTTGCTGTTTATCCACTAACTTCTAAAACCTAACACAGAGAAGGTGCCTTTGTCTCCTCTCCCACCCCCTGTGAAGCTTTATTTATTAATCAGTTTGCTTCCACCCACTGCTGAGGTCAATTATAATTGTGGTTCTATCTTAAGTAAAATTTATTCTACCAAGAGACACTTGAAAGAAGATAATCACTCTGATTCTATTTACACCCTCCTGATTAAAGAGCAATGAGTAAATTTATTAAAAGTTAGCAGAATCTCCTTGTTTGAAGAGAACACTCTCTCCAACTCTGCTTTTTCTCTTCTTAATTGTTATTTCTCTGTCCCAAATGCAAAGAACTCCAGTTGGGGTTGGCCAGAGAGATGACGTCAAAACATATAGATGGGAACTATTCTGATTTCTTTGTTTCGGCCCTAGGCTCACCTTTGATTCCCCATATACACACACAGAGTTCTTAATACGGGGCCCTGGAACAGGCTTATGGGTTGTATGAAGCTCCTAAATTCTATGCAAAATATTAGCTGAACATGCAGTGTGCATTTCCCTGGAGGAGAAGGCCTGTGGCTCTCGTCAGGCACTTAAGAGAGTCTATGACTCTAAAAGTATTCAGAATCTCTTCCCTAAAGTTACGATTGTCAAAAATGTTCAATTTGATTGGTTCATCAAATTGAAATTGATTCAATCTATTGCTCATTAGGTTAGAGCAACAGATTCCATGAACCATCCCTACTGCTTTCTCTTTCTTTCCCCAACATTCACTAGAATGAAAGGAAGAAAGGCATTGCCTTGTGTGAAATATTAGAAGTGAAATATTCATGCCAGAAAGCAAAGCATTCACAATGCCATGTTTATATTAATGTCACAAAGACATCTAAGGAGGTGTCCTTGATTGAAAGCTGGCCAACCTCAGATCACTCTCTCTCAGAATTATTGCCCCAGAGAGAGGGACCAGGATGGGCTAGAATTGATCCCAATCACCCTTACCATTCAATGATTTGCAAATGATATAAAGCAGACCCTTCTCAGGAATACAGCTTTTGCATTTAGTGTGTTTCACATGACACAGTGAAGATATGTACCTTCAGAAAGATGGTTTGGGTTTTCCCACAGTATTTTCCAGATGCATTCTCACCACTGGTGGAGTACAAGACCTGATGTGCGGGAATTCGTGCATAGGCCAGTCTCTTCTCTCCCCGGATCATCCAGATGATGATGTCAGGCATGCTGTTCTGTGGCTGGTCATGAGGATTGGATGGAAGAGGAAGCACAGCCATGGTTAGTCTAAATGGAGAGGGACCGAAGACCCTGCAGGCTGGACCCTCAGGGATTCATTTAGCAAAGAAACGCTGTGGTTAGGGCTCTGTCTCAAATTCCTGAGCTCCCATCTTCTAGGACCGCACTGTGAGTTTGCAGGGCTGGGAGGCAGACTGTGGCTGGCCAAAGGGAAGGGCGAGAAGCAGAGGCGCAGCTTCACCTAGCAAAAGTCCCTCCTACTCTTCTCTGGGAGGTATCTTAGAAAATATTCCATCTTATCTCAAGCATCATTTGAAGAAAGCCACCAGCAGCAGTCAAAAGGTTACAGATTGCATATATTTTACAGGATAAAGAGTCTCTGGCTCACCATCCAATATTTGTCAAATCTGAAATATTAATTTTGTTTTCAAAAACCTCTTTTTTTATTATAAAGAAGATAATCCAGCTTCCAGAGCTGGATATGCAAATGTCCCTATTGGCACACAGTGGTATAAAAAAACTGCCTAAGTCCACTATAGAACACTGTGAAAGTACCAAAGCATACAAAGTAGAAAATGAAATTACCTATAATCCTGTGTGCTTTTTCAAGCGTATTTCTACCCACAAATATATGACTACCTACCCAACCCTCTGATTTCTGAGAGACAGGAGGAGTCGTCTCCTTACTTCCTCATTCTTCTAGTCCACCGAAGTTAGTGGAGGCCAGCATTTATCCAGCACTTACTGTATGCCCTCAACTGTGCTAAGCCCTTTACACCTACCATTTTTTTTTATACTTTAAGTTCTAGGGTACATGTGCACAATGTGCAGGTTTGTTACATAGGTATACATGTGCCATGTTGGTTTGCTGCACCCATCAACTCATCATTTACGTTAGGTATTTCTCTTAATGCTATCCCTCCCCCAGCCCCCTATCCCGCTGACAGGCCCCGGTGTGTGATGTTCCCCACCCTGTGTCCAAATGTTCTCATTGTTCAGTTCCCACCTATGAGTGAGAACATGCGGTGTTTGGTTTTCTGTCCTTGTGATAGTTTGCTGAGAATGATGGTTTCCACCTTCATCCATGTCCCTGCAAAGGACATGTACTCATCCTTTTTTATGGCTGCATAGTAGTCCATGGTGTATATGTGCCACATTTTCTTAATCCAGTCTATCATTCATGGACATTTGTACACCCACCATCTTTTTAAAATCTTCACACAACAAAGCTAACTAGTAAGTGCTATGTTTATCTCCATTTTACAGATGGGGAAACTGAGGCTCAGAGAGGTTGAATAACTTGCCCAATGTTATACATGGTAGAACCAAGGTTCAAATTCAGGTCTTCCCAACCCCAGCCAAAGCTGACATTTTAATCCTGTGAACTGCAAAGACCATTCAAAATATTCTCCGACAGTACCATGAAAATGATAATGATTTGTCCACTTTTGAAGACATTTCCAAGATCACCAACTCAAAATTCTTCCCCTGCTCTGATTTCAATCACATTCATCATTAGCATCCTCAGCCCAGTTACTCCCTGATTTTTACAATCTGTCAGAGCTGCTCAATATCCAAGATAATGTAGTAGATTCTCTTTCCACCATCCTATTCTTGGTGCCATTTCGCAGAGCCCTTCTTCCATATCAGGTGACGTTTGTGTAGTTTAAAAGTCCTACCTCTTCAGTCAGCTGCATTAATTTATCAAGCCAGTCCTCAATTTCTGCCAGTGTGGACTTCACATCTGTGGCTTCCGACCTCATCCTCACAGCCGCCTCATGTATTTGGGAGAGAGACCTGGACCGCAGCTTTCGGATCTGAGTATCGAGAACTGTGACGTTGGCTTTTCCTTCTGTGAGAGGCAACGTGTATCTAGAAAAATGAAGAAAAAAAGAAACAGAGGATTTGAAGAATAACCTAATTTTAGGCTTCAGAACTGTCAAATACATTTATGTTGGATTTCCATCTTGCAAACCACATCAACCTCCTAACTGAATCTACAAGCACTGCCTGGTTTACGCTGGAGTAGAGTGTATCTGGCATTGCCAGAGCAGACCTGCCGGTCTCTTGATGTTCATAAGGAATACAGGGAGATTAAAATCCCAAAGCCATTTTAGGCCTTAGGGTTTAACCTACGGCCCAAGGAGTCACTGGAAAGAAGATGGAAACAGTGGCAGCTGAGAGAAACTGGCTTTCCCTTCTTTTGCTTCCTAGAATCATTTTACAGAACCACAAAATGATGGAAGAAGAAGGGAGGCTAGAGACCATTTAGCTGAAGCATACTTAACTTAGGGAATCCTGGGCCTTTAAGCAATCTATGGGTGGGTCTCGAAGGTCTGTGAAACTCTGGAACTTATAAAGAAAACTGTGTCTATCTGTGTCAACACGTAGTGTGATGTAATGATGAACATAGGCTTTGGAGCCAACAACCTGGGTACTAATCGTGGCTCCATTCTTTACTAGTTCTATTGTCTTGACCAGTCACTTACTTCCTTGTCCTCCTATTTTCAAATGTGGGACATGCTTTTTAGGGCTGTTGTGAGAAGGAAATGAGTTGCTGTATGGAAAGGATTTAGAATAGTTGCATAGCAACGTCTAAACAATGTTGCCATCCTCATCATCATCTCGTTGTCATCTTTATTATCACCATCATCTCATCAGATTCTCAAAGGGGCCCATGAACTCCAGAAAGATTTATGAACCAACCATGTAGGCCAAATCTCCATTCAATATGAGAACTTGGATGTGTTGTGATGAGACCCCCAAGGGTTCCTGAGAATGGCTGAGCTAGAGCCAGAATTAGCCTTCTGCTGCCAGGCCTTGCCTCCCACCATGGCATCTGGTGGGACACAGGGTGAGGATTTCCACCAGGTTCACGAAGCTCTGATTCACAGTGTCCTTACCTAGAATTTCCACTCACTTGAATTTCACCTAGCTTCTTCAATGAAGAAAATCCTAGCACAACTTCCCTTAGACACTGAATTTCCTGTTACATAAAGTTTAGAAAGATTCCAATTTGATTCCTCAAAAACAGCTCATATCAGAAGTATAAATAGATGACTGTGGTTTGCTCTGCAAATCTTAAAATTCACAGACAATTTCTCCATGAAAGTTATTACCAAATGTTTCTGTTTGGTTTCATAAATAACTACGGCATTGTATTTGAAGGGTTAATTCCCCAGAGTGAGACTTTGAGGCAAAAAGATATCTGGAAGCTGTTAGTTCAAAAGTCACACTTGGGGCCTTGAACAAATAGATGTCTACTGTGAAATACATGGCAGGAAGAGGGGCTGAGTTGGCAAACCCAGCTCTGGGCATCAGATATGTCATTTCTCCTCTTTGGGCCTCTGTTTTCTCATTTACAAGATAAGGAGACTGAAGGACATGATCCCTTAGGACCCAGCTCTAACATTCAGAACTTAAACAAGCACCCCAGCAGTACTTTGATTTTGGTTGCGTTTCAATTACCTGGCTTTACCACTAGGAGGCACAAGAAGACAGGGTGACTTAGGGTGTTAGCCCAGTGTGGGGAATAAAGGCCTTTTTGCTTGTGGAAAGCATTCAATATGCTTTTCTTTCGGAACTTCCCTGTCCACTGCTTTATTAACCAATATTTAAAATGAGTTTGGAACGAATCACTTCCCCCTTTGATTTCCATATGCTAAAAGATCTGAGCTGTTTCCCCGAATCAGTTATGAAAGGTCCGCTGGTTCAAGTCAAATCTACTGGTTTTGCCTAACAGAGGCTTGGCCACAGTGTTCATCAGGCATTCAGTAAAAGAGCAAGTAAAAGGGCTGTTTCTAAAAATATGTTTATGAATTAGAGATATTGTTCTGAATGGTAAAATCAATGCTCCACTCCCAGATCCCATTCTCCGTAGGAGCCAGAAGTCACCCTTCTCCAGGGTGGGGGTCATTCTTGGGTTGATGAGAAGCAGAGGCTCAGGCTTGCTTCTTTCTCCGCTCCCCATCCCTTGCCTGAGGCTGCCTGGGACGTGCTTCTGGGAGTGGGGCCTCAGCCTCCCTAGGCTACTTGAGAACTGGCACCAAATCAGAAAGTGGAGCTTTTCCTGGTGGTGATTCAGGCACTCCTCCCAGTGAGGACTTTTTACGAAGTTTGAATAATTCAAAATCACTTCTTAGACAAACACTAGAAACAATTCCACAGGATTTACAGTCTTAGAATTTCAGGGAGGAGCGCCTGGATGAAAATTCTGAGATAGGCGTAAGATCACTGTACCTCGTGTCTTCTATAACTTCATCTATCAGCTTCAGCCACAATTCAGCCAGCTGGTTTGCAGGAATTTTACCTTGTATCCCTGATTTTAGAGCTTCTATATTTGTTTGCTGAAGAATTTGAAAAGAGAGGAAATAATTGATAATTGTTCATTATGCCATTATACCTTTTCATATAGTTTAACCTGTGAAATCATGTAAATATTTTTGTATATTCAAAAAACAAATAAAATGAAACCAGCAAAGATAGGAGAGGGAACCCTAAAGTGGAATATAACCAGAAATAAAACAGATCTAATTACATTTCAGATGAATAACATAATTACACTAAACTAACCCAAGTAACTTTTGGAACACAGTATTTTGACTATGTACACTTTGTTAAAAGGCAGAAAAAAAAAACCCATAAACATATTGAACTCTAATTAGTAGGCTTATTTTTCACAGTGGTTTATCTACAGATTTTAGGATTGAACCAAGGAGTAAATATATTGAGGATAACAAAGGCCAGATTTCTCACTGTTGGAGAAGAAAGTTAGAGACATAGAAATACAGAGGACTAGGATAAACCTTGTGGTATTGGACTGGAATTGGAAGTATCTTTATGAAGTCATAGCTTTTAATATATTGATAGATATAGAAATAAATAGACATACATGTGTCTGTGCAAATTCGTTTGCTGAGAAGGCCTAGAAGCAATGATATTTCAGTAGTAGTGAGCACTGTATACCCAGATTTTGTTTCTAAAATGCTATTCCCCACTCAAAGGAAAAAGCTGCTTGGAGAAATAGCGATTTACGGACTGGGGCAGAGAAAGTACAAGATAAGCTCAAAACATATGGTTCTATTCCATTGAGCACCTGCCAACAGAGAAGTTGAGGAAGAGCCTACCATGACTGTCAAAAGTCCTAATCAGGGAAAAGGGAAAGCCACCATCCTGTCCAGATTAGGCAGCCTGGTCAGTGGAGAGAGCTGATAAGAAGAACCAGGATGAAAATTGCTGAAGAGCATCTCAAACACAATTAGAACACAGGTGCAACTAATTCTCCACAAATGCCTTTGAGATGTACATTGCCTATCAATTGCAACTTTATTTTCAGGACAGTTATGATTAAGTCAATTTAAACCTATAGTTATCCTCCCAGATTGCCTTTATAACATAAAATGATATTTCAGATTTTGCCGTCGAGTTTTAGATCAAGTATACTCCTGAAACCCCATATGTTTTGGTCCAGCCCTGGTAGAGATTAGATCTTTAAAAAATTAATATTAACATAATGTTGAAATCAAAACACCAATGCCAGATGGATTTTAGCACTACCTGATAGGAGTAACTTAGTATATGTGTATATGTGTGTGTGTATGTGTGTGTGTGTATATATATATATATATATATATGTATATATTTATCTTTTTAGACAGAGTCTCAATTTGTCCAGGCTGGAGTGCAATGGCGCCATCTTGGCTCACTGCAACCTCCGTCTCCCGGGTTCAAGTGATTCTCCTGTCTCAGCCACCCTAGTAGCTGGGATTATAGGCTCACATCACCATGCCCAGGTAATTTCTTTTGTATTTTTAGTAGAGACAGGGTTTCACCATGCTGGCCAGGCTGGTCTCTAACTCCTGATCTCAAATGATCTGCCCACCTTGGTATCCCAAAGTGCTGGGATTACTGGCGTGAGCCACTGCACCTGGCCCAAGTAACTTAGTATTTTTGCTTAATTAGAAATATCACAGACATATCCCCCTTCTCCTCACCAATCTAGTTGACCAATGTCAACTAGACAGATAATCACAGATATCATATGTATGCAGTTTTCACCCAAGGAAATCCCCAACCTCCAAACAAAAGAAGTTCCTCTAGTCTGCAGCAAGAGTGGAATGTGTCAGACACTGGTTCCTCAAAGCTACCTCTTCCTGCAGTGGAGATTTCCACTGCAAAGTTCTCAGAGTTTCATATTGCTATTGGAATGAACCATTCTCTCTACACAAAAATTACGGCAGAAACTATGAGTTCCTGTTCCACCCCACTCCTACCTTTTTAATCCTCCCCTCTTCCAAAGTAAGAAAATTTTTATCTGGGCATATGCCTGCCCAGGCATAAGACTAACATTTTCCACCTTCGTTGGAGTCACATGTGGCTGTATGACTGGATTCTGGCCAGTGGAAAGTGAGTAGAAATTAAGAGTATGACTTCTGCATCCTTCCCTTCAAGAGAAAGGCCTATGTCATCTTCTCCCCACTGTTTACCAGCCCTCCCCTCAGGCTGGAGGGCAGATGTAGTAGTGAGCTGCCTCTACCATGCAGACAATGATAACTCCTGAGTGATGGCAGAGCAACCGGGGGTAAGAGCCTGGGTCTCCAATACCACTGAACCTCCATACTAACTTAGGACCATCTACCTCCACTGTTCCTAGAGACATTGCTCTTACCTTATTGATCACTGTACTAAGCACTTTCTTGTGTTATAGTGGCCTGGCCTCCATCCTAATACCTAATTCACCCTGCTTGGTGAAAAGGAAATGCAGAAAAAGAGAAACTTACCAGCCGTTCTGCCATAGCTAGGAGAGTGTTCACCGCATCCAGGCGATGACTAATATCCTCCCAGTATGAAGTCAGGGTAACAACTGGCTTGGTGTGGGCCCAAGGCAAGTAATAATAGTAGTTGCCTGGTATAAAACATTGGGGGTCAATGAACACTGAACACTTAAAATAGACAGCATGTTTATTAAAGAGATGTGCAGACTGAGCTGCTGATTAATCCACAGGCTTGGGGAATAGCTTGAGGTGGTCTGGTTCTTTAATTTGACTCAATTAAGCAACTGAAGACTAGGAAGCTCTTTTTCATTCAGGCTGTTCTGAAATTTTCTCTGAGACACCCTAGTAAACTGAGCACAGCAATCTCAGGATCGTTTAGTGATTCAGGGCCATGCATCTGAACATCAAAGATGGTTTCTTAACGTGGTAGTAGAAAATACAGATGACATAGGAAGCTAGACTGAACATGTTAGTCCCTAAAAACTGTTATTCTAAATAAATGTTTTTGTTGGAACTGGGGCAAAAGAAAAGAATTTTCTGTTCTTGGAAAGCTTTAGCTGGCTACATAGGGTTTGGTACTAGAGCCTTACTGTGATTAAGAATTATTAGCTGATGTTTCCTAGGATGTCTTACATTTTAAAACTGCTTGTACAAAAATTAAGTTAAAACTCTGGCAATACTGTTGGGAAATTTGATCAGTATTCCTCTCTCCCTTCTCTGTACTCTCAAACCATTTGTTGACAGTTTTATTGGAAGTTCTCATACTTTGCTTTCTATTATGATTTATTTTATACACTAGAATGTAAGCTCCTTAAAATCAGGGACTGTTTCTCACCCATCTTTGTTCAAATACAGCTATTTAATCCTCATGTCAACTCCAGAGAAGACGAAGAAACTGAGGGTTAGAATTCAGTGACACGGTTAAGGTCACAAGCTGGTGAGTAACAGAGTGAAGACCAGAAGCATGATTTCCCAGTAGCTGATCCAGAGTCCCATTCATTTTCCACTACTCAGCCTAAGAAAGATTTGGGGCTTCGTAGGGGTAGGAGCTGCTTTGCGGAGCTCAGAACTTAGCACAGTGGCTACCTTGGGGTCTTACATGGCAAAACCATTGTTAAAGCTGGGTGGGGAGAGGGTAGCATTGGGGTTCAGCCTCTGGCAATGGGACCTGCAACTTCTTGGGTCTGGCCAGTCTTTAAGGTGCCTGAACCCCAACCACACTCTCTTCCTCATTCAACCTTTTCCTTTCCACTAACCATAGGCTGCGTAGAACAGTGCCAGAGGGAAGACACAGTGCTTGCTTCCGGTCCCGTGGTGCACCCATTGTAAACGTGTGGAGAGAACTGTTAGTGCCAATCTTACCATCAAATACAGCACGGCTGTACTGAGTTGTTGATGCCAAAGGCTTACAGGTGGTGTCAAACTTGTTGCCATAGTTCCCAATGCTGACTTCAAACTGAATGGCCTCACCAACATCTTGCAACATGGTGGCTGAATGAAACACGGCAGACAGGCTGTACTTCCGCCTTCGCTGGTATTTCTATAAAGTATGAGCAGACATAAGGTTCAGTGAAAGGCCATTTGTTCTTATTTACATGTGGATTTCTAGGAGACGCAATTCTACACCTAATAATTAGTGCTGAATTAAATGACAGGGGAGAATGTTCTTGGACCCAGCTGTTCCTCTTGCACTCATACAAGTGAGCAAAGATAGAAGCACTAGGATGTTCCTGGCAGCATTGATTGAAATGGAGGGGAAGAAATGAAAACAGTACACAAGTCTTTCAGTAGACCACTTGTTAAACAAGTTATGTTATATCCATAAAATAGAATGAAGGTTCATAAAAAGACTTAATTAGGTCCATATGTGCAACCATGAAAAAAGAGTATATTTTTTGGGCTGGGTACGGTGGCTCATGCCTGTAATCCCATCACTTTGGGAGCCCGAGGTGGTTGGATCACTTGAGGTCAGGAGTTCAAGACCAGCCTGGCCAACATGGTGAAACCCTGTCTCTACTAAAAATACAAAAATTAGCTGGGCGTGGTGGTGCACACCTGTAATCTCAGCTACTCGGGAGGCTGAGGCACGAGAATCTCTTGAACTCAGGAGGTAGAGGTTGCAGTGAGCCGATATCGTGCCACTGCATCCAGCCTGGGTGACAGAGCAAGACTCCATCTCAAAAAAAGAGAGTATATTTTAAGTAAATCTATTAAATAGATATTTTAATATTCATAAAGGCATATTCATAAAGAAGGTCTGGAGGAATATAACTCAAATTGTTAACAGTAGTTATGTTGAAGAAGGTAGAGAGATTATGGCAAACTTTACTTTCTAACTTATACATTTTTAATGATTTTGAATGAAGCATTAATTTTTTTTTCTCTATTTTCTTTTTTTTTGAGACAGGGTCTCATGCTGTCACCTAGGTTGGAGTGCAATGGCATGATCACGGCTTACTACAGCTTCGACTTCTTGGGCACAAGTGACCCTCTGGCCTCCCAACTAGCTGCGACTACAGGTGCGTGCCACTGCACCCAGCTAAACTATTGATTTTCTAATCAGAAATAACAATAAAGATTTTCATGTCAGATGTAAATAAAAATAAGGAAACTGGGTAAATTTATTTTAAATTGAAATGGGAAATTAAACCTTCCTTTTTCTTTTTAAATTACTGGTTTACTAAGAGAGTTGAAGATAGGGTCAACGATAACCACATTGAGTGCCTATCAGCCTACCAGAAATGACCATGAGCCCTTCAAGCCTTCCTTCATGGGCACATAAAATCTCTTGAATCCATATCCTGCCCCAAATCCTTGCTCAGCTGGCATATCTCCTTCTTTATGAGCCATATCTCCACAGATCTTCAGGCACTGTGCCTTCTTTTACCAAAGAGCCATGCAATGGTTTAGGTTGCTGTGTTTCATTATGTCCCGTGCATTCTGCCATGCAATACGATCCGCATCCTGTGTCTATTCTAGAACTCTGGTGGTACCCAGTCTCTGCGTTCAATTATTTTGGGTATATACCCAGAAGTGGAATTTTTAATTCTTTTTTTTTAGACTGTGTCTCGCTCTGTCACCCTGGCTGGAGTACAGTGGCTTGATCTCGGCTCATTGCAACCTCTGCCTCCTGGATTCAAGTGATTCTCCTGCCTCAGCCTCCCAAGTAGCTGGGATTACAGGCGTGTGTCACCACACCTGGCTAATTTTTGTATTTTTAGTAGACACGGGGTTTTACCATAGTTGGCCAGGCTGGTCTCTAACTCCTGACCTCAAGTGACCTGCCTGCCTCGGCCTCCCAAAGTGCTGGGATTACAGGCATGAGCCACCGTGCCTGGCTGGAATTTTTAAATTTTTAAGGACTGTTTTAAGAACTTCTGACAGTGACTGAAGCTTGTGGTCTTGAAGAACCCCTGGACATCCTTCTATTACAGAGTCTCCATTTTGGTTAAAGGAGTTTTTGACATGGTATAATAGAACCCTCCAATAGGGTTTTGTCAAATCCCCTCTAGGCCTCAATCTTTCTAAAAAGTCTCTCTAAACACTGGTTTGTAACCTGAGCTGCACATTGAATGACCTGAGGAAGCTTTGACGGGAGCATTGTGAGTCTAAAAGCCTCCCTAGCTTAGTCCACTGTCACCTTGATAAGGGAGGATTGGGGGTGCACGCTACTTGTCAAGAGCTCTGCTTAACTACCCACAGCGAAGCCCCCTGGAATACCCGTGGTCCAGAATGATGTGGAAATTCTGGGTTTGGGTTTGAATTGTGTCAAAATGAAAAAGTAGGAAGTTATTTGGATTAGTCATAACTACATACAGCATAACTTCTTTGTAAACCAACTAGGATGATAGGAGAAAAGGGAAAGAGCTAAAAATAGGAAACATAATTTGTGGCCTGAGTCAGGACCCAGGAGAAAATGACCGGTATTTAAGCCAGAGCCATCTGTTAAGCCAGGGACTGCACAGGATGGAGAAGGATCATGGGGAGGCTTGGAGGTGGGGTGGGAACTACGGGGATGATACTCCCAGCTGGGCCGGCTCTACCCCGTAGGCCTCCACATAGCCAGGATTCCATTAGAACCCCATGGATGCTCTCACGCAGAGCTTGCAAAATGACCCACAGAATCCCTGATAGGACCCTCACCCTGGAGAGTCTGAGCCCTAAAAGCAATAGTTTGGGCTTCTGGCCATCAGCACAATTCCCAACAGAGAAGGGACTCACTATGAGCAAGCCGCTGAAGATGGAGCCGCTGGATCACTGTGCAAGCCCAGATTCCAGGAGGGGCAACGCTACCATCTGCTCACCTGTGCCAGAGCCAGGCTACCCTCGATGATTCAGGCAGCTGAGAATTCTGCCGCTCCCTCAGACCTTTCCCACTTCCTCTCTGCCCTCAGGGCACAAAGAGGTAGAGAGAGGAAGGAACAATAAACACCATTCAGAGAAGTACAGAGCCTGGGACAAGATCTGCCTACAACAAGAGAAAATGAAATAATATAAATTGGGCTGGGCGTGGTGGTTTACGCCTTTAATCCCAGCACTTTGGGAGGCCGAGGCTGGCGGCGGATTACCTGAGGTCAGGAGTTTGAGACCAGCCTGGCCAACATGGTGAAACTCTATCTCTACTAAAAATACAAAAAATTAGCTGGGCATGGTGAGAGGTGCCTGTAATCCCAGCTACTCAGGAGGCTGAGGCAAGAGAATCACTTGAACCCAGGAGGTGGAGGTTGCAGTGAGCCAAGGTCACACCATTGCACTCCAGCCTGGGCAACAAGAGTGAAACTCTGTCTCAGAAAAAAAAAAAAAAAAGAAGAATGTAAGTTGTAGTCTATTGGACTTAGGTGGGGTTAGGGCCTTGGGGCTCTCTTTCTGATCATCAGTGACTAGTGCACCTTGTGGATAAGGTGGTATAAAGTAGAGTTTCAGCAGTCGATTTGCAAAAGGAGGTGATTTCTGTCAAGCAAGATACCGATAAGGGCTAAGAGTTGTTGAAAGTGGCTGTGGACACACAAGGCATGGGACATTAAAGGTCAGTGACAAGATCAGGTACCAATGAACACTGCCCAGCATGCCACCTTCGGTATGTCTACTGAAGGGAGCTGATACCTGATGGAGCAGCTGGAAGAACCTGAAGGTGCTGTTTCTAGCAATATTTTTGAGCCCTTAATGTGGGCCAGACCAATGAGAGCTCTCAAGGAGATTGTAGTTGAGTAGGAGAGAGAATGCAAGTGCATAGAATGCTCCCAAAATACATTCGGTCACATCCAAGGAAAATGGGGAAAGAGGAGCAGGGAGAAAGCAGTCCAAGAACAGACTCTTGATCCTGGAGACAAAAAATGGAGTCCTTTAGTGGCAGGGCAGAGGTTCCAGAAGCCAGCGGGTATTAGAATAACACTGGGTTGGCAACACTTGATCTTCTGTCTGCCTGATTCTTACTGTGGAAGTGGCCAGGCTGAATCTGCTGCATCCCTCCTGCACTGCAGCCTCTCTTGACCAGGCCCACCGGGAGCAATAGCTCAGCTCTGCTTTAGAAAGATGGGGAGCACTTGGCAGTTTGGCAAAAAATTTGCCCATTTGTTGCAGCCTCTTTAGCTTTACCAAAAAGTTTTGTTAGCTGCACATAATCCAGAACAGAGGACCTTTGCAAGACAGACAAGGGTCATGAGCATGTTTGTAGGTTGACTGCATTCGTTAAGTCCTTCTGGCAGGTGCACAGATCTGCTCATTTCACTCTCTCCTGGGGCTCCTGTTGCTTGAAGTGTGGCTATGTCTTCAGAATCCTCATTTCTCTCCTATTCTGTAACACTGTTAGGTTTTTAAAATTTTTGCTTCATTTCACTTTTGATTTATATTTATTTAATTAAAAAGATGAGCTATTTTGCTGTCTGTGTTTAATTTAGAGCAAAGAAAATGAATTCTGTTTTACCAGTCAATAAAAAGCTGTTCTTTTATTCTGTTGACATATACTGTGGGCAATATATATTGTTGACTTTTTTTTTTTTTTGCTTTTACACTAAATTAATGAAATAAGCTTCTTTGCCTGTATGTGTTTAACTATTTGCAGTGAAGAAAACTAATTTGGTTTTGCATTCCAGTTAATAAAGCATTTAAAAAATATTTTCTTGGGCCTCTTTCTCCTTCTCCCTGCAACTATGGTTATTTAAAACAAAGAGAAGCAGCATGAACTTAAATTACATTCTGGTGATGGAACCAAATAAAAGAGGTACTATAATGGTTGAGTGTCCATGGTGGCATTTCTGAATAACCCTGAATTCCAACCAATATTTCAAGAGCTAACTCCAATCTGTAACTACTCAAGTCAAGAACCACCATGTGTCTCCACGGAGGCCTCCAAGTGGTTTCTGGCTATTCTTTTGCATGATCCTGGCTGTAACTAGCATGCAAACTGTCCCTTTTCTCACTCTCCCGCCCTCTTTTTTCCTTTTCTTAATTTTTCCTCAAGATCTATTGCAATTCCTGGACTTCAGAGTGGGTAATGTTGTGGAATAGAAAGACTATGACCAGGACCTTATTGACTTTTGGCTCCGTGTCTCTTTAGTAAAAAAACAAAACAAATGATCATCTTTGCTGTAGTAATTCATGGGGAAGAACTATTTATTTTCCCCATGTGAAGTTACACGGATGCCCCGTGGCTTGCTGCTGTGGTGATGCTAGGTTCCTTCCTGAGGCTGGGGGGTGGAGAGAGGGCAGTCTCAGGAGCCTGCTCCTTTCCTCTCAAAGGAGGAGACAGGAATGAAATTGGTGCAGCTCAAGCACTGGACCACAGATGTTCCCAACATGTAAAGGCTGAGGAATCCAGAACAGACTGCTTTGGATGCTAACCTCCTGATACGGCTGCCTTCTGGGAGTCAATGAGCAAGGCCACATTGCTCTGGGGAAGAAGGGATAGTTTCTGTTAAAGGGTGTGGCTATTCTCCCTGTCAATCATCCTGCAAAGGGGGCAGATGTAACAGGCAGACATCAGACGACTAGAGGGAGAAGGCCCTGGCTCGCTGGAGAACTCACGGCAGTTGGGCCTGGACTCAGATGAAAACGTGTTCTGGGTACCACGGGAGTTTGGGGGAGAGCATGGAGAACCCAGTCCTGCCACAAGGAGACAGGCTGCGAGTAGACAGGAAGGCTGACTGTCAGGGACCCAGAACACCAGCCTGACCCCATGAGCTTTGAGAATAGCCACATTTCGCAACCACGTTGTCACCCTTTTTACTGTATTTTCGTATTCTTATCCCAAAAACTGAAAGTGAAAGCTTTTTAAAAGTTGCTGTTTGGTTTCTGCTGTAAAGTGGTGAAATCAGGGCAGGGCCTGTCCTGTGTGCTTGGAACAGAGGGCAACAGCAGCCTGGGGCAGCTGGGGGGCTGGCGGTGATTTGCAACCCAGCAAGGAGGGCCGCGGGCAGAGGGGCATCCATGAGCTGGCTGTGCTGGCAAATGATTCAGATTTGTGGAACACACAGGCATCGACCTGGATTCTCAGAAATGGTTGGGGAAGTCAACTGGGAAGATTTCCTGTCTTCAAGGAGGAAGCGGGGTTCACAGCCATTGCAGTGTGGGCCCTCAGCACACCTGCCCTCCTGTGCTGGGAAGCCTGAGGCCCACCAGCCACCTCTGAAAATGGAAATGAGTAGAGGTGGCACCTACAGCTCTTGGTGCCAGCAAGAAGTGGCTGTTATGGCCACTTCCCCATGACCCCCAACGCCAGTTAGCAAACAGGTCATTCAGTTTGTGGGTATCAGTGTTCTTGCCAGTTTTCAATAGGGTATTAACATCTCAAAGGATGAAGCGATCCTCATAGGGCTGTTGTAGAAACATCCAGATGAGGGCCTCATTGTGAGTTGGGTTGCCTTCCGACTCCCCCAGCTACCCCTTCAGTCCCTGGAGGTCTCCTTTTCTATACCATGCATTACTCACACTTTAACATTTACCTCAACAACCAGCAGGTCATCATTTGAAATGGGCTCAAGCTTTTTATCTGGTGGTGTCTTCTCAAGAAAAGTGGCTAATTCAACCAAGATCCTGCCTCTGTAGGCAACTCCTTCCCCCTGAAAGGCAATAATCCAGGATTATTCCTCTAGGCAGCAACAGCAAAAAGAATTCTGTGTCTCTAGTCAGGCTAATACAACTGCAAAAAGTTTCTCCTTCCCATGGCCCTAACCTTCGAAATGAATCAGTCGGCAACTCTCCCAGCTGGATTCAGGTCTCTGGTGTTTGAAAGAGAGCCATTGGCTTTAGGACAGATCTCAAAGAGTACCTTGGGATGCTAGGGCTGAAAAAGATCTTAGCTGTGACCAAGGTCAGAGGTCTTCAAACCATGCTCTAGCTCCAGAAGGAGTTTGTGGAGGCTGGGAGGTGGGGGGTGGGGGGTGGATGGGGCTCTAAGTCTCCCTTCACCGTACTTCAGCAGGGAAGCTCTGCATTTATCTGGGTTAACTTGGCTGCTTTTCTCCTCTTCTCAGAATAGGGAGGCTGCCATGCTGGCAACCAGGGCAAGTCTCAGAATAGCCAGGAAGTAAAGGAGGAAGATGTAGGAGGAAGAAGTTCTGGGTGCAGCTGAGCCTGAGGATGAAGAGTGGATACTTCTCCCACCATACCCAGCAGTGCTGGCAATAGAACCTTCTGGAAAGGACGGAAGGGTCCCCACCTCCACAGCCAGTCTTTTACCCTTCCCCTCTGAGGGCTTTTTCTCTCTAGCTTGGTCTCTTTCTTGAGCCTTGGGAGATAACCTAAAAGACATTTGGCTTCTGTTGTGGTAAAAAGAGCATCTCCCATCTCTGGGCTTCCATGTCTTCATCTATGAAATGAAAGGATTGATCAGATCAAGGGTAATAAAGGGTTTCAGGGTGCATGCCACTGCCTAGTGCTTGGTAAATTCCTGGAATATGATGTTGAAAAGAATTCCAAGGCAGCCCAGGGGCTTATTAGGAAAGAGAGCCAGCATTGATTATTGATGTCTACCATAAGCATAGAAGTTGGGGGAAATGGCCATTGGCCATTGGCCATCCCCCAGTGAGATGATCTCCACAGTCTTTTCCTATCTTTGCATTCTAAGTCTTAGGGAGTATGAAACTTCTATCCTGCAATACTTGATCAGACATTATAAGAAGAAATAATCACCTTAACCAATGCTGATTAATAACCACCTTAATTGAGAAACCAACCTTTCCAGTATTCAGCTCATCATAGGGGTCTGGGAATCCCGTGTACTCTCTGGGGCTTCCATAAAGATTCAGGTAACAAGGTCCAAACGTTGGAACAAAGCCTACCTCTGTTTCTCCTGTGTTTACTGAGAGAGAAACATCATCATGAGGTGTTAGGCTTTTAACATTCAATCTATTGAAATAAATATTAGTTATTAGTTAGTTAGGTGAGACTATTTTCCTCCATTTTGGGAGTTAGTTGTATTAATGCAAGTTGTAAGCACCATGAGGTTTGCCATATTTCTCTTTTCTTATTGCTACATAAAATATTAAATAAAAACATTTGGGGGTAGCGCAGATAAACTTATTTTTATAAAAAGATAATGCTATTTAAATAAAGAGCAATTAGACTTTGAAGTTGACCTTCACATTTTTGCAAGTTTATAATGGGCATTGTATTAAACATGCCATTGCCAATTGGGGCAAAAGATTATATTGTTTTGGGAAGTCACTTAAATGACATATTTTATGAACTTTATTTGTTCTTCTAAAGTGTCATTTAATCTTCAGTAGTTAGTATAACTCTAGCAGATGCTGTTAAAAATATAAGACATTTTTAAATTTTATATGTAATAATAAACTGCCTGCCTGTGGTTGTAAGACCATGTGATATTCATAAATGACATGAAGATTCCCATTCATTGCTTTCTATCTCTGGTGGTCATCTGATAAGCTCCTTATTTTTGCTACCTGGTCTTAGCAAGACAACTCCTCAATGAAGGGCACTAAGGGCAATATAATTAAATAGCTGAAAATGGGGAAACTGCGGGTGAGGGTGGGGAAATATAAGAGTTGCCTTCAATAGCCTGAATGGCCCCCCATGGGAGAGGGATGGACTTGTCTCCAGAAGCAGAGTAAGGACCACTGCTGGGAGCTACAGGGAGATCAGCTTTGGTTCACTCTGTATAAGGCAGAACTTTCTGTGAATTCGAAATGACAAACAATGGGACAGGCTGCATTAGGGACAATTAGAAGAAATGTTGAGGCAAAGGCTTCAGCCTATCTTTCAGCATGTTCTCAGGATAATTCCTGCTATCGATGAGGTTGACCAGATCATATCTATGGCCCTTTCCAACTCTATGCTTAAAACTAAGGGAGAAAGATAAATGTGGAGCAGCGTCATCAGAATGATGCCCATTAATAAATAATTTACCTAACCCTATAGACATATACTGCACAGTCATTTTCATTACGTGAAGC
Source organism: Homo sapiens (assembly GCF_000001405.40). NCBI lineage: Eukaryota > Metazoa > Chordata > Mammalia > Primates > Hominidae > Homo > Homo sapiens. Next base: position 93,390,269 of record NC_000010.11, read on the forward strand.
TCTCTGCATGTTTAAATGGGCGTGTACACATTTGTGGGGAGACAGAAATCATGGACACAGGCAGAAAAGAGCTGAATAGCAATCTCAGTGAAGACAGCAAGAAAAAAAGAAACATTTAAATGAAAATTTAGAAAATTAAGATGTACAAAACTAGTGCACGCAGCCTAAGGTTGAGACTTGGTAACAGCCTAGGATGCCACATGTCACACTTGTTTGGAAATCTCTTATGAAACACAAAGAGGGACCAACAGTTTCTCCAACAGAGATTTCTCTGAATCATGTTATCATCTTCAAGACAGATAAACAGGAGGAATGACTATTATACATGAACATATAAATTGGCTTGGCTTTATCCATTGTGGCATATGGAACATTGCAAAGACGATTAATTGATCACTAATAAGTAGGGTTTGGACTTCTTTCTGTGTGCTAGAATATTTTGTTTTAGTGGAGGGATGTTGGGTGCGAATAGAGAATTAAAGCAGAGACTCACAGAGAGAAAAGGAAGTTATTTTTAGAAGCTGAATCACACACAAAAAAGATTTAAAAAAAAAAAAGAGGAAGAAGTTGAATCACAGAATATTCCAGTAAGAATGGATGTTAAAGCTATGGCACCATAGTCATGTCACATTATGGATGGGCAAGCCAAAGCCCACAGAAGTGATGCAACTTGTCAAAAGTCCCACAAATTGGCAGATTTAACCCCAGATCTTGAGTTTCAAAGCTCAGAAAAGGACACCCTCCACTACCCCATCCATTCCTTTGGTCTAACCTCACTTCTCCTCCACCTGGTTCCCTTGAATGACTGTGCTGTCATGTGTATTTGCTTTTTGTTAAAGATCCCCAGGGATTGAAACACAAATTGTCAAGAATGATCCACTGCATATCAGCTTAATGCCAGGGGCTTAATTATTTTTGTCCAACAAATCTCTTTTCTGGTATGTTACCCCTTTGACTTGTTTCATTGTGCATTAACAGAAGGAACTCTCCTTCTATGTGCTCACATCTTAGTATAGTCTCCTGGGATAACCCATTCTCTAGGCCAGGCATGGTGGCTCACGCCTGTAATCCCAGTACTTTGGGAGGCTGAGGCAGACGGATCACCTGAGGTTCAGGAGTTCTAGACCAGCCTGGCCAACATGGCGAAACCCCATCTCTACTAAAAACACAAAAAAAATTAGCCAGGCATGGTGGCAGGTGCCTGTAATTCCAGCTACTAGGGAGGCTGGGCCAGGAGAATCACTTGAATCCAAGAGGTGTAGGTTGCAGCGAACCAAGATCATGCCATTGCACTCCAGCCTGGTTGACTGGAGCAAAACTCCATCTCAGAAAAAAAAAAGAAAGAAACAAAAAAAGAAAACCCATTCTCTCATAAGCTAAATCTCTTCCTGCCTCCAAAGTTTCCTAGTCCGTTTAATGCACAGTGGACACATCAAACTTCCCAATGTCCTTGCTGAAAAGCCTATATAAAATAAAATAAAAATCCTTTACCCTGGCCATCAAGGATTTCCTCTGACCTAGCTACAACCCACTTTCCAACAATATTTTCCATGCCTCCTTTACCTTTTTGAATCCCCTTCATGTTTTGGATTCCTACAAATAATTACTGTATGTTTTAGTTTCTAGAATCCTACATAGCTGCACATCTCTGTGACTAAAGTATCACTTTTCAGGGGGAGTGGCAGGATTTAAGTATGTTTTATTTTGATTTCCTAAACACCTACTACTGGTTCTATCATGTGATACTACTACATAAATATTCATTGATTGGTTAAACAAATAAAGGAATAAAGTGCTTGCACATCTGCCAAGTCCACTGCAAATCTAAGGACTACTTAATATTCATATAAAGTCTGATTATAATGAAATAGATTGTTTAAAGCAAATAAGAATTGGGCATTGTGTCAATTACATAATTACATGATATCACCTTATATTTGCACACAGCTTCAGAGTTTGCAAAGCTTTCCCACATGCAATATCTCTTTCCCTTCTTACCACAACCCTGGGAGATTATTATGGCAGGGCGAATCATGCTTATCTGACAGATAATGAACCTCTCTAAACCTCAGAGTCTTCATCTATTAGGGGAACAAAAACATCTGCCCTAGGAGAATTGTGATGGTCAAGTGTGTGACAGTATTGAGCAAACTTGCAAAAAATGACGAGTTCTGTGCAAACCAAAGAATGTGTTATGATCCCTCATTTTGGGGGAGGTGAAGATCTTCAGGGTGCAAAGTAAAAAACGTTCAGTATTTTTCAACCTAGAGATTCACGTTGAAATTGGGGGAAAGTTACTTGATACATTTCAGAACAATTGATTTAGTGGTCCATTTCTCTACTTACTGAACATAAACAATAACAGAAAATGTTATATCTCACAATCAATTATTTGCAATAAAGCCAAATACGATGGTGTGCATTTAGCTGAAAGCATGGGACATGGAGCAAAGCCTGGTTAGCATATTTCTTTTAAGCTTAGCCGTGCAGGACAACCGTATGGCACTTACACAAAAATTATTACTTTAGCAAAACTATGTTGAGACAGCAAAATGTCAAAAAAAAGTTCTAAAGACAGTCGATACATTCTTAATAAGATAATATTAGCTAGGAAGATATAACAGAGAGCAAAATTACGAAGCATAAACCTGTATATGATGCAGCCCCAGTTCCCGAAGATGAGAAATCTATATAGTAAAAATATGACTGGTTAAACAAGAAGAACACGGGCATTATAAAACAGACATTGAAAACGTTAATCAAATCCAGTGCCAGGTATGTGATTTAGCAACACCAGAAAAATCCCAAATTCAGACCCAAGTCACATATGACCCTTTTGTAATGTATACAATTCTCATCGGTTAAATGCAAAATGACCCGGGCAGAACCACCACACATGAATAACTCAATCTCACCCAGCACCAAGGCAGCCAGGAAGCAGAAGAGCTAGCTTCCCGGGGACAGAGGGGGCCTGGCGAAGTTACCAGCATTTCACGTTTTTAATAAAACATTTACTTATCTTACGGCTTAGTTGGGACCAACATCAGAAAATCCAAGTAAATGTGGTCTGAGGCTGTGTAAGCAAAGGCCTGGAGTTTATTGCACATTATTTGATTGAAAGCATGGTTTGTTTCTTTGTCGGGGGGAGGGCGATGTTGACAGCTCGTTGTTATTTTAAGGCCCTGTAACCCCATGGTCTGCAGGGCCTGCAATGAGAGGCCCCAGAGACAGAAGCTAAAACTGCTTGTAGCAATCTCTGTTTTTAGTTCTTCTGGATGTTACCACCATGTCACTAAGCAAAATGCTTATGCCACTATTTCTGAATAATTATCTTTAGATATTATTTAATGACTTCTCATGAATAATGGATTTCAGTCATCTTTACCCTCCCCCCATATAGTTCCAGCATGATTTTTATTTCGTGTAATGGTCACCTTTGTGATTCCATCTATAGTCATATTTAGATTCCTGACTTGAAGAGAAGAGACTATTAGCACCCCTGCCCTACCTCCACTCCCCTTCCTCCTTCTGCTTCTCATCTCTATCTTCCACACTTTTACACTGTAATGGGTGATGACATCTACACTTTGTTCAGAGCTTTGGCTATAGGTTAAATTTTAAAAATCAAAATACAATAAATAGTGCTTACATTCTAGCAACCATATAAATATTCTCTGCAGAGAAAAGGAAAGGTCTGTGATTACATTTCCTTCCTTGCAGCTCCAGTGTTATAATCACTATGCTACTCAGCAGAGAACATTCAGATGGAATCTCTTTCTTACCTTCTACCATTTGCTTAAAATAATGCCACATATAGCTATTTATTTGTTTATTCATTCATTTATTCATTCGAGATGGGGTCTTGCTCTGTTGTCCAGGCTGGAGTGTAATGGTGCAATCTCGGCTCACTGCAACCTCCACCTCCAGGATTCAAGTGATTCTCCTGCCTCAGCCTCCTGAGTAACTGGGATTACAGACACCTGCCACCACACCCGGCTAATTTTTGTATTTTTAGTAGAGATGGAGTTTCACCATGTTGGCCAGCCTGGTCTCAAACTCCTGACCTCAAAGGATCCACCCACCTTGGCCTCCCAAAGTGCTGGGATTACAGGCATGAGCCACTGCGCCCAGCCATGTACATTTATAATTGTACTATATCTCCTTTGGTCACCATCTTGTCTTTTTTTTTTTTTTTTTTTTTTTTTTTTTTGAGACAGAGTCTTGCTCTGTCGCCCAGGCTGGAGTGCAGTGGCGCGATCTCGGCTCACTGCAAGCTCCGCCTCCCTGGCTCACGCCATTCTCCTGCCTCAGCCTCCAGAGTAGCTGGGACTACATGTGCCCACCACCACGCCCGGAGAATTTTTTGTATTTTTAATGGAGACGGGGTTTCACCGTGTTAGCCAGGATGGTCTCGATCTCCTGACCTCGTGATCCACCCACCTCAGCCTCCCAAAGTGCTGGGATTACAGGAGTGAGCCACTGGGCCCGGCCACCACCTCGTCTTCTGATTGCTTTTTTTTTTCACTTCTGGAGAGAGGAAATCTATATGTTCTTCACCATATCTCTAATACCTTCTTTACCTTCTCTCTAATATCTAATACTATATATACATACATATAGTGTGTATATATATATGCATGTATATATAGTATTATATGTATATATATAATAACCAGGTTCTTATTTATGTTATCCATTGCTTGAATTAACAATGTTTTTTCAAAACCTATAAAAAGACCTTAAACAAGATAAGGATGAGAGGAACCTTGAGTTGCCCAAGATAAAATTTTGTCTCAAAGTCTCTCACTTTGTTTCATGTGTTTAATCTCTCAATATATTTAATCTATTGGCAATTACAATAATTTTTGTTTTGGTCACAAAAAATAAGCTCCTGGGCTGGACACGGTGGCTCACGCCTGTAATCCCAGCACTTTGGGAGGCCGAGGAGGGTGGATCACCAGGTCAGGAGATGGAGACCATCCTGGCCAACATGGTAAAACTCTGTCTCTACTACAAATACAAAAATTAGCTGGGCGTGGTGGCATGCGCCTGTAGTCCCAGCTACTCGGGAGGCTGAGGCAGGAGAACTGCTTGAACCTGGGAGGCAGACGTTGCAGCGAGCTGAGATCACGCCACTGCACTCCAGCCTGGGTGACAGAGCGAGACTCTATCTCAAAAAATAAATAAGCTGCTGGTATTACTGTGTTAACATTAATTTTTTCTCTTATCATCTTAACTGCTTTCCTTCATTCCCTGTTACAATTTCTGGCATATGCACAAAACCATAATGCCAGGTATAGGCAAATAGTTCTCAAGAAAATTGTTTGGAAAACAACAGAAAGAACAATGTGTTGGCTATCAATGCTTGTCAGAGTAAAGACCAAATACACATTATCTTAGGGAGTGAGGACTACATGGTTCATTGGCATCTGACCTTACTGTTCCTGCCAAGGGATTCGGTTGAGAAGGGAGTATTATTTTATATTTGGGTGGACTTGGGTCAATGCCACTCTAAAAAATAAGGTGCTAGCTCTCTGTATTGACACAAAAATTTCATAAAACCGCTATTGGGAAAGAAGTTTTGGATGGGAGCAAGAAAGCTGAAAATCTTCAAACTGTAAATTTCATTTTTTTCTAAAAGTTTACAATATATGCATACTAGATTATGATTTTAGCAGTTTACTTATATACTTCAATGATTAATTGTTTTGCAGGCCATCACCAAAACATCATTGAAATGGTTCACTAGGTTCATCACATTTGGCTTCTAAGAAACCAAACCTACTGTGAGGTGGCTACCCCAGTTCATTTTTTTCTCAGACTGGAGAAAAGTTCTGTATCCAGTCTTGTTCTAGATCTGTTGAGTGACTTACCTTCCACTTCCCCACCAGAGGCAGCAATTTTAGAGAGGTGTAGATATGTTGTTCCAACTACATCATTTTTAGTAAGACGGTCCCTGTGTAAAAAATAAAAATAAAAAAATAAAAAATAAAAGGTTCAGAGCTCCATCTAGGAAGATATGTCTTCATTTCAACAATTAAAAAAAAGTTAGAGCTGGAAAATACCCCAGACTTCAGAAATAATCACGTCTAGTGGGCCTCAAACTTTATTGTACTTAGTAATCAACTAGAGACTTCTCACCCTCATCTCCTGCCCACATTTTTAATTCAATAAGCCTAGAGTGGGGACTAAGAATTTGCATTTATAAGTGTATCCCAATTGATTCTGATACAGATGGTCCTCCAGTCACCCTTTGGAAACACTGGTCTAGTAAGGTAATTTATTCTGAAGTTATGAAATTGCAATTGTACAGAGAGGCCAAGAGATGTGCCTATGGCTACACTCAATACCATTGTCATAAAATGAATTAATCAATTATAGGCACATTACATAATTATGATTGTGATGATCATGATGATGGTAACGATATTTGTCATGTTTCCACTGTCAGGGAGCTAAGGGTGCCTGCTGAATGCTACATCCAACTAGAACATTCCAAGAATGGTCTTGTTATGGCCAATCAGTGCTAGAAGGCTGGTCTACTAAAAATTCTATCAGAACATTTCAAGGACTTTTCCTTGCCTTCATTGAGGTAGTTTTACCATTTTCTTTTTAAACAATAACAATGAATTGCTCTCAGAATGTTTTGGTGATTCTTCCCAAGAAATGCTTGACTGTATTTCTGAAGTCTATTCTGGACAGCCTAATGATAATTAAATCCCTGATTTCTTATCTTGGGGCATTTTCAGCACGTTCCCCTTCTTTTGTTTATGAGCAGTTGAACCGAAATAATCGAAGCTTTTTTTGCAGTAACACTATTATTAAATTTTGTTTTAAGAAACGCCCAGTTCCAGGAGCAATTTATCCTCTCCTCTGGAAGGAAAGCAAAATACCAGAAAGAGACAATCCAGAGTAATGTTTCACAATATCCAATGTTTATTTTATGTTGAATTAGACACATACGTATTTTCAACTCACCAGTCATATATTGTTAGTTTTATTTTTTCACACACTGAAGGAAACTAAAAAAATGAGACAGAAAAAAGTAGTTATTTCTCAATGATTTAGTAATTATTAAGTAAGTATTCTTACTTTTTCAGAAAGAAAATAAAGTCAAACCTTGATCTGAAGATTGACGACCTGATTCCACTCTGGGTTTGCATTTTTCTCAATTATGTTTGTACAAACCTGTAAAATCACCAAAGCAAAAGTGTAGGTTTTCAAGTTTCTAATTTCTAAAAGTTTACAATCTATGCATACTAGATTATGACTTTAGCAGTTTACTTATATACTTAGGAACCTGGTTAAACTTTATTTTTCTTGATGATTTGTAAAATATGACATGGGTTTAATATTAATCATTGCTGTTTCGAGGCACTAGGAGCTTGCTTTTAACCTTTTTTTAATTAGTTTTCAATTGTCAGGCTTCTAACATTAGATTAATGTAAAAAAGCAAGAGATAAGGTTGATAGAGCATTTGTTACATACCGTTTGGGAAGCATCTACCATTAACACATCCAGACAGATCTTTTGACCCTGCCCGCCAGCCTCCCTGCCCTCTACCCCAAACTGACTCTTGTTCCAGTCTTTCCATCGCTCTTCATTCAGGTGGTCAGGCTCAGAACCAGAATCAGCCACACCCTGACACTTCCGTCTTCAAGCAGATCCTGGAATGTCTTCAAGCTGATCCTGAAATGTTTCTCCCCAGGACACCTGCGGTTGTCTATCTGAACTCCACACCCTCTCTTGCCTCCTGACTTTCATGTCACTTCTGTGTAACATCTTCAGGGGGCCCTCAAAGTACACTTCAAATAAAGCCCCAATCCTTCCCTGGGCTGATGAAGCCCTACTGTCCCAACCCTACTTCTCACTGACCTCCTAGTTTTCCCCGCTTGCTGGCTCTACCGCAGCCACATGGGCAGGCCTTCCCTGCTAACATTTTCTTCCTTGGGGCCCTTCCATCGCCCTTCTCCCTGCCTGGATGCCTCCCTCCCCAATCTCTGCATATCCAGGCCTCTGCTCAACTGTCACTTTCTCCAGGAGTCTCACCTGATAACCTGGATAAACACTCCTCCCCTGCACCAATCACTTCTTGTCCCTGCTTTGTTTTCTTTGTAGCACTGGGCACCATTTAAAATTATTCAGTTTCTTGTTTGCTTGTTTATTGTCTGTCTCTTCTATTCCCATGTGTTCGTTTCTATATCCCAGCACATGGGACAGAATCTGGTACTTAATGACTTTTTGAATGAATCAAACCTCTCAACAATCCTGTGATTGTTATTATCTCCCTTTATAGTTCAGGAAATGGAAACTCAGAGGGTAAACGATTTGCCTGCCTATGAAGTGGGGTAAAGCCTGAATTTAATTCAGGCCTCATTTTGCCCCAGAGCTGAAGGCTTTTCTACCACACCCACTGAATCTTTTAGAAAAAAGCACCAGTCATATGTGTATGTGTATGTGGTTTGCCGAATCTTGCTTTCATAATTATATGGTTCGAACACATAAAAGATGCTAGTTCTTTTTGTCTATAACTGTCCATGATGTGCTATTATTCTACTGTAGAATCTCACCCAACTCTCAACTCTCCAATCTTTGACCATCTCTGTAGGTAAAAGTGGTGGTTATAGCTGTCCCTACACCAAGAGTCTCCCAGATATTTTCAGGGGAGTGGGATGGGGCTTCCCTGACCCATTCTCTGGTTTCAACAGTTTACTGGGGCATGGAAGGTGAGAAACATGACAGGAAGGGGCAACAGGGCACTGGGGGGGGGTCTCTGTCCTACAACATTTACCAGGGATGGGTGTGGCTGGCCAGAGAGCTTGCCTAAGGTTAAGATAACGTTTGGACCTGAAAAGCAATTCCAGAAATTCAGTGGTAGCCTTCCCTATTTTAATCTCTCAAAAGATTGAATTTTCTAATTTGTGTTCTGCATACTTTCCACTCCAAAATAAACCTGTGGAGAAGTCTGGCGTGTTCAGACTCAGATAATCTGTGTTCCCTCAGAGTGCCTGGCTCATCAGGGGGCTATTTTAACAAAGAGTAAGCAGGAATTCACTCCAAGGAAAGCACAGTAGTTTTAGATATTTATTACTAGCAGCATCTGCATTTAGATCATGTACAAACCTTTTTTCCAGCAAAGGAAACTTCTACAAAAGGATCCACGAGATTTTTCTTATCTGCATTGCCTCCAAATATTTCCTTTACTGTCTGTGAGAAGGCATCATCCACTGGAAGGTAATAGTTATACAGCAGAAATTAAATTCAATTCCCAGAAATTTGGCAAAATTTTAAAAGTTCTCTTATACATCAAAATAGTTGCAACAGGCTAGGCGCAGTGGCTCATGCCTGTAATCCCAGGACTTTGAGAGGCCAAGGCTGGTGGATCATGAGGTCAGAAGAGCAAGGCCATCCTGGTCAACATGGTGAAACCCCTTCTCTATTGAAAATACAAAAATTAGCTGGGTGTGGTGGCACGCGCCTGTAATCCCAGCTACTCGGGAGGCTGAGGCAGGAGAACTGCTTGAACCTGGGAGGCGGAGATTGCAGTGAGCCAAGATCACACCACTGCAGTCCAGCCTGGTGACAGAGCAAGACTCCATCTCAAAACAAACAAACAAAATTAGCCAGGTGTGGTGGCACATGCCTGTAATCCCGGCCACTTGGGAGGCTGAGGCATGAGAATCACTTGAATCTTGCAGTTAGCCAAGATCAAGCCAGTATATGCCAGCCTCCAGCCTAGGTGACAGAGTGAGGCTCTATCTCAAAATAAAATAAAATAAAACAAAAACTTGATCTTTTATGGAGGAAAAAAAATACAACAAAGTTCATTCAGTGAGAGTAAAAGATGATTCTCAAACTCAGGCCTGCTTTCAATTGGGAGAAAGGTGCTCTAGGTCAAAATGATATAGTCCTAGTCTGTTTCAGAGAAATTCAAGAAAATTTGACATAATCACAAATAATATATTTAATCAACTACAATCTATAGTTAAGCTAAAAAGTAAATAGAGATCAGGATTTTAATTTACCTTATTTTATGTATTTCTTTCTTCTTCTTCTTCTTCTTTTTTTTTTTTTTAAATAGAGACAGTAGTCTTGCTATGTTGCCCAGGCTGGTCTTGAACTTTTGGCCTCAAGCAGTGCTCCTACCTTGGCCTTCCAAAGTGCTGGGATTATAGGCATGACCCACTGCCTCCAGCCCATTTGACACATTTTTGAGAGAAAGGTGGGTATGGGGAGGCCCTACAATACTATCTTTTAAGACCATAGGATCTTAAAAGAGGAAAAGGATTCCCAAGAAAAGCAGCAAATCCTGAAGAGATCCATGGCCTGTATAGTGAGTGCAGCCTCCTGGGGACTTGGAGAAGGGTCCCATGTCCCAGAGCCCAGCAGGAACCAGACAGGCCCAGCAAGGCAAATAGGAGGCTGGGCCATCAGCAGTGACAGAGGGATAACCACACTAGTTCCTATAAATGGAATCACTAGAAGCGATCCCTTAAATGCAACCAGTCTCTTGCTGAATATATTTCATAATACAATAGTGGCAGACTTCTAGTCATTGGGACATTACTACCCTTTGCTCAGCATGTTTTTTTTTTTTTTTTTTTTTTTGAGATGGAGTCTCACTCTGTTGCCCAGGCTGGAGTGCAGTGGTGTGGCTCACGGCAACCTCCGCCTCCTGGGTTCAAGTGATTCTCATGCCTCAGCCTCCCAGGTAGCTGGGATTATAGGCACCCGCCACCATGCCCAGCTAATTTCTGCTATTTTTTTTTTATAGCTGGATAGCAAACACCTTGATTTGATAATAACAGTTCACATTTTCATTTGGGATAAAAGGGGTTGGAAGTGCTGACTGCTCATATCTCTTTAGCATCCTCTAGAATAAAGAGAAGATATAGAATAGCAAGAGAGAGAGTCAAATGGGCCAAAGGCAGGTACTCAACAAGGAACATGATCAGCAACCAACTAGCTGTGCCATGAGCCTGCTCAGGTAGCTTTCAACTGGGCCAGAATGAATGAAAATAAGCCCATGAAGCCCTTTCAGAAGAAAAACATACGATAGGGACACGAATCACTATTAAAGTTTGATTTTTAACACATTTCATCACACACATAATCAACAATTCTGGGGCAAGATTAAATCAGTACATACTCTGGGGGATGTCCTCAGCTCGGTAGATTTTCAGCAAGAAGGTCACCCACCGGAGGGCAATGCCAGCAGGGAGTAACAAATTACTCTCCACATCATCACTGTCATTATCACGATCTCGTCTCTCAGGCTATTAGGGGCACATGATTTAAATTATACATACAGAAAAGCAGCACTTGGAAAAAGCCAAATTAATGCTTATAAAATGAAACCATTCAGAATCGTTTCCATTAAGATTTCCTGTGTTTGGGGCTTAAGAGTTCAGCCTGCCATCAGCCACCAGTTTTCCTTCAACCTCAAAACTGCTCCACAAAATCAATGCTCATGTTTTTGTATCATTCTGTCATTTTATGAGCACCAAATAGTAAGAGCCTGTGCGTGTGTGTGTGTGTGTGTGTGTGTGTGTGTGTGTGTGTGATCCTGATGTCCCTTCAACTTCTCTCTGGCCACTTATATTCTGCAGTTTGCCACCCAGTTTCCTAGAATAATCACTAACTATTTAGGTAGCAATGCCTAATTCTGCAAGTAGGTCATGCTTTCTAGATAAAAGCAGTCTTTCTAATGAGGCAAGGACGTTGTAAAAACACATTCATCGATTCTCAATTAAATGCTCACTCATAGACATCAGATAAGAGTTTAAGTAAGCTAGAACAATAATTCCATGATGAAGAAAAGAACAGCTTCTGAAGAATAGGGGGAATCTGAGGGTATTGACGGGAAGCTGTGCTCCATTTCACAATTACCCATGCCCACATGCTTAACTCTTGGCCTTCTTTTTTAGTGAGAAGTGTAGAAAGTAGAGAATGTAGGGACTCACAGGAGGCTCATCTCCGGTTCCCAGGACAAACATGCTGACTTTCATATAACCTTTAGAACCTGAACTGGTATCTTCCGGGTCATTGAGAAGAAGCCACTTTCTCATGACAGCATGGCCTAAAATAGAGAAGGAGTAAAAGGAAATGGACATGCTAAAAAGGTACTGATAAGTCTGTGATTCCTCTGCCATAAGATAAGCTGCATTTTCTTGGAAGCCTCTTCACGACACACCAAATTCCCCAGATGAGTGTCCACTTTCACGTCTTCTGTTTTGTACTCTCCCTACACCCCACCCCCACCATTCTGTCCTCGTGTAACTCAAACAAGACTCTCTAAGTTGTACCAACGAGTTTTATAATTTAATTTTGATAAGATCAAAATATCCTCACAAAACATAGAAATCATCTATTTTGAATGTTAAGATAAAAAATTAGACATTTTTTCTAAGCTACTGTTATTTATTCCCACTAAGTATCCTCTCCTCTCCCTCATTAAGAAAATATTTTTTAAAAAATTCCTTTAACTTTAATTCTTTGATCCCCCCCAAATTGTCTTGATTCTTAGAATCATCTTCAGAGTTAGAAGGAATGAATTTAAGACTTCATATTGATGGGGAGAACATTACTTACCAGGTTCATCATAAACAAATCCAACATCAATCTGGGAAAACAATAATCGAAAGTAGTCTAAGTAGATTTTAAAATCAGTCTAGTCACTTTAAAGAAGCCATCATTATATTTAAATATCATGTCTTGATTACACTTAAATTTCCTTGAGACCCAACATTTCCGTCTTATCCTCTCTGTATCCCCAGTGCCTTGTCTGATGTGTGGCACATGGAAGACCCTCAGTAAGTCACTATTGAATGAATGAGCTAGTCTTAGGGCTGGAAGGGACCACAGAAGCAGAGTGACCAATATGACCCAGTTTGCCTGGGTTATCCTCAGTTTTACCACTAAAGTCCCAGGCAAAGTGGGACCATTGGTCATCCTACAGAAATTCACCTGGCCCAATTTCCTGTCCAGTTCTCCTCCTCCTCCTCCTTCTCCTCCAGCTAATGCTACTATTAATATAACCATTGACTGGGCACTTCAATGTGCCAGGTGCTGTACTAGGTGCTTTACACATACTATCTCATTTAATTTTCTCAATGATCCCATTTTACAGATGAAGAAACTAAGGATCAGAGAGATTGAGTTCCTCTGGGACATGTGGCTACTTGGTGGCAGACAGGGTATGAACACAGGTCTGCCTGACCCAGATCATCCTCTAGGACTTCTAGTGACTGGTGCTCCTTTCTTGGAGAGGCAGCCTATTCCATGTAGAATTGCTGGGAAGAAGCCAACCAAGTATTTGTCCTTTCATTCCAGTGAGAGCTACTTATAGAAGCACCCTGAACCTCTTGCCTTGTTTGGCTTTCCTTTCACACTCTGAATTTACCATAATTGGCTTTGCAGATGGAGCTTTGGGGCCCCCAGTAAGTGGAGGTAGATGGTGGACTTCTTGCCATGGTCAACACCCCTTCCCTTTGTGGCAGTGGATTTGCTTCCATCCAGATACAACCCTGGGAAGGGCCCTGATATGGCAGCTTCAGGGCATCTTGCTTTGAGAGCTCTGTTCACTGTTATACTTTGGAAATAGACAAGCCCCAAGCAGCCTTCAGCAAGTGTCATCATGCTGAACCCTTACACATTCCCAAGATGCCACCAAGATGCGTACATAGGAATCAGATTTCTATTATGAAAGTTCTCATCTTTCTGTAAGTTGAATGAAGCAGACTGTTGTCACTCACCTTAAATTCCCCCATCAGACAATCTGCCCGCAGAGAGTGAGAATTATAAACCTGGAAGAAAGAAGAGTAGTGAAGAAATGATTGGCTTTGCCTGGCAGTGAGTGAGCAGTACCTTCCTACTTGCTGACCCTTACCCGGATGCTGATGATCTCATCCATCAATTCAGAAGGGGTCATGTTGACATTGTAGAAAAACAACTGCCAAAACAATAGAGCAGATGTTTAAATGTTAACAGGGGATTCGGGTTAGGGGAATCTGATACTATAATTTTGGGGGCCCTCCTAAAAAATGCAAAACACAAATTCAAAATTAGGTTTGACCATGTGAACACATGGCAAGGCCTGGAGTTTAAGCCCTGCAGTTTAAGCTTCATGGTAAACCCACTTCTTCATGTTGGAAAAAGGAGAAAAGGGTAAGTAACAAATATAGCATTTACTTAACTAAAGAAAATTGTTCACCTGGGGCTAGATATCTAAAAGCTAAATAATGTAAAGATCCAAAGCTAAGCAGGTATCGGGGTACACCCCTGTAATCCCAACACTCAGTAGGCTGAGATGGGAGGAGTGCTTGAGCCCAGGAGTTCAAGACCAGCCAGGACAATATAGTGAGAGGCCATCTCAAAAAAAAAAAAAAAAAAAAAGGGAAAAAGATCCAAGGTGACTTCATGCTGCAATGCTTATCAAAATGAGCGCTTAGAGCTGGCATGACCTGGAGTGTGTTTTAAATTTCTCTAATATCTTTAGCTCTATTAGTGTCTAGTGACTCTAATTTTACTCCAAGAAAGCACCTTTCAAGACAATTTTGCCCATTAGATTAAGTTAGTGCCTCAGCAAAGTCAATATTGACCACATTGTAAAAGCTAATTTTAAGAAGGTTGATTCTTGGGATATGAATATTAGGTATATAGGAGGTTTAACCATGTTAGGCTAATAAATGTTAATCCTAAAAGATTGAACACTTACTCCAACTGAGACTTTTTCCTCCAACTTTTTACTTAGGAATATTTCTAATCTACAGGACAGCTGAAAGAATGGTAAAATAAATACCACCTTTCACCTATGTTCACCAATTGTTCCATTTTTGGACATTTGCTTTATCTCTTTTTTAAACTGAACTATTTGCAAGAAAGCTTTAGAGATCATGACACTTCACCCCTTCAAAATACATTTACATGCATCTCCTAAGAGCAAGGACATCCTCCTATAGAATTGCAACACCATTATCATAACCAAGAAATTTAACATCTAACAGAGTCAATTTTCAAATTTCTCCAATCATCCCTACAAAAAAACTTTAGCTTTTCAAAGAAATCTAGGATCTATGCAAGAATCATACGTTGCATTTCGTTTTTGAGTCTCTTCAGCTTCCAAAAGGAAGCTATATAAAAATATAGAACAGTGCTATTTCCTTTTTTGTTTCTTGTGTTTTTTCTTGCCTTTTGTTCTTCTTTAAATAGAGATGAAGTTTCACTATGTTGCTCGGGCTGGTCTTGAACTACAGGCCTCAAGTGATCCTCCTGGCTTGGCCTCCCAAAGTACTGGGATTACAGGCGTGAGCCACCATGCCCGTTGTTTTGTAGAATATCCCACAGTCTAGATTTGTGTGAATGTTTCCTCACTGTCGGATGCAAATTGGCCATTTGACAAGACTTGACACAGGTGATGTTGATTACTTCCATTATCTCACATGAGGACACCACATCATTTTTGTTCCTATTATTGGTGATAACAAGTTTAATATTACTTGGTTAAAAAGATATATACAGGCTAGGATTTTTTTTTTTTTTTTTTTTTTTGACGGAGTCTCTCTCTGTTGCCCAGGCTGGAGTGCAGTGGCACGATCTTGGCTCACTGTAACCTCCGCCTCCAGGCTTTAAGCAATTCTCCTGCCTCAACCTCCCGAGTAGCTGGGATTACAGCCACCCATCACCATGCCAGGCTAATTTTTTGTTGTGAGACAGAGTCTCGCTCTGTCACCCAGGCTGGAGTGCAGTGGCCCAATCTTGGCTCACTGCAACCTCCGCCTCCCAGGTTCAAGCAATTCTCCTACCTCAGCCTCCTGAGTAGCTGGGACTACAGGTGTGTGCCACCACACCCGGCTAATTGTTTGTATTTTTAGTAGAGACGGGGTTTCACCATGTTGTCCAGGCTGGTCTTGAACTCCTGATCTCCAATGATCTACCCACCTCGGCCTCCCAAAGTGCCAGTATTACAGGCGTGAGCCACCACGCCTGGCCAGGCTAGAAATTTTTTTAGTAAACCTCTTTTATATATATATATATATATATATATATATTTGTTTTTATCATCTTACTTTTGTTTCTCCTATCCCGTAAAATTTTTTTATCGATTAATGTACTGGACTTCTCTTTTGCCAAGAGGTCTAATCCCCCTCAAACTCATTAAAATGGGAAAATTCTGAGGAAGGTGGAGATGTTTGCTGGGCTCCTGGGAATGCAGCTGAGTCAACAGGAAGCCTGCATTATCAATGCATAGACAGGGTTTACGCGTTAGGCCCAAGTAATCCAGCATCTTGCCTCCTCCCCACCCATCCAGTCTTGCCCTCCAACGTGAATCTCTCTGCCTTCCCTGAAGTCCATTTCCAGTGCCCCATCTCTGTGCAGCCCCTACCTCTCATGAGAATGTGTATACTACTGTACTTGGCTGCCTGCTGTCGTCTGCGATTCCTTTGAGGGGAGAGGTTAGAGGTTAGAGGTGAGAAGAAAATAGGACCTTCTGCAGAGCTGGAAGCCAGTTTGAACGAAGAGGAAGAAATAGAAACGCGGCATAGAAGAAATCATTTCTTTTCTGAATAAAGAAGTAGGAAAAAAAAAAGGACAAACGCCAGAGCTGGGATTAGAGCCGTAGGGAATGAAGAGGTAGTGTGGTAAGACAGGCCTGGGCTGGAGAACAGAGCAGGAGACATAGGCCTGAGGAATCCCAGAAATGTGTCTCCTCAGCACAGTTGGCCAAGACTCTGAAAAGTTCCCTAAATATATCATTTCTCCCCACAGCCCAGTCATGGAGTTTTGTGGCATTTGAGATGATTGTCAAGGTATCATGTATTTTTGAGGAGTGTTATAAAAGAGGGCAGTAGAACAGGCTAAGTTCTCAGTATGGGAGGCAGGGCGCAGTGGCTCATGCCTGTAATCCCAGCACTTTGGGAGGCCAAGGTAGGTGGAACACCTGAGGCCAGGAGTTTGAGACCAGCCTGGGAAACATGGCAAAACCCCATCTTTACTAAAAATACAAATATTAGCTGAGCGTGGTGGTGTGTGCCTGTAGTCCCAGCTACTTGCGAGGCTGAGGTGAGAGAGGATTGCCTTAGCCTGGGAGGTGGAGGTTGCAATGAGCTGAGATTGCACCACCACACTCCAGCCTTGGCAACAGAGACTCTGTCTCAAAAAAAAAAAAAAAAAAAAAAAAAGGCCGGGTGTGGTGGCTCACGCCTGTAATCCCAGCACTATGGGAGGCCGAGGTGGGTGGATGACGAGGTCAAGAGATCGAGACCATCCTGGCCAACATGGTGAAACCCCGTCTCTACTAAAAATACAAAAAAAAAAAAAATTAGCTGGGCGTGGTGGCGGGCGCCTGTAGTCCCAGCTACTCGGGAGGCTGAGGCAGGAGAATGGCGTGAACCCAAGAGGCAGAGCTTGCAGTAAGCCAACATCACGCCACTGCACTCCAGCCTGGGCGACAGAGCCAGACTCTGTCTCAAAAAAAAAAAAAAAAAAAAATTTATCAGTATGGGGGGCAAAACAAACAAAGCCCCTGTGTGCTAATAACTGCTTTCCTTTAACATATATTATTTTTGCAGCCAAGTACGTTTTGACACCTCTAAAAAACTGGATTAGTCACGAGAGTTGTCCCTCAGAGACACCCTGCTAATTAGAATAAGCAAAGGTAGATTTAGGAGACATCATGTCCTCTCTCATAAGGGTCGAAGGGATCATCAAGAAGTTATCACAAAAACACCAGAAAGGCAACAGCATCTCTGAGAACCACTGACAGAGGGGACCAGGTAATTTTCCTTTTTTTAAAGGCATCTCACTATATTGCCCAGGCTGGTCTTGAAAATCTGGGCTCAAGCACTCCTCCCGTCTCAGCCTCTTGAGTGTTGGGATTACAGGTGTGTACCCCCATACCTGCTTAGCCTTGGATCTTCACATCATTTAGCTTTTAGATATCTAAAAGCTAGATATCTTTTAGATTGTCCCAAGTGAACAATTTTATTTAAATAAATGCTGGCCGGGCGCGGTGGCTCATGCCTGTAATCCCAGCACTTTGTTGGCGGGTGGATCACTTGAGTTCAGGAGTTCGAGACCAGACTGACCAACATAGTGAAACCTCTACTGAAAATATAAAATTAGCCAGGTGTGGTGGTGCATGCCTGTAATCCCAGCGACTTGGGAGGCTGAGGCAGAAGAATCACTTGAACCCCGGAGGTGGAGGTTGCAGTGAGCCGAGATCACGCCACTGCACTCCAGCCTGGGCAACAAGAGCGAAATTCCATCTCAAAAAAAAAAAAAAGCTATATTTGTTACTTACCTATTTCTCCTTTTCCAATAGCAGAAGTGGGTTTACCATGAAGCTTAAACTCCAGGGCTTTTTCCAAGACCCTGCCATGCGTTCACATGGTCACACCTAGTTTTGTTCCTGTGATCTCTACTTGGAACTCAGTGGTGTCTTCACCAGTGAAGCTGCTCCCGTGTTTCCCTCCCCAGTGGGACTCATGAGCAGAAACATGCCCTCTCAACCCCTTTACCTCATCAAAAAAAGGGTTGTTTCCTCTCTTGATTCTTGTTCGGTGTGTCTGGCCACAGACGTGAACTTTGACCACAGGCCTTATGTTGTTACCACTTAACTGTCGGCCCTCAATCACTCGGACGCGGATCTGCAGCACAGAAGGGGGATGGTTACCCAACCTTTCCCAGCACGTGGGATCCTTAGGATCC
This sequence comes from Homo sapiens, assembly GCF_000001405.40. NCBI lineage: Eukaryota > Metazoa > Chordata > Mammalia > Primates > Hominidae > Homo > Homo sapiens. The sequence continues at coordinate 93,408,977 of NC_000010.11, forward strand.
TCAGGTGTTGCTTCATTTCCTTCACCTATTAGGATTGCTAACACCAGGCCAGGGCAGCTTTGTGCTATACCAGGTGCTACCAATTGGGTGGAGCCACCTAGGGTCATTCCCAAGATGGGAACTGGGGTTGGGTTATAGAGACCAAGAGCAGCTGTAGGGATGAAATCATTCAAAGCCGGCCTGGGAAAGGGCAGGGCAGGTGGAGGTCACTGCTCAGACTCCAGTCATGCACCTGGTCTTGCTGAGCCTAGTGATGAACTAACTCCATAGCTGCCTTCCAAATCTAAGACAGGGCCCAGAGCTGCGAAAAACACAGTATTTGCGCTTCTATTCTTTGATTAGCTCTTTCCTTCTGCCAAAGGGAAGGAGAATTATAGTTTTATTTCTCTGGAGACCATCAGCTGGCTAGACTAAACCCACTTGTGCCTGCAGAAGAAAGATGGAGAGCTTTTCTTACTGGGTTTATACACTGACATCTCTCTTTACCGGTTGAGCCATTGTCCATTGGAATAGGTCCACTGAAACATCACTGCAATTGCCAGAAGATGGGCAATATAAAGATTAAACAAAGAAGCAGAACGCCAGGCCGTTGCTACCTGGAAGTCCTGTGGCTTATTTGACAGCATCCGCCGGCTGTTCTTTACTTTGGTGAGCCTCCGAGCAAGCTGAGCTTCCGACACCGTCCCAACTGGCCCCTTGGGCCCAGGGCCCCTGACTGCATTGTCCAACCTGTCTTCATCACCTTCATCTTCTTCCCCATCTCCTAAAATATCAGAAAGAAACCCAGTGAGGGATAGCCCTTATCCTGTAAATGTCCAAAGGCTCAGGTTTCCAGGACACGGTTTTGTCTGCCATTATGTTTTAAGTGTTCCTAAAGTGGCAGGTGAAGGAGATCCTCTTGGTGACACTGACTTGGGACTTCTTGTGACTTGGAAAAATTCTTTAGGAAAATGTGTTCACAGTACATCGGGGCTGTTGCTCAGGTTGCCTTCGAAGAGACCAAGAGAATGGCAGAGATCACAGGGACAATGAGAGGAGATGGCACCGTTGGACCCAGCCAGGGATTGCTGAGTTCTCATTAGTGTTAGGATGGAAAAAGGAAGAAACATCACGGAACACTGCAGTCTTGCAATGACAAGCTTCAACTCCATCCCTCCCACTGCAGATCTTCTCTCTAGAGATCTGCTCGTGATCTATTTGTACTGTTTCCTGCTTGAGCCTCCTAATTCACAACTGCTCTTTCCACCCTAATGGCAGAAGAGAAACTCTCCTCATTTTCTTGCCAAGCACCAAGGTGATCATCTTGCTCTTCCTTCCTCCTCCTGGTTTGTCACTTTAACACACACGTGTCCCCTCCTTTATCCCTCTACCTTCCCTCTGCACTCAGGAAAAGGTTTACCCTGCTCAGCAGAGTGAAAATCTCAACCCTCTGCCATGCATTAGATCCTGCTACCTCCTGAATATTTGCAGATCCTACTACCTCCTGATTATTTTCAGGCTCCCCAAATGTCTCCTCTCTCTTGTGTACCTCTGGGGGTTCCGTCTCTATTGCAGCTTTTCCTCTGCCTTCAAGTAGACACAGATCTTTCTCTCCCTACAAAACCAAAAACCAAAAATCAACTCTGCCTACTACCTCTCCTCTTTCTTTTATTCACGAGCTCTTTGAAACTCGCTGACAAACTTTAGCTTTTCTTTTCTTAATACACAAAGAGTTAGAACTTCTGGTAATCTGTACAATATAATCTAAGAGAGCCTAGAAGACAAGCCACCCTGTCTAGAACCCTGCTTTTGGATTCTGAAACTCCTTCTCTACGATGCAAGATTATGAAAGAGATTTAATTTCCAAGGACAGTCACCTGTCAGTCATTCACATCCTGGTATGAATGAGTTTCATCAGATTACTATGTAGCATAGCTCTTGAAATCTTGGGCTCTGAAGCCACGTGGCCTAGGCTCAATCCACTCCCCACCCTCCACTTTCGAGCTATGTGAGTCTGAGTAAGTTTCTTAATTTCTCTAAGCTTCAGTTTCTTCATTTGTAAAGAGGGGAAAATAATAGTATTTACCACAGGGTTACTGTAAAGGTGTAATTATCTATAGGCGAAGCCTTTAGCACAGTATCTGGCATACAGAAGCACCCAATAAATTAACTGTTTATTTTTTAGTTTTGCTGTGTAATCAGTTTTGGTTGGTGTCTTCACCTGCTTGGGCTGCTATAACAAAATACCACAACCTGGGTGGCTTTTAGAAAACAGAAATTTATTTCTCACAGTTCTGGAGGTGGGGAAGTCCAAGATCAAGGCACCGGCGGATTCAGTGTCTGGTGAGGGCCCACTTCTTGGTTTGCAGTTGGAGCCTTCTCTGCCTCCCATGATGGAAGAAGCAAAGGAGCTCCCTTGAGCCCATTTTGATCACGGCACTAATCCCATGCATGAGGGCTCTGGCCCCGTGACCTAATCACCTCCCTAAAGGCCTCACTGCCTAATATCATCACGTTCAGGGTTAGGATTTCAATGTGTGAATTGTGGAGGGACACAACCATTCAGACCACTGCAATTGGAAGGGGCTTCTTCTGGAGCACAGGACACTTCCTGGAACCAGCTATGGGGGGTGTGGGGATGGGGCACTGGAGCAGTCCATGGGCAGCACAGCAGGCAGGGGTCCCAAAGTGAGGAAGAGGCAGCCACAAGGGAAAAGGGGGCCTCCACATGCACTGCTTTGCAATTTAGCCCAGGGTGGGCCCTGCTCCTCATCATCCATTCATTCATGCTTCGCCCATCCTAGCCTGGCTTCTGTTCTTCAAAAGTCAATCACCTCTCTTTGCCAAGCTCCGTGCCCTTTTCTGTATCTCCATATTGGATCTTCCACAGCCTTGGACACCAGTGCTCATATACATATTTTTAGATCATTGCAGCTCTCCTCCCCCGATCTGCTTTTTCAGGTTCTTCTGTGGGCCCCTGTTTTTGTCTCCTACTCACTGAGTGTGACTCCCTACTCTGTCCTCTGATCCTTTGACTCAACACTCTGTAGATCCTCACTTCACACTTCCTTCAAGTAGCCATGGACCCACAGAATGTTGTCCTAGAAGGGACCTTAGAGATCCTTGATCCAACCTACCCTTCACCCCATTTTACAGACAGAAAAACTGAGGTCCAGAAAGCTAAGGCAACTTGCCTGTGGTTAAGTTATTAGAAGCTGAGCTAAAACCAGGACCAAGTTTTCACACTGCCTCTCTGGTATAAAACTGGGTTTAAAACCAGGCTGTAGGTGAAGGACATGTTATGCTCCTAGTACCTCAACATCTTTTTCAGGCTACTGGGAAAACCTCATGGAAGTCAAAGATAAGGAATCTTTGTCCTCTGCAAGATGATCTGGACCTCCTCTTGCCTATTCTTGAAGAGACTTCAAAAGAAGGGCTTACCTGCTGTCTCTCTTAGGGCACCTGGATCCAAGCTCTTGGAATCTTCTTCATCCTACTCTCTACCAGGTAAGTTCCTCTCCTTCTTAAGTTTCAGATGAAACTTACTGTCTTCCAACATGCCCTCCCCACCTCTTCCAGATGGAGTTAGTCCCGCTCTCTCCTACCCGCCACACATTGTTCTTTCTAGTCCTCACCACATAGTCTTGCACCTGCTTGTCAACCCATAGGCTTCCCCTACTCCCAGGCATTTCAGAAGCAAGGAGCTTGCCTTTGCTTCTTTGTTTCTGCCCCATGCCTTACAGAACTCATTACACAAAGTATATAGAAAGTGCTTGATAAATGTGGAATGAGTAAACAAATGGGAAGGGGAACAGGATCCCAGGCACAAATGTGCCTTCACATTTGGAAAAACTACTGAACAACTCTCAGGAAAGAACACCCAGATGGCTGAAGGGGTGCTCCTCCCAACCTTGGCACCAGCCTCGGGGAAGCACTGGGGGCCAGGCGCTTCCCCTCGGTAAACCTGTCCTGGACCGAGCAATGGCTGGGGCTGACAGCTGTTGGGTTCCTCCAAGCAGCGAAGACGAACTTCCTTCCATCATCCTGGGCCTAAGTGGTACTTCCTCCTTGCCATAATTATAGCATTTTAGGCTGGTGATTTGTACTTCCTCCTTGCCATAATTACAGCATTTTAGGCTGGTGATTGTTTATGGCAGTAAGCAGGAGAAAAAGTCGGGGTCAATCATACCCCTTTGCAATGCTGGACTCTGGACAAGTACTTATTACATTCTCAGTGGATGCTCTAGAATCAGCCTGCAGATAACAAAGAACGTCTTCTGCTATTCAGACTTTAGGCTAAAGGGATGGGTCAGAGGAAACCAGCCTAAGCCATGGTGACAGCCAGCCTCTGTGCCTTGCAGCAGAAGAATATTCAAGCAGGAAACCTCCCCTTTATGTGGCAGGAAGCTGCAGAGGATTAAACAATGGTACGGGCTCCACAAAGAATGCTATGGGTTCCACAAAGAATGAGGGGGCCCCTATGGCACTGTTAAACACACCCTGATGTGCAAGCTGTGTCATGAGTGAAATGCTAGCAGTTGTGCTGGCAGGCCCTGTTCGTGAGACCCAGGCCTGAATGTGATCCACAGCCAAGTGGATCTACAAAGAGCAACTCTTTCACAACCACAGAGGGCCACACCAAGTCAGGAATCACCCACTGAACAGGAAGCTGCTGGTTGTATTAGCTTCTGAAGGCTGTCGCAGGAAGTCCCACAAACTGGGTGACTTAAAACAATAGAAATGTATTCTCTGGCTAGGCGCAGGGGCTCACACCTCTAATCCCAGTACTTTGGGAGGCCGAAGCAGGAGGATCGCTTGAGCCCAAGAGTTTGAGACCAGCCTGGGCAACATAGGGAGACCCCCCATCTCTACAAAAAAAATTTAAAAACTAGCCGGGTGTGGTGGTGCACACCTGTAGTCTGAGCTATTCGGGAGGCTAAGATGGGAGGACCATCTGAGCCCAGGAGGTCGAGGCTGCAGTGAGCCATGATCATGCCCTTGCACTCTGTCCTGGGTGACAGAGCAAGGAAAGAAAAAGAAAGGTAAGAAAAAGAAAAGAAAAGAAAGAAATGTATTCCCCGACAGTTCCAAACCTTACAAGTATAAAATCAAGATGTTGGCAGAGACGTTCTCTCTCTGAAGCCTCGAGGGAAAAATCCTTCCTGTCTCTTCCTAGCCAGTGGCTCCCGGCAATCCTGAGCATGCCCTGCCTGTGGCTGCATAACTCCAGTCTCTGCCTCTGTGTGGTCACACAGCCTTTCTCCTTCTGTGTCCTCCCGTCTTCTCATAAGAACAAGTGGGCCAGGTTTGGCGGCTCACACCTGTAAACCCAGCACTTTGGGAGGCTGAGGCGGGTGGATCACCTGAGGCCAGGAGTTCAAGACCAGCCTGGTCAACATGGCAAAGCCCCGTTTCTACTAAAAATATTAAAAAATTAGCCAGGTGTGGTGGCGTGCACCTGTGGTCCCAGCTACTTGGGAGGCTGAGGCAGGAGAATCGCTTGAACCTGGAAGGCAGAGGTTGCAGTGAGCTGAGATCATGCCCCTGCACTCCAGCCTGGGCATCAGAGAGAGCCTCTGTCTCAAAAAACAAAACAAACAAACAAGAAACTACAGTCACTGAATTTAGTGTGACTTTATCTTAACTAATTACATCTGCAAAGACCCTGTTTCCAAATAAGGTCATATTCTGAGGTTCCATATAGACATGCATTTTAGAGGGCCACTATTCAGTCCACTAGAGAGGCCATCTTTTTTGTTGTTTTTTGTGGTTTTGTGTTTTTGTTTGTTTGTTTGTTTGTTTTTTTGAGGTGGAGTCTCACTGTGTCATCCAGGCTGGAGTGTAGTGGTACAATTTCAGCTCACTGCAGCCTCTGCTTCCCAGGTTCAAGTGATTCTCCTACCTCAGCCTCCTGAGTAGCTGGGATTACAGGCACCTGCCACCACGCCCTGCTAATTTTTGTATTTTTAGTAGAGACGGGGTTTCGCCATGTTGGCCAGGCTGGCCTCGAACTCCTGACCTCAAGTGATCCACCCTCCTCGGCCTCCCAAAGTGCTGGGATTATAAGCGTGAGCCACCGCGCCTGGCTGAGAGGCCATCTTTTGTATCTTTCCAATTTGCTTCCTCTCTTACTCCAGCCCACAAGCAGCCCCAATCTAATGAGCACACTGCCTTCCCTGCACCCCACTTCCTCCATGTCTTTGCTTTACCCCTACCCCAGGTTAGATCCTGCCACCTAACACTGCAACCACCCCACTGCATGCCCCTCGATCCCTTTCCCCCTCTCACTTCACTGTGCTTACCTGGTTTATTCAACCCTCCACTGACTTCACCTCTGCACCCAGCCAGCTGAACTTGGCTGGGAAGCACACACATCTCACTGGACTGATCTCACTTTAATTTCCTGATCACAAACTGTAAGTGTCCTCACAGGGCTGCCTGGCCATCTTACCACATTTCCAAGATATCTATCCCAAAACTTTCCTGAATCCTGGTCTGAGATGGCCACTAATTAACCAGCACAGTCAAATCACTTTACCTTTCTGAACGGCCACCTGTTTTGCATCTTGAAAGCTTCCAACACCCTTTCTATCTTTCTCATTGTCCACTAATGACCTGGCTTCTTATTTCATTGAGAAAATTGGCAATTAGAAGATAATTTCCACATCTTTCCAACTCCAAATCAATCATCTACCTGTATCTGTTGCCTTCTCTCCTGCTACAATTAGTCACTGAACTATCTGTGCTCCCTGACTTGAAGCCAACTCTTCCGCATTTGCACAGATCCTATCTCCTGTTGCTACTTAAGGAGTTTTGCCTCTTTATACGTTCATCGGTTTCCCCCTTTCTACTGGATCATTCCCATCAAAATATAAACACGCTGAAATATCACCCAGAATATTAAAAAACAAAACTTTCATTGACTCCACGGTGCCCCCTACAGTTACTGCTCCATTTTTCCTGCCCCTCTTGGGAGCAAACTCCTCAGAAGAATCATTTTTACTCACATTCTTCACTCTGTCTCTGATTCTCATGCTTCTTCCAGCCAGCCCTCTGCCCTCCTAGTCCACCAAAACTGCTCTTGTCTAGGCCACTAAAGACTTTCATGTTGCAAAATCCAACGGTCCAGCCTCAGGTCTCTTCTTACTCAAACTTTCTGCAGCATTTGTTCATTTAATCCTTGAAACACTTTCTGCTCTTTGATTCAGCCTATTTGAACCAAAGCGCAGCTGCTCATCCTGGCATTCGCAAACAGAAGTAATCACCAAAGAAACTTCTCTCGGCCGGGCGTCGTGGCTCATGCCTGTAATCCCCACTTTGGGAGGCCAAGGCGGGTGGATCACCTGAGGTCAGGAGTTCAAGACCAGCCTGGCCAACAGGGCAAAACCCCTTCTCTAAAAATAAAATTTAAAAAAAAAATTAGCCAGGTGTGGTGGCAGGCGCCTGTAATCCCAGCTACTCGGGAGGCTGAGGCAGGAGAATCACTTGAGCCCAGAGGCAGAGGTTGCAGTGAGCCGAGATCGCGCCACTGCACTCCAGCCTCGGCAACAGAGCGAGACTCCATCTGAAGAAAAAAGAAAAAGAAAAAGAAACTTCTCTCATCCCATCTTCTTATAATATATGAACCCTGGCTTTGATCAGGCTTTTTTTTTTTTTTTTTGAGACAGAGTCTCACTTTGTCACCCAGGCTGGAGTGCAGTGGCATGACCTTGGCTCACTGCATCCTTCACCTCCTGGGTTCAAGGGATTCTCCAGCCTCAATCTCCCAAGTAGCTGGGACTATAGGCGCACACCACCACGCCTGGCTAATTTTTGTATTTTTAATAGAGACAGAGTTTTGCCATGTTGGCCAGGCTGGTCTTGAACTCCTGACCTCAAGTGATCCACCCACCTCAGTCTCTCAAAGTGCTGGGATTATAGGCGTGAGCCACTGCACCCGGCCATGACCAGGCCATTTTAATAGAATCATAGAACTTCGGAGCTGGAAGAGACCCTACATATTATTAAATCCAACCTCCTGATGTTGTAAGAAAGGAACTTGAGGCTCAGAGAGGTTAAGTGACATGCCTACTGTCACACAGCTTGATAGTGGAGCCAATGCTCAAATCCAGATCTGTTGATTCACAGTGGTTCAAGATTCCTCACTGTCCATCTCCGGCTATGACAAGCTCTTCACAACTCCCTTGTAGGAATGCCATCCTGCCTCTCCAATAATTATAATGTCACTTGGTCAAATCCTACAAAGCTTCTCACTGCATCCAACACTGACCTGTCTCCTTTCTGAATATCAGTAACTGCATGTGATCCACTCTTCTTTACTTGTGATGTTTCCGCTAACATTTGGAAATGGTTCTCCATCATAGCTCCAGCAATGTAATCATTCCTGAGATGTATTGTGATCCTCTTTCCAGACGCTCAGCAGCAATATTCCTGCCAACTGCCCTTGTGTGCAGTCACTTGTGATAATGACACTTGCCTACATGGCATCTGTCCACCCACTCAGTGCTGAAGAGTTGGCAGCCCTAGAGGACCTCGTGATACAGTCAAGTTTGCCTTTGGCATCCCCAACTGTGCCTTTCCCCAGTGCATATCAATGTCCCTTCTTCCTCCAGGCTCCCATACTGTTCTCTAGCACCACTTCTCCCTACCAAGCAGAAGAGAGTGGGATATCAGTCACTCAGATATCAGATGTCACCAGAGCTGCAGGTCATTGTCCCCCCACCTCCATCATCCCACTTTGTCTGCACCTTGCCAGGGAGGGGGATCCCTGTTAGAGCTTCCCAGTGAAGGCAACTCCTAGGAATGGCTGAGGAAAAGGAGCACTTGCTGGTCACCCTGGCTGGACTGGGATCCTCCTGGCTGGAACACAGACCCCACTTCAGCCCCTGGCAGCCCCCTTTATCCAAACATTCTGCCTCTCCTCTCATCTCCTCCCAGGCTCAAACAATCCTCCCACCTCAGCCCCTAGAGTGGCTGAAATTACAGACGTGCATCATCACACCCAGCTAACTATTTTTATTTTTTTGGAGAGATGGAGTCTCATTATGTTGCCCAGGCTAGTCTCAAGTGATCCCAGGCTCAAGTGATCCTCCTGCCTCGGCCTCCCAAAGTCCTGGTATTTCAGGCATGAGCCACGGTGCCTGGCCTCTGCCTTTGATCCTAATTCTGCTTTTCAAGATGAAGTCTTGTTAAGTGGTGGTACTGGTTAAGCCAGAATTTTATCACTTTGAGCCAAAGGTCATTGCCCAAGCACAACAAAGGGCTGATATCATATTATCTTCAGTGTAAGCTAAAAGGACAATGCAGAACAGGAAAGGGTAAGTTTTGAAGCAGGAAAACATGTAATATTTTGGAGATAACACATTTTCTTAGCTGGAATGTAGAATAATTTTTTTCTGAATTTCTAAAATGTTAAAAGTTTTATAAATAAATGTTTGTGTCCTACTGTAAGCAATTCATTACCCCACCCCAATTCCTGGGTAAATAACAATAAATGTGCCCTAAGAATTTTCTAGCATGTTCCAATATGTAGACCAGAGCAAAGGTACCATGGAGGAACCTAAGAAGCAGGGATGCAAATGCAGTCCTGCGGGGCAATTGAGGAATCAGGCTGTGAGCCAGTCTAGATAACAAAGCCCAGAGATCTATGTCTCCCTCTGGACAACATCACGTTCAGCAGGCAAAATGTACGACTGCAGCGTTTCTCAAAGTGAACTCCGAAATCTGCCTGCATCAGGCTCTCCATACAGACTCGGGGCTCCCCTCCAGATGAGCTATATTAAACTCTCTGGAGATGGGCGCCAGATGACTGCACGTTTAGAGATATCCCTTGATGATTTCACTGTGTCTAAATGTTGAGAACCACTTGTTTATGATGAGCACTTTGATTTTCCTAAATATCCTAGAGAAAAATTGGACTAATATAATCAGTTTACTAGACAAAGCCACTTGATTAGAAACCCAATCCTGGAAACAGTGCCTGCAACAATCTTCTGGCACATGGATCATTTTCCAGTTAGGCTCTGACCAAGTCAGTCCCTTGTCATGGAGTACCTTTCATGGAGCCCCATGGTCTTCCCATCAAGGACAAATATCCCAGCCTGGGACCTACTACCCTCAGGAACATGCTTCACTTTCAACACACTTCTGAATGAGCCAGGAGCTTTGGCATATTCACTAGTGTTCCCCAAAATGCCCTTCCTTTTTTCTTCTTTTTATTTTTTTTGAGACGGAGTATTGTTCTATCGCCCAGGCTAGAGTGCCATGGCGCAATCTCGGCTCACTGCAACCTCCGCCTCCTGGGTTCAAGCAGTTCTGCTGTCTCAGCCTCCAGAGTAGCTGGGATTACAGATGCATGCAACCACGCCCGGCTAATTTTTATATTTTCAGTAGAGACAGGGTTTCACCATATTGGTCAGGCTGGTCTCGAACTCCTGACCTCAGGTGATCCACCCACCTTGGCCTCCTGAAGTGCTGGGATTACAGGCATGAGCCACCGTGCCCGGCCCCAAAATGCCCTTCTTAAAAAAAAATTTTTAAACCATATTCAGTGCCCATCTATCATTCACTCACTCATTCATTCACTCAACCAACCAAGCATTTATTAACAATTATGACTTCTCAAGGGCTGTGCTAGGCACCATGAATACAGAGTTGCAATACACAGCTGAAAAAGTACTTTCTGAAAGCAATTGTTTCCTATATAACAATTTGGTCAATCTCTCTGGAGGAATGTATTACATTCAGCTCTGGGCTATAGTTATTCATGTTTATCTCTTACCTTCCTACTGAACTGCAAGCTCCTTGGTGGTAAAACAATGGCTTTCTCACCTCTGTATGTCCCATAGGCAGGTGTCAATAAATATTTTCTGAACTGGATCAAATTTAATTTTAAGGCTGGGCATGGTGGCTCATGCCTGTAATCCCAGCACTTTGGGAGGCCGAGGCTGGCGGATCACCTGAGGTCGGGAGTTCAAGACCAGCTTGGTCAACATGGTGAAACCTCATCTCTACTAAAAATTTAAAAAATTAGCCAGGCGTGGTGGCCGGTGCCTGTAATCCCAGCTACTTGGGAGGCTGAGGCAGGAGAATCCCTTGAACCCAGGAGGTAGAGGTTTCAGTGAGCTGAGATCACTGGGCAACAGAGCAAAAACTCCATTAAAAAAATTAATTTTAAGCAAATGACTTTGGGATTCGTGGAATGAAAGACATTTGAAGCAGTGAAGTCTGGCTATGAATGAGTTTTTGAATGTCTATGTTTGGACAGAGCGCAAATTTAACAGATGGTGCTTCAAAAATAGACGTGAGATTTTAAAAATAGTTTCTTCCAGCTACGGGAATGTAGGCTCCAGTTAAGCAGACTGACATCTGGCGAATTAAGTTGCCATGGTAACAGGTTTTCAGGTCAAGCCTGGAGACTGGGTCAGCCCTCCCCTCTGTCATGGGAACAGTCTTCCAGGGGGGTCAGTGAAAAGAACATCTTTGACAACACACACTTTCAGTCAAGCCACCAGTGCCCTAAGGTCTCTACCTTTTGTCATCTTCATATAAAAGCTCTAAGAAAGAATTCCTTAAAAAAGAAGCCCTCAGGTGTTCACTTCCTGTGATATGTGATCATAGCTAGCTTCTACAAATGGCAGGGGCAAATTTTCCTAAAAATCTTAACTTTTGTATTCCAGCATAAATACTTCTAATTTCTCCTCTGCAGGAGCCACTATGTGGAGAAGAACCTTTAAAATCAATAGCAGAAGTTGCTGGCAGTGGTTATCTCAGGAGGATGGGACGCAGAGATTTTCACTTTCCGTGTCATGTATCTCTGTGACATTTACATTTTATTAAGCAGATATTTCTTTTTTGCTCGAGGAAAGAAAAACAAGCTCAAATTTTAAGAATTTGAAAATATATAAATCAGAAGAAGCAGACATTACTTTTACATAGAATGGTAAAGTTTTAGGGTTTCTTTAAAAGTCAGTTGAAGGGAGGCCGGGTGCAGTGGCTCATGACTGTAATCCCAGCACTTTGGGAGGCCAAGGCAGGTGGATCACTTGAGGTCAGGAGTTCAAGACCAGCCTGGGCAACATGGCAAAACCCTGTCTCTACTAAAAATTAAAAAATTAGCCAGGCATGGTGGCACATGCCTGTAATACCAGCTACTCAGGTGGCTGAGCACAAGAATTGTTTGAACCGGGGAGGTGGAGGTTGCAATGAGCCAAGATTACTCCACTGCGTTCCAGCCTGGGCGACAGACTGAGATTCCACTTCAAAAAAAAGAAAGAAAGAAAGAAAGTTAATTGAAGGGAAAAAAAGCAAATTCTGGGCCAGATGTCCTGCTTATGTCATTAAGGTATGCAATGCCAAGAGGTATGGCTGTCTTGCTGTTCTCTGTCTCATATTTGTTTGTCTTATATTCCCCCAAGATTGTAAGTTGTTTTTTCTCCTGGTGTCTTCCCTAGCAGGGGGTTGCAGTAGGTGCTCAAAGATACCTTTTGCTCAGTTGAACTGAATTACCATGTGATATAATTTGGATATCTGTCCCCTCGAAATCTTATGTTGAAATCTGATCCCCAGTGTTGGAGGTGGGGCCTACTGGAAGGTGTTTGGGTCATGGGGGTGGATCCCTCCTGAAAGGCTTGGTGGCTTCTCCGCAGTAATGAATGAGTTCACCTGAGAGCTGGTTGTTTAAAAGAGAGTGGCACCCTTGCCTTCTCTCTCATTTTCCTCCTCTCTGATCATGTGATGCTGGCTCCCCTTCCCCTTCCCCCATGAGTGGAAGCTTCTTGAAGCGCTCACCAGAAGCAGAGGCTGGCACCATGCTTCTTGTACAGTCTGAAGAACCATGAGCCAAATAAACTTCTTTTCTTTATAACTTACCCAGCCTCAGGTATTCCTTTATAGCAATGCAAACAGACTAAGACACTATGTTAGGGAAAAGAAATGTTTTCCCTTGAAACATCTAGATAGTCGAGGCTATTAGAGGTTTGTTTTTTTTTTTTAAATGCTGAAGGAAAGTTTCTCTTAGCCAGATTAGGAAGCCGACACACAGAATGCCACCTTTGACCGAGCCCCGGCAAACATTCATTTATAGAACAAAGGCAGCACTTCCAGATCAAAGAGCCCGGTTTATTTTTTGTAATAAAGAAATTTCACATTACTTCTCAGACTTTTGGCTAAGATCAAACATAGAAATTTCACTCTGTCATCTTGCATTTAAAAATAAAATTGCCCTGCAGACACAGCTCATTTGCAGACCAACACTTGGTGACCTTCTTTGTTTGAAATCCAAATACAAGGAACCCAAGTTTTGGTTCATTTCCTGTCTTAGCTGAGCAAAGTCAGGGATTCTAAAGAACTTCCGTGGGAGAGCTGGGCTGCGCTTGTGCAGTTCCCTGGTGCTGAGCCCGCTGTGAGCCAGACTCCTAAGGGGATGGTGGACTCCTTCAGTCTACTGTCCTGCTGGGAGCACTGGTGCTACAAACAAAGGCTTAAACCAAGAGGAAAGGAGAAGGAGCCTTGGGTGGCAGGGATTTTCTCGCCAGCAGGTTTAAAAGTTCAATAGTTGGGGCCAGGCGTGGTGGCTCATACCTGTAATCCCAGCACTTTGGGAGGCCAAGGTGGGTATTTCACCTGAAGTCAGGAGTTCGAGACCAGCCTGGCCAATATGGTGAAACCCCAACTCTACTAAAAATACAAAATTAGCCGGGCATAGTGGTGCACACCTGTAATACCAGCTACTTGGGAGGCTGAGGCATGAGAATCACTTGAACCTGGGACACGGAGGGTACAGTAAACAGAGATCATGTCACTGCACTCCGGCCTGGGTGACAAAGCAATATTCCATCTCAAAAAAATAAAATAAAATAAACCCAGCAAGCAATGTTCTTACTTTATAAATACTAACAAATGGTGTGGCGCTGATCTCTTTAAGTTTACTCTTTTTACTTGAATGAACCACAGTATTTTTTTTTTCCTAAAGGCCTGGCAGAAGGGGTAACACAAGAGGACCCATTTAATATTTTGGCTCTTGGAATGGAATCAACATATGAAATTGTCTTTTATCTGCCAGTGTACTGGGTTGAATACTGTCCCCTCAAAATTCATGTCCACTGGAACCTCAGAATGTGATCTTATTTGGAAATAAGGTTTCTGTACAGTTAAGATAAGGTTACGGACCTTAAGAGAAGGTTAGGACTCACCCTAATCCACAGTGACCTTATCTTAACTTGATTCGGGTGGGTCCCAATCCAATGACCAGTGCCTTATAAGAAATTTGGACATGGACACACAGAGAGGGGTCGGGTGCAGTGACTCACACCTGTAATCCCAGCACTTTGGGAGGCCAAGGCAAGCAGATCACTTGAGGTCAGGAGTTCAAGACCAGCCTGACCAACATGGTGAAACTCTATCTCTACTAAAAATACAAAAATTAAGCGGGTGTGGTCGCGGGCGCCTGTAATCCCACCTTCTCGGGAGGCCGAGGCACGAGAATTGTTTGAACCTAGGGGCAGAGGTTGCAATAAGCTGAGACTGCACCACTGCACTCCAGCCTAGATGACAGAGCAAGACTCCATCTGAAAAAAAAAAAAAAAAAAAAAAAAAAAGCCGAGTGCAGTGGTTTACGCCTGTAATCCCAGCACTTTGGGAGGCCAAGGTGGGTGGATCACGAGGTCAGGAGATTGAGACCATCCTGGCTAACACGGTGAAACCCTGTCTCTTCTAAAAATACAAAAAATTAGCTGGACGTGGTGGCGGGCGCCTATAGTCCCAGCTACTCGGGAGGCTGAGGCAGAAGAATGGCGTGAACCCTGGAGGCGGAGCTTGCAGTGAGCCGAGATCGTGCCACTGCACTCCAGCCTGGGCGACAGAGCCAGACTCTGTCTAAAAAAAAAAAAAACAAACCAAAAAATCAAAAACAGACACATAGAGAGGAAGATCCTTGAGCCACTCAGGAGCTATATCCTAGAGGGGAAAAAAGCAACAAAGACACCAAGACACACAGGTAGAACACCATGTGACAGCAGAGGCAGAGACTGGGGTGACGCATCTACAAGCCACAGATGCCAAGGAAGGCGGGCAACCAACAGAAGCTGGGAGAAAGGCTGAGAGGCTCCAGAAGGAACTAGCCCTGCTGACACCTTGATTTCAGACTTTTGATTTCCAGAACTGCGAGAGAATATTTCTGTTGCTTAAGCCACCCAGTTTGCGGTAGTTTAGGACAGCAGACCTAGGAAACTAATAAACAGGGTCTAGCTTAGGAGAAACGACAGTATGAAGAAAGATGCCCTGATCTTTCCAATTCAGAGGCTACTCCAGATAGCCCATCAATGAGGGCTGCCTTGTGCAGGCCAGAAAGCGCCTAGTGCCTTTCCCACACAGATACAAATGCTGGTGACAATAGTCATCGGCAGCGGAGGTCTGAGGGAAATGGGTGGGACCACTCAGTTCTGCCCCTGATGGTGTTACTGGTGCTGGCCTGTGTCCTCTGTGTTTCGTGGTTTTTTGTTTGTTTTTTTTTGTCATCACTGCTGTGGAAGCAAAGGGAGCCATGGATGTTCTTGAGCCACTGCAGCGCTCCCGCAGGGCTGAGTGTCCAAAGCCAAGTAGAATGCTCAGGGTGCCGCTAGGAAGAGGGCGATGGGCAGAGCATGCTGCTGATGTGCTGGGGCCATCTCAGTCTTGTCACCAAGAGGAAGCCACCTAACCCTCACTGGAAACTCACAACTACTTAGTCAAAAAATGGGCCAAAACATTCATAATGGGTGCATAAGCAGGGGCAGGGGCGGAGGTCAGGCTGAGCAAGATGAGAAGTCAGGTGGGACTGGGCAGGACAGGCAGGGAGGGTGCTGCTGCAGGTGTAAAGTGAACCCTCGGGCGGCCGGAGAGCCAAGTTCCCAACCAAGAGAAGCAAGAAGAAGATGAGCCCCGAGGAGCCACCTCAGCAACAAGTGCAGGACTTCCTCCCAGGAGGGAGAATTCCATTTTTTTTTTTTTTTTTTTTTTTTTTTGAGACGGAGTTTCACTCTGTTGCCCAGGCTGGAGTGCAGTGGCACAATCTCGGCTCACTGAAACCTCCTCCTCATGGGTTCAAGCAATTCTCCTGTCTCAGCCTCCCGAGTAGCTGGGATTACAGGCCTTCACCACCACACCTGGCCAATTTTTTTGAATTCTTATTAGAGACAAGGTTTCACCATGTTGGCCAGGCTGGTCTCGAACTCCTGACCCCAGGTGATTCACCTGCCTTGGCCTCCCAAAGTGTTGGGATTACAGGCATGAGCCACCACGCCCAGCCAGGAGGGAGAGTTTCAAGGAAGCAGGTGAGTGTGGTGAGATAAGGGGCCCCTCCCTTCCTGGGACACATGCCGAGACTGTGCCTTGGTCATGCATCTTACGGCTGAGGAAGGGACAGAGACTTTTAGCATCACGTCATCCTGGGAAAACACTGAGAGGGGGTCCGACTCAGCTGCATGAGAGGACTGATTGTCTTGTAGGCCCTCCCTCCCTGAGCCCTCAGCCCCAACCCCACCTAGACTGGCACCTGATGGCCCTGAATGACTGGCAACCCATGTCAGAGACCAAGGACAATGCGGGCTATGCTGAAGAGAAGCAATTGCTTAGAGGACCTGGGGCTGTTTGGGGACAAGATGGGGCCGGGGTTAGGGGAGACAGTGAAGGAGGTTCCAGTCGAAAGCCATGCCCATGAGACTGGTGCTGAGAGCAGAGCCCGGTGGTGGCACCTTTGGGAGGTGAGGAGACACACAGAGGAGAGCAGAGGGGCCACTCCTTGAGCCAAACAGCCTGGAGACACTGTATGGGGTGGAAGCCACAAACCTGAAGCAAAGCCCTGGGACATTCTGCTGGAGCCGGCATGTGCTTTTTGTGCTCACCGTGAGGTTGTTCAGTAAAGGGTTGGTTCACCCTTCCCCTCTACCTTGAAGGGCATTTCATAAACAATTGCAATGTCCCAATTCAGGCAGCCCCACCTGCCTCTCGGGGCCCCTGTCTGGGTGGGCAGGGAGCTACAGGCTTGTGATCAATGGCAGGGTTTCTCCAGACACTCTCCTGTGTGTCTTTAGCAGCCTCCCCCTGGGGGTGGCTGGGCCTTCAGAAGGGTCAGCTTACCTCCCATGCCTGGCACGCTGGGCCCGCTCAGGTCATTTGGATGTGGAGCAGAAGGCGGATCATAGCCGATCACCAAGTCAATGGTGGCCTGGGTAGAAATAATTCGTTGCAAATATTATCAGTGCAGGGCACCAGCATGTTATAGACTCAATGCAAGTGACTTCAGCAGGAGCCAAAGTCTTGGAAGGGGTAAGAGAGAGGGAGTAGGTAAGCGAGGCTGGAAACGGGGAGAGGGACACAAGCTCGACTGTTCCTATCCTCCCACTGACAGCCAAGGCAGGGTGGGGAAGTAGCTCCCTGTCACAGGTTGCCAAGTGTATCCTTGCTAAGGGGCCACCTCATCAACAGAGTAAAGTTGTGACAAGCAGGTGTGAATTGTCACACACCTCCATCCTAGACTGGAGATGCCCTCCCATCACAGAATTACAATTACAGAGGGTCACTGTAAATGATTAATTTATTTGTTTGCTCATTGCTTATTTCATTATGAATTGCTGAGATTTATTTTCATGCTTCTTTTTAAAGAAGAATTTTAGGGCTGGGCACGGTGGCTCATGCCTGTAATCCTAGCACTTTGGGAGGCCGAAGCGGGTGGATCACCTGAGGTCAGGAGTTCGACACCAACCTGGCCAACATGGCGAAACCTTGTCTCTACTAAAAATACAAAAATTAACTGGGCATGGTGGCAGGCACCTGTAATCCCAGCTACTCAGAGGCTGAGGCAGAAGAATTGCTTGAACCTGAAGGGGGCGGAGGTTGCAGTGAGCTGAGATCGTGCCACTCACTCCCGCCTAGGCAAAAGAACGAGACTGTCTTTTTTTTTTTTTTTTTTTTTGAGACAGAGTCTCACTCTGTCGCCCAGGCTGGAGTGCAGGGCGCAATCTCGGCTCACTGCAGCCTCTGCCGCCTGGGTTCAAGCAATTCTCCTGCCTCAGCCTCCCGAATGGCTGGGAATACAGGCGTGCACCATCATGCCCGGCTAATATTTTGTATTTTTAGTAGAGATGGGGTTTCATCTTGTTGGCCAGGCTGGTTTCGATCTCCTGACCACGTGATCTGCCCACCTCAGCCTCCCAAAGTGCTGGGATTACAGGAATGAGCCACCGTGCCCGGGGAGACTCTGTCTTAAAACAAAACAAAACAAAACAAAAAAAAACAGAGAGAACTTTAAGTGACTAACAAGGCTGGGTGCAATGGCTTGCACTTTTAATCCCAGCACTGGGAGGCCAAGGTGGGTGGATCACAAGGTCAGGAGTTTGAGACCAGCTTGGCCAACACAGTAAAACCCCATCTCTACTAAAAATACAAAAATTAGCTGGGCTTGGTGGCAGGTGCCTGTAATCCCAGCTGCTCAGGGGGCTGAGGCCGGAGAATCTCTTGAACTCGGGAGGCGGAGGTTGCAGTGAGCCAAGATCGTGCCACTGCACTCCAGCCTGCGTGACAGAGCTAGACTCCGTCTCAAAAAAAAAAAAAAAAAAAAAAGTGACTAACAAAACATGTATATAAAGTTGTGATTCATAAAATAGGATAAAAAAAGGAGAATTGAATCTGGCTAAAGAGGAAACAAATATGCAAACCATAAAGTTAAATATAATTGCCATTTCTGTTGCATAATCTGTGACCTCCGAAATGCCTAGAGCCAAATGAAAAGGGAAACTGAAAACATTATGTAGCTTTCACTACCAACAGAAGGAAACATACTAGTTCCTTACAAGAGACAATGTTATTCCTACTTATAAGAGCTGAGATCAATTTCTCACATGGAGCATTATTTTAGGGCAGAGTTTGCTGTATACAGTACTTTTTAATTTCATGGACCCACAAAATTTCAAACAATTTGCTAGGGGAAATCGACATTGGGTTGCTAACTTGTATTTTGCCAAACACCTGCCCACAACTATCATCTACTATCACAATCATTTTATAAAAGAGAGGCATTTTAACACCAAAAATGAGAAGAGACAAACCTCAGAATAAAGGGAGTCCTTTGCAAATAAGGATGGCACACACGTACACACACACATATGCACACACACACAAGGTGACCAGATAAAATCTGGACATCTGGACAGGACATCATATTTAGGACATAGTTACACTGAGAAATTATTCGTTTTTTATGTGAATTTTTTTTTTTTTTTTTTGAGACAGAGTCTCACTCTGTTGCCCAGGCTGGAGCACAATGGCACAATCTCAGCTCACTGCAGCCTCCGCCTCACACCCGGGTTCCAGTGATTCTCCTGCTTCAGCCTCCTGGGTAGCTGGGATTACAAGCACGTGCCACCATGCCCAGCTAATTTTTGTTTTTTTTTTTTAATAGAGACGGGGTTTCACCATGTTGGCCAGGCTGGTCTCAAACTCCTGACCTCAGATGATCCACCCACCTCAGCCTCCCAAAGTGCTGGGATTATAGGCGTGAGCCACCTTGCCCAGCCTGTATGTGAATTTAAATACACATCCTATGCTTTCATTTGCCACTTTTCCTACATCTGGTAAACACACACACACACACACACACACACACACACACACACACACACAGTGCATTGCCCTTTTTCCATTTTTCTGTTCATCAGTGAATACTCCCTCATATACTGGCACATCGTGTGTCTTGGAACTACTGCTCTGGAAGGGACTGAACAGGATAAGGAATACGACCCTAGCCACAGTTTCACAGCACACAAAGAATCATAAGAGCAGCATCTCATGGCTGAACGCAGGGAGCACTGAAGGGCTTAGTTGCTAAACTGAATCTAAGAATCAAACTTTTCAAACCTAGAAGAACACACAGACAACCACCCCCTTGATCTGTGGTTTTCATGCTGTGTTCTATAACCTCAGGATTCCCAGAGGTGCTCCAGGGACCCCCAAAAGGGTAAGAGGAATTACAGGGGGCAGGGCTTGAGGCCATTTACTTTCCTTACTCCATGATATGGTTCAGATGTTTGTTGCCTCCAAATCTCATGTTGAAATGTGACCTCCAATAGTGGAGTTGGGCCCTGGTGGGAGTTTTTGGGTCATGGGGGCGGATCCCTCACGAAGGGCTTGGTGCCATTCTTGCAGTAATGAGTGAGTTCTCATTCTATTAGTTATTGCAAGGTCTGGTTATTAAAAAGGGTCTGGCCCCTTCCCCCTCTTCTCTCTTGCTCCCTTTCTCACTATGTGTCACGCCTGCTTCCTCTCCACCTTCCCCCACGAGTAAAAGCTTCCTGAGGCCTCACCAGAAGCTGAGCAGATATCGGTGCCATGCTTGTACAGCCTGCAGAACTGTGAGCCAAATAAACCTCTTTTCTTTATAAATTACCCAGCCTCAGGTATTCCTTTATAGCAGTGCCAAATGGACTAACACACTCCACTGAATCACAACAGTTCTGCCATTCTAGGGGTCTACATATGCTTTCTTCTGTGCTTTAAAAAAAGAAGGCAGAAAAATCATTGACTTATACCATCTTTCCTCAGAATCATTTCTCTCAGCTAGGTTTTGGGTAAACAGATGATAGCCAACATTTTAAATGTGTGTTTTGATTACAATGCTGATTTGTGGCAAATCTATAAGTTTTAGAGACCAGATCAGCAAAACTGCCTTTCTCTCATATGGCTGTTGAGAGCCTAGCTTTGCTTACAGGGACTGCATCTTTTAATGTAAATTTCTCTCCCTTTGCCCAGGCTCCCAAGAAAAATAAATTGATTGGAAAATGAAGGGGTTGGAAGTTATGGGCCAAGTACAGTATCTTTATGAGTGCTTCTTATTAATTATATGAAATCTGGGACTTGCGACACTTGAGTCATTTTTTTTTAAAGCACATGCACTAGAGAAAGAGAATTCTGGTCTTGCATCAGAAAATATTAAGATGTACTTATTTTTTTAATTTTTTTTTTTTTGAGATGGAGTCTTGCTCTGTTGCCCAGGCTGGAGTGCAGTGGCGCGATCTTGGCTCACTGCAACCTCGGCCTCCTGGATTCGAGCGATTCTTCTGCCTCAGCCTCCCAAGTAGATGGGACTACAGGCACGTGCCACCATGCCTGGCTAATTTTTTGTATTTTTAGTAGAGATGGGGTTTCACCATGTTAGCCAGGATGGTCTGGATCTCCTGACCTCAAGATCCGCCCGCCTCAGCCTCCCAAAGTGCTGGGATTACAGGCGTGAGCCACCGCGCCCAGCAAGATGTACTTATTGAGAGAGGCTGTGACCAGAAAACATCCAGCACCCAATGTAATAAAGATTATGAGGCCAGGCGTGGTGGCTCATGCCTGTAATCCCAGCACTTTGGTAGGTCGAAGTGGGAGGATCACCTGAGGTCAGGAGTTCGAGACCAGCCTAACCAATATGGTGAAACTCCATCTCTACTAAAAACATAAAAATTAACTGGGCATGGTGGCACGTGCCTATAATCCCAGCTACTCAGGAGGCTGAGGTAGAAGAATCACTTGAACCCAGGAGGCAGAGGTTGCAGTGAGCCGAGATCATGCCACTGCCCTCCAGCCTGGGTGACGGAGTGAGACTCCATCTCAAAAAAAAAAAAAAAAAAAGATTATGATATTACAGTCTTCATATTCCAAGCTTATGTCAATGAACTGCCTTCTACAGAATGTTTCAAAGAATATCTGACACACAGAATTATACATAACCACACAAATGTTAACACCCACATGGCTAAGCACAGAGCTACACCTAGAGGGGGTCACCCTCACTCTATAGAATTATCTCATAGAAAATCAAATCTATCAAATTTGCTAGTTCTGTGATTGAAAGTATAAAATAAGGTCCATGTCGTTTGCAAACGGGCCCAGTTTTTTATTTAAAGCACACACACTTGAGAAAGATCACCAGAAAAATCTCAAAACCAGATTTTTTGTGTGTGTGGTTAGCTAATTACCAATTGATACCTTTTCCTTTTCTTTTCTTTTTTCTTTTTTACCAATTGGTTCTGACAATTTAGACATTTTTCTTTTCTTTTTTTTTTTTTTTTTGTTTGAGATGGAGTTTCTCTCTTGTCACCCAGGCTGGAGTGCAATGGCATGATCTCGGCTCACTACAACCTCCATCTCCTGGGTTCAAGCGAGTCTCCTGCCTCAGCCTCCCAAGTAGCTGGGATTACAGACACCAACCACCATGCCCAGCTAATTTTTGTATTTTTAGTTGGGATGGGGTTTCGGCATGTTGGCCAGGCTGGCCTCGAACTCCTGACCTCAGGTGATCCACCCAAAAGTGCTGGCCTCCCAAAGTGCTGGGATTACAGGTGTGAGCCACCACGCCCGGCCTTAGACCTTTTTCTTAATGAAATTTTGCTCAATCATCTCACTTCAAAGCCATTCAATAAGAGAGAAAACACTCACCCCAGTATCTTGCCCTTTTTCATTTAGCAGGGAGATCAGCTTGTACGGCAGGGATCTGCTCTGGTCACCAGTCAGGTCCTTCAGGGCTACAGTCGCCGTGCCAATTAATCTGCAGGGAAAACAGGAAAGCACATAGCAGCCTAAGTAGGAGATAGGCTTCCAATGACTCAGGACCTCTCAACCCCTACCTCTTCATCTGTTAAATCATTGAAGTCACTATAATGAGATGTGGGCCATTTTGCTATTAGCCTCGCAGGGCATTTTGGCAGTAAACATATCTGCCATCACTTCTCCATTACAAGAGTCAAACTCTGGTGCCTATGAAATTTCTTTCTTTTCTTTTTTTTTTTTTTTTTGAGACAGACTCTTGCTGTGTCACCCAGGCTGGAGTGCACTGGGGTGATCTCCACTCACTGCAGCCTCCACCTCCCAGGTACAAGTGATTCTCCCACCTCAGCCTCCCAAATAGCTGGGATTATAGGCACCCACCACCACGCCCAGCTAATTTTTGTATTTTTCCTAGAGATGGGGTTTCGCCATGTTGGCCAGGCTGGTGGTCTTGAACTCTGACCTCAGGTGATCTGCCCACCTCAGCTTCCCAAAGTGCTGGGATTACAGGCGTGAGTCACCACTCTCAGCCTGAAATTTCAACAGTCATGAATGAGATAGAGGGGCAAGAGGTAAAGACTGAATAGAGTGGCCAGACACAGTGGCTTATGCCTGAAATCCCAGCACTTTGGGAGGCTGAGGTAGAAGGATCAATTGAGTCCAGGAGTTTGAGACCAGCCTGGGCAAGATCATGAGACCCCATCTCTACAAAAAGTTAAAAAATTAATGGGGTGTGATGATGCATGCCTGTAATCCCAGCTACATGGAAGAATAAGATGGGAAGCTCACTTGAACCCAGGAGGTTGAGCTTGCAGTGAGCTATGATTGTATCACTGTACCCAGGCTGGGCGACAGAGTGAGACCTTGTCTCAAAAAAAAAGAAAAAGAAAAAAGAAAGACTAAATATAGCACCCCACTACCCCCCGCCAGAATCCAGGAAGAGAGAAAAGTAGGACAAAATTCAGTAAGAGAGGAAGGCATTTCTCTGTAATAGAAATGTAAAAGGACCCATAAATCTTTGCCCACTGTGAAAATATCCCCCCAAGTAGACCTTCTAGGGTTGTAAATAGGTTGCTAGTTCACTGATAGGGTTAGCTTGCTGTCCCCTGTTTGATGGTGCAGCATTCAAACGTTCAGTGTGTGTACTTCTCTCTTCCTAGAACTTGGTGGATAATATCAGCCTCTGCCACTTACCCATCTATCTCCTATCATACCTAACATATTGGTACAGAAGTACCCTCATGTCTCTGCTCATGAGGAAAGCCCCCTCGACTCAGGGATTCTTGCCTGTTTTACTCACTACTCTAACACAGTACCAGATTATAGTAGATACTTAACAGCAGGTTCCTGAATGAAGGAAAGAATAAATAAGTCTACATATATTGAGAATTAATACTCAAAACATTTTTATAGTTGGGGAACATGATCAAAAACACATATAGAACACACATTAGCCAGTCTATATAAAAATGTAACCTGTGAAAAAGAGCCTGTAAATTGGGGTTATAACATGAAACATGAATGAGAGTAGGTAAAGCGAGGAAGTTCCTTGTGTGAAATCCAATCAGAAAGACAAGAGAGTCACATGCTTTCAGTATGTATCCCGAAAACGGACAGAAGAAATATTTAGAATGTTTTATTTATTTATTTATTTATTTTGAGATGGAGTTTCGTTCTTATTGACCAGCCTGGAGTGCAACGGCGTGATCTCAGCTCACCACAACCTCCGCCTCCCGGGTTTAAGCAATTCTCCTGCCTTAGCCCCTCGAGTAGCTGGGATTACAGGCATGCGCCACCAAGCCCAGCTCATTTTGTATTTTTTCAGTAGAGATGGGATTTCTCCATGTTGGTTAGGCTGGTCTAGAACTCCCAACCTCAGGTGATCCACCTGCCTCAGCCTCTCAAAGTGCTGGGATTACAGGCGTGAGCCGCCGCGCCTGGCCCAATATTTAGAATTTTTAACTGTTACTTACTTATATCCTGTCTACATCGGCACTGACTTGTACTAGCAGATAACATAGAAAATCATTAGCATAAAAATAGAAAGCTAAACATTGAGTCCTTAAAGTGATAGAAGAGATTCCTTATGCCAAAATATCCGGGTGAGGAAACTGTAATTGAACATTTCTATGTAACTCTGGGCTTTTGGGCAAACATGATAATCAGGAAAATTCATCTTGTGGAAATGCATTTTATTTTAAAATATAATACAGTATATTTAAAAATTAGAAAGTAAAAGTTGTTTCTCAGAGGTGCTCCGGGTACGCCACATGGCAGCATAGGCACATCTTTTGGAAGTGATAGATGTTAGCAGCAACTGTATTATTCTCCCCAATCCTCTTCAGTCTTCAGAAATAGGACTAGATTTTAACGCTGGGGTCTGTAACCCAACCACATAGGTCCAGAGACTTGGCAATATTAATAAGTGCCTTCACTTTCTATGAATAGGATATTGCACAAGACCAGGAAATTGCTATAGCACCCTGTTTCACCCAATTTACCCAATGACAGGAGCCCCCTGTACATGGTTTCTTGGAAAAGTGCACTTTCTTGTAAAGAACACCACACAAGACGATCAACAACTGCGATGGACTCTCATCCCTTCTAATATCACAAGCAGAATTTGTAGTTGGGGCCAGGTGCGGTGGCTCATGTCTGTAATCCTAGCACTTTGGGAGGCCAAGGTGGGTGGATCACTTGAGGCCAGGAGTTCAAGACCAGCCTGGCCAACATGGTGAAACCCCGTCTCTACTACAAATACAACAAATTAGCCAGGTGTGGTGGTGCGCACCTGTAATCCCAGCTACTTGGGAGGCTGAGGCAGGAGAATCACTTGAACCGTGAGGCAGAGGTTGCAGTGAGCCAAGATCAGGCCACTGCACTCCAGCCTGGGCAACAGAGCAAGACCCTGTCTCAAAAAAAAAAAAAAAAACAAAAAAGAATCTGTAGTTGGCAATGGAAAAGAAAATTTTTGCCTCCAGAGGGACAATAGGGAACTTTTCAGCCCTTTTTGGTCAATACAGAAATTAATTCTCAGTCAATGCTGAGAATTGGTGGGAATTTTCTCCTGTTTTGTTGTTGTTATTGCTTTTCCTGCTGCTGTCATACATTTAACTTCTACATGTTACAAAACCATAATTTATTGTTATTATTTTTTTCTCAAAACAATAAATTATCTTTTAAGGAAATTTTAAAAATAAAACTATCTTTTACATTAACAGAAAAAAAGATTGGATGGGAATTTTACAGAGTATGTTTTTAGATCAGTATGTTTTTTAGGCTTTTTTACAGGAGTATTTTTTTTCTCCTTACTTAGATTTTTATTCCCGTGACATACTGAAGACACCCATTACTCCATCTCCACCAGACAAAACAGATGAGCCTCCAAACAAGGTGAAAGCCCCGAAAATCTCTTCCACATCTCTCTCAGCCACACAGCACGAGTATTAAGGAGAATTTATTTCCATGGTTTTTAAGTCATGAAATCAGCAAATTGAGTTTTCAAGAAAATCAAAACGTAAAAACTAGAGGTTTAAAAGTCATCCAACTGGTATTAAATGTCTAAATGCGATGAAAGATGTGGAAACAAACTGGACTTCATTCCTTGCAATTTCATAATTCATAGCCTAACCCTAGGACTAAGACAGCAACACTGCACACTTGAATATGTACTGATTTGCTTCTGCTAAAGTCAAAATGACCTGAATCTCTGTCATCAATAAACAAATCTTAGAACAAACAGTGCAACATGCTGGGACAATGCTGAAGTAGAAAGAGGGCCAGCCTGGGGTTGGACCAGCGTGTCTCGACCTCAGCACTACTGACATTTTGAACCCGTTAATTATTTTTATGGGAGGCTATACTGTTCAGCTAGATACCATTTGTGATCATCAAAAACTTCGAGGCACATTGCCAGTTGTTCCCTGGAGGGCAAAACTGCCCCAGGTTGAAAACAACTCCTGTTCTATTCATAACTCTGTGTCCCCACTTTCTTGAAGTACTTGGCTAAGTCACCCAACTCTTCGTTATTTGCAAACAAGTGGATTGAAGCAAAAAATTTCTCAAATGCTTTCCAGCTCTAACAATCTGTTGCTAGGCTTGTATATGTGATGCTTTCTATATATGTCTACAGGAAACTATCTAATGTTAAATATTTCTTTTCTGGCCAGGTGCAGTGGCTCACACCTGTCATCTCACCACTTTGGGAAGCTGAGGTAGGAGGATCACTTGAGTCCAAGGAGCTCCAGACCAGCCTTGGCACACACAAAAAATGAAAAATTAGCTGGTTGTAGTGGCTCACACCAGTAGCCCCAGCTACTTGGGAGGCTGAGTGAGTCGTGAATGTTCCATTGCATTTCAGCCTGGGCAACAGAGCAAGACCTTGTCTCAAAAATAATAATAATAATAATAAATTATTTTCTCTCTTTTTTTTTTTAAAGTCCTACTCTCTAATTTAGAGGGAAAAAAATCTCCTAGAACATGTTCGTGTTAGACCATCTAGAATGCTAGGCAGGGTTTCTGCCTTCAAAGAGATTGTCTTATAATGTCGTGAATCAAACTAGAATTCACACAAGAGTGTCAGGAGAGAAGGTTAGGCCAATAACAGAAATGTGGAATGCAACTCGTGCTATGTAATACAATAGTGGGGCTTATGGTTAACTGGAAAGAGCAGGCTTACCTAAAACACAAAGCCTTCCTGCTGACCTTTTATGGCCTTGAGTGGTTTTACAACCTCCATTCTGACCCAATCAGTATCCGCTAGTTTCCCTTCCCCCAGAGAGGGTAGTAACAGATCACTGACCAGGAAGGGAGTAAAATAACAGAAACCAATTATAAAGGCTAACCTCAATTTCTTCTTTTAGAAATCTTTAGTTCCATATCCTATTTGGAAAGAAAGATTTGCTTTCTCCTAAAATTCTGATGCTTTTGTAGGGGGGACACATAAAAGAAAACTGGATTTATTTATTTATTATTTTTTCTGAAGTAAAGATAGTGTGTTTAGATGACGGCCTGCAAAGACTTTAATCCCAAAAACATTTTTACAACAAGCTGACTTCAGGAAAAATTCAAACAGAACTTCTAGGAGTTTTCATTGTGAATTGAAGAAAATACGCCCCATGGATAAGTCTGAGCTCTGCAGTGACTCCCAGAGCACTCCTGGCTGGGCCTATTTTCTGTGACGTTGCCTGGATACAAAATACTGTGAAAAACTGGGAAATGATGACTTGGCCTCTTACACAGGGGATAAGAACAGTTTGGTCTGACCATAAGCCAATTTCCTTTAAAGGAGGTGACACTAAACCAAGAGTCTTTTTTCTTTTCTATTACTAATGCTATAAAAATGCTAGAATATTATAGTGTGACAGTGAGGGGGAAGCCTTGCTCTATATTTTCATGGAAAAGTAAGTCTCCCCATGAACTCCAACCAACACTAAAACAGGACTACTGTCTCAAAAGGAAATTTTTTAGTGAAAGAATCTCGACGTCCTCTGGCCCTCCAGCTTTCCTTGTGGAATTAATAAACTGCAGATGTCTTCAAAGTGAAGAAAAAGCCAGTCATGCTCCTTTGTCTTTCAGCCCACGAATGTCATAGAGTTTGGAGTCGAGTCTCTATGTGACATCAAATATTACACAATGGGAGCAACTACTTGAAAATGAGATGTTATGATTGGGGGAATGAAAGAGTTTAATTGTAAACCAGTCAACTTAGTCTTGCAAGTATTGGTTAAGAGCCGCTTAAACTGTTTTTTTTTTCTTCTTTCTTCTTCTTCTTAAAATAGACAGAGTATAGTTTGTTTACAAAAGAGAAATGGAAAATGTTCTCCCCTTTAGCACGGCGCAAATGTGAAGGGCCGCATGCCTCTGGAGTGAGTAAGGGCTTTGCCGGCTGACTCTTACTCAGGGGAGCTCACGTATACGAAGTTGTTCCTCTATGCAGCAGAGACACAGCCCACATGATTTCTGGAGGAGGAGTAACTTGGAAATTCCTTCATGAAGGAAGGAAAAAATGTGTTGGAGGCTGAGAAATAAATCACATGTTGCACTGTTTCTGCCTCTAGAGATCGCAGCACGGTCTCAACTTCCCGACCTCTAAGCAGGAACAGCAATCCCAACCTGACTGGGGACAAACACGATTCCAGGCTGCTCCTAGGTCCCCTGTAGGAAACCTAAAAAGATGGTGAGCTTCCCACCCTCGAAGCAGGGGCTCTCAGTTGGCCGTGCCTTGTCATTTTGGCAGGCCTATGGCCCTGGGGTTCCAAGGCTGGACCCCATCTCCCTCCCCAGCACTTCTCCCTCTCCTGGGCCAGTATCTGTCAAGCTCCTGCCCTGATCCCCCGCCAAAAGGCAGGAGAGCCAAGGATGCTCCCTGTGAACTAGACTGGTAGGAGACGCCGTGTCAGCTGACAAAGAGTCTTTGCTTGGCCAAACTTGAGTGGAGCTCCTGAGCCTCCTCCTAAGCCTGTGCTTCCTTATGAAATCCAGTGTTAGCAGAGAATCCTACTCGGTCAGTTTAGCAAACAACCCCCATCCGTGAGATCTGATCACCCTCCATATCTGATCGGGTTTCTCATTCTCTGCCATCCCCCACGTGATGTCCTCAGCAAGAATCCTGTTAGGTTGGGTTAGCCAGAATCCCCCTGACTGTGACATTTCCTCTTAGGAATTTTCCATCCACTGACCCCCCACACTCCTCCTTGGCTATCAATTCCTACTTGCCCATGCTGTATCTGAGTGGCACCCCATCTCTCTTCCTTCCCACGAGTCTCCGTTGCAGGGGTCACTTGAGCTAACTCAGTCCTGAATGAAGCCTTCCTGCCCATACTGTACCAGGTGTCACTGAATAATTCTTTCTCAACACGCCCATGGCAGCAGCTCGTATCACAGGAAACTATTGCTAAGGTAAAATCCCCGCAAAGGGCTGCGCCTCGGTTCACCCCTCCACTTGCACTTGCCCGCCCACCCTCACTCGGCCTCCGCATCGTCTCCCAAAACATTTCTCAGAATGTGCTTCCCCAGACGTCCCTCACCAGGGCGTCTGCAGATTCCCAGATCCCTGAGTCCGACTTTTTCCTTTCGGTAATTCTTAATACCCAGGAAGTCCGAGAAACAATGGTCTAGACAGTGACTCCCAATGGCTGTGGGAGTAAAGTGGAGGAGGTAGAGGGCTAGGGATAGGGAAGGCAGAAGGCAACGCGGGATCTGGGGAGAGGGGGGCTTGAGTGGTTTTGAAAACATTCAGCATGGGAATCCAGGCTCACGTTTGAGAACCACGCATCGAAGTCCAATTATTTAATAGAACAAACTGTAGCAGGCAAACTCCATGAAAACCTCCTAGGAAGGCCTAGTGACCTGCGCTCCCCCCAGGAACTTCCGCTCCTGACTCCAGGCCAGGACTGCCAGAGAACCTTGCGGCTCTTTTCCTGCTCATCGAAAGGGGGTGTGGCTTTTTAAAAGGTAGAAACACTGATCCTCAACCGTGATTCCCAAACCTGGCTGGCACAAGTCTCGCCTCTACTTTTAGCTCACTCCACGCCCTGGTTTTGGAATCACTGACATAGCCTGAAGGCTGTGGCAGGATTTGCACGATTTTCGTGGCCAGCATCTACTGTGCTCTTTTTCCCAGCCCCTCCCACCTCTGCAACTCTGGCCACTATGGTATCACTGTTACCTTTGCAGGTAACACCTGCAAAGGGCTGAGTGGAAGCCCAGGTCTCCTCACCAAAGCCCTCCGGGTCAGTGAGGCATTGAGGCCAGAGTCTGTGGCTGCGAGGAGCAGGCTAACTCCTCTGGCATGGAGGAGATGCTGAATATTATTTCTTGAAGAAATGGTCACCTGCTATTTTGTTATTTTCACCTGACCAATTCTGTGCCTGCCTGCCTGCCTGCCTGCTCTGATGGTTCAGTGGAGTTCCGATGCTCTGTCTCCAGTTAATTCCCTCAACCGTTAGAATCAAAGTAGTAGTTTTTTCATCCATCCATTTATTCACTCTTTCATGAACTTGAACCTTGTAAGATAAGGAGGGACAGCTTTGCCTGATGACTAGGAACGTGGAGGCAGGCAGGCCTGACTAATTCAGACTCAGGCTGCGTACAGGTTAACTTCTCCGAGCTTCAGTTTCCTCATCTATAAAATGGGGATAATGACAGCTCCTACTTAATGGTATTGTTGCAGGGATTAAAAGGATGATATGGCAAGTGCTTAACAGTCACCTTGTATTATTATTTCAGACACTATGCTAGAAAAAGAGATGTATAAAAAGCATATGAAGACAGGGCTCCTGGCTAGTACTTGGCAGTGAAAGCTGGTCTGAATCAGCAGGGGGCTGGGCAGGTGGGCATGAATGAATAGATAAGAACCCTTTGTAACTACCCACATCCATTTCTATGTAATCACTATGTAAAGTTCTTAAAACCAGTTCTTTATCTTACCTACATTAAATAGCCCTTCCCCACCCTTAATACTACATATACCACAAATCCTTTTGGGAAACAATTTTTCTTTTCAGAGTTAGACCAGAGGTAAATGTCAGCTGCAGCTGAATTCTCATAAAATCCAATTTAGTGGAATCTGAATGAAGTCTGTAAACTTCATAACCCATTATAAAAGATTCCCCAGGCTGGGTGCAGTGG
Source organism: Homo sapiens (assembly GCF_000001405.40). NCBI lineage: Eukaryota > Metazoa > Chordata > Mammalia > Primates > Hominidae > Homo > Homo sapiens. The sequence continues at coordinate 93,440,147 of NC_000010.11, forward strand.
CTCATGCCTGTAATCCCAGCACTTTGTGAGGCCGAGGCAGGTGGATCACGAGGTCAAGAGATCAAGACCATCCTGGCCAATATGGTGAAACCCCATTTCTACTAAAAATAAAAAAATTAGTCGGGCGTGGTGGCGGGCGCCTGTAGTCCTAGCTACTCGGGAGGCTGGGGCAGAAGAATCACTTGAACCCGGGAGGCAGAGGTTGCAGTGAGCCGGGATTGTGCCACTGCACTCCAGCCTGTCGACAGAGCAAGACTCCGTCTCGAAAAAAAAAACCCCCAAAACAAACCCTTATACAACAACCCTATCTAAACCAGCACCCACTCAGACCTCACCCTGCTGTTTTCTCTCCTTTACCTTCCTTTATTTTCTTCGTATCACTTATCACCATCTGTTATGTCATATGTGTATTTATCTGTTCCCTCTACTCAGATGTTAGCTCCATAAAAGGTATGGAGTACCCCCAGTGTCTAGAGCTGTGTCTGACACATAGTAGGCATTAGTAAATATTTGTGGCATGAATAAATTAGCTGATACATCATTGAAGATAGTCCAATGACCTTGCAAATTATTTACAGGTTGTAAATCTTCCTGTCCTAAGAGATCACCCGCCAAAGAGCCATCAGAAGATAATTACAGCTCTTGCCTTTATGAGATGCCTTTCTCTTTCAGCCTCTCTGGGTATCTTTCTCCAGGGCTGTGGCCCAATCTTATTTAATCACAAGATCTTAACAGATACCAACAGGATTGCAGCAGCTACTTAATCTGCCTTCCAAAAAGTGCAGTTCAGCCTCTCCCCGTATAGAGACAGCCAGCCCAAACCAGCTCAGATCATTTCAGTGTCATTGCTCTAATACAGAACTAAAAAGAAATCAGAACTGAGAGTTCTGCCCCACAGTAACATCTGCTTCTAGTTTAGATTTTTGTACAGCCTGAGAAGCTACTCCAGTGAGAAGAACCTGTTTCAATCCATGGGCTATCCTATCCTTCCTCACCAACCAACCCCAGGAGAAGAAAGACCACCTTCTCCCACTGTCACATTTACATGGGGCAAGGTCAGAAATGAGCTTTATAACTAGGAGAAATAAAAGTAATAAAAGCTTAAAGACAAGGTATTTCATATACTAGGGAATGAAAAACGTCTTATAAGCAATACCACACTTTGCCCTACCAAATTAATTTTATTCCAAACGCAGTCTTTTGTTTTTTCTAATTTAAAACAAGCTAGGGAGTTAGTACATTTCTTTTTTTTTTTGGAGACGGAGTCTCACGCCGTTGCCCAGGCTGGAGTGCAGTGGTGCAATCTCAGCTCATTGCAAGCTCCACCTCTTGAATTCAAGCGATTCTCCTGCCTCAGTCTCTGGAGTAGCTGGGATTACAGGTGCCCGCCACCATGCCTGGCTAATTTTTGTATCTTTTTTTTTTTTTTTTTTTTGAGACAGAGTCTCACTCTGTCACCCAGGCCGGAGTGCAATGGCACGGTCTCGGCTCACTGCAACCTCTGCCTTCTGCATTCAAGCGATTCTCCTACCTCAGCCTCCCGAGTAGCTGGGATTACAGGCGCTTGCCACCACACGCAGCTAATATTTGTATTTTTAGTAGAGACGGGGGTTTGCCCATGTTGGCCAGGCTGGTCTCGAACTCCTGACCTCGTGATCCACCTGCCTCGGCCTCCCAAAGTGCTAGAATTACAGGCGTGAGTCACCGTGCCCGGCCGAGAGTTAGTACATTTCACAACGTAAGCTAGGTCTTTTCCTTTTTTTATTTAATTCTATATCCTTTTCCTTTAATTCTATATTCCCCCGAACAACCTCTCACTTTCAAGTTTTAGCACCCTGGCCCTCAACCTGAACACACACACACACACACACACACACACACACACACACACACACAGAATAAACCTTGGAAAGTCTGGGCTCTGTGTAAGAGGATTTTAACATACCTATGTAAAATCCACATGCTTCCACTTAAAGAGCTGAGTGACCTTTTACAATTTAATGAACCTCTTTCAGCCACATTTTTCTCATCTGTGAGTTGAAGATCAGACTGTCTGACGGACTCATAGTTGATATAAGGATTAAATGCGATTGTAACTGAAACAGTTTTAACATCGTCCCTGACACACAGTAAACCTAGAAGAAAAGAATTAGCTATTTTGTTGTTCATCAGGAAATTGAAGTAATTTTTTCTTAATTATATCAAATTTGCCCTATATCTACTATTTATTGAGGAAGTATCACAGTCCCCATTATAAAGATTAAGAAATTTGCCAAGAGTCACCCAACCAACAAGAAGCAAAACCAAAGTTCTGTCTAATCTCATGATTGTACAGCTGGCCACATGCCCACACCTCTTACACAAGAACTGGAATACATTTCCTTCTAGGTATATTGTCAGGCCTTTTTGTTATCTCCTTCCTACAATACGGCAAAACAGATGCCTTGCTTGAGATTTATATTCAGAAACTGTTTCTAACTTTGTTCTGCATTGGTGTGGAAGTATATATAATGGTGGTTTTGCATGCACAAGTACATGTATTTGGAGGGCAGAAAGAATACTAGACATGCAAATTCTGAGACAGATAATTATGGTCACTTTATTTCAGACATTGTAATTGTCATCTCTAGCAGTCCAAGTTAATTTTTTTAAATTATCTTCCATGTCCCTACTAGCATGCTCAAGCAATTCTCCACCTTCTTGAATCTATAGAATAGAATTCCAACACTCAGCGGGGCACGGTGGCTTATGCCTGTAATCCCAGTACTTTGGGAGGCCGAGGGGGGCGGGTCACATGAGGCCAGGAGTTCGAGACCAGCCTGGCCAAAATGGTGAAACCCCGTCTCTGGTAAAAAAAATACATAAATTAGCTGGGCATGGTGGCGTGTGCCTGTAATTCCAGCTACTCCAGAGGCTGAGGTAGGAGAATCACTTGAACCCGGAGGCGGAGGTTGCAGTAAGCTGAGATCGTGCCACTGCACTCCAGCATGGGCAACAGAGTGAGACTCTGTCTCACAAAAAATTTTTTTTAAAGAATTATAATACTTGTTTTACTGTCCATGTCTACTGATTGTGTGCCATTTCTGGGTCAGTTTCTATTGATTGTTTTCTACCTACATTAGGGAGGCAAAATCCTTCCCTATGAATTACAAGGTGTTTCCCCCGGTTGGCGGGAACATAAACTCTTTCTAGTCCTGCCTCAAGCAGTTTCCTCACTCAGTTCTCAGCTGAAGATTCAAGGGGAATTCTCTGCAAGTCTCTGAAGTGCTCTCTCTGTCTCTCCTCTCTCTTCTCTCCTCTTTCTTCTCTCTCTCTCTCTCTCTCTCTGTGTGTGTGTGTGTGTGTGTGTGTGTGTCTGTGTTTCTCTCCTCTTGGTCCACTAGTAACCTTGGCATCTTTAGACTAACCTTGGCATCTCTAGACTCCCACCTGCACCTCTCCAACTCTGGGAGACAACAAGGATCCCTTTTCTTGCATTGCAGCATGGAAATGAGTCTCTCTAGGCATTAAGCTGGGAACTCTCAGGGCTCACCTCATTTATCTCCCATCTCTTAGAGATCACTGTTCTGTGCCAGCAAAGTCCAACATCTGAAAACTACTGTTGCATGTATTTTGTTTTAGTTGTGTCAGGTGGGAGGGTAAATCTAATCCCTTAGCATAACGGAACTACAGTCAATTCCAAACTACAGTCAATTTAAGGATGAGAATTCTGAGGCCTGGAGAGGGTAAGTAACTTGCCCAGGTCACCCACTAGTAATCAGTAGAGCTGGGTCTCTAATCGGCTTCTGCCTGGCTCCAGAATCCCAACTTTCAAATACCATGCTCTCCTGCCTTCCTGTGAGCTCAGCCTTGAGTTCCACATCTCTCTACAAAATGGCATGAGCTTTGTGAGAGAGGTTTGTTTCTCTTGTGTTCTGACCTTTGTATCCTGACCCCTTTGCAGCTTAAACCCAAGTTGGAACTAGGGTGCTGTTTCAGAGAGCCGAGGTGGACAGATTCCACACTGGTGGCCCATTACCAGTGAGCTGACAGGACAGCTGCAAGGTGCTTCTTAAATGGTAAATGTCATCCACGTAGGAGCATCATAAACTCACTTGTTCACTCATTCATCCAACAAACGTTTATTTAGAGCCTACTATATGCCAGGCACTGTGCTAAGTGCTGGTCTTACGGCATTGAACAAGAGTGACATGGAGTTTACTATCCAGTAGAGAGAGAACAAATGAATAAGTAAATAGAAAAGAACATTTCAGATGGTGGTGAATGCTGAGCTACATATAGCAGGTGTGTGGACCAGCACATACCCTGAGTACTTGTCTAAAACACAATTCTAGCATGTATTTGCTCACACAGACTCCTTTTCCCATTCTTACACTCACATGAGCTCCCTAATAAGAAGGGCTTTGGAAGAATAAAACAGAGTAATAAGATAAAGAGTGACAGGGAGGGGCTGCTCTAGGCTGGATGATCAGACATGGTGAGGCCCAATGACAAGATTTTACATCTATTGCAGTTTGAGGGAAGGAGCATTCCACGCAAAGGGAACAGCAAATGCAAAAACTCTACGCAGTACCTCTTTTTTCTCCTGGGCATGTGTGTCCACGTGTGCATACACACAGACACACAAATCTGAAAACTTGTCAATATCTTTTATTTCTACATGTACAGGTTCTTGAAGATGGCACTTTTAGGAACTCAAGGGTAGGGCCAGGATGCCAACAGATCAGGGTCCCAGCCTCCACCCCTCTGAGGCTCAAGTCTACTCTCTACTTCTCAAGGTCACTGTGAAGAGCAAATGAGATGAGATATAGTCTCTTCATATATCTGGTCCATTGCAGAATATAGGCATAAGTGACTTCCTACTCAACAGTATAAAAATGCTTAAAATTTTTACCTAGGGTGGAGCTTATAAAAGGTAGCAATACACTGATATTGAGAATTAAATTTTTTTTTGTCAAAATTAGGAAGAAAAATCACTTCTATTTCAGCAGAGATAATTGATCATTCTACCTACATTTTGTTTACTATAGGTAGTCAGAGGCTTTCAGTATAACATAAAAGTCAAGTGTACAGGCCTGGATATAGATGAGCTGACTCTAACACACACCTGCTGTGTGACCTTGAGCAGGTTACTAAACCTCTCTGAGGAAAAATAGGACCCATCATATGAGGTGTGTGTGAGGATCAATTGGGGTAATGAATGCAAAGGGCTGGGCACAGCCCTTGGCACATGCTAAGTCCTCACAAAGCTATAACCATTGGCTGCCTGCAAAGGGAACTTTCATTCTTCAGCCTCTGGGAAAATCTTTCCACTCTGACATTTCCTCTAAAAAATAACATTTCATGTTCCTTATGTGACCAAGAGGCTCCTCTGTCTCCTTTCTCACCCTCATTCCCTCTGAATGGCTGGTTGGATGACTGTAAAGTGAGGAAGAGGAGAGTCCACACTGAACAAGGCAACCCGCTCCCAGTGCCTGAGGGGTGGGGAGGTGTCACTGCCCACAGGCGCTGTGAGCCTGGGACTGCCTGGGTCTAGCCCATGCGGGTGTGGGCATGGAGCCCAGCTGACCGAGGCAGCTGGGAACTGTTTGCTAATAGGCCGGGGAGCAGCAGATGCAAAGTGAGGGCTCATGTTTGCACAGGCCATCGCCATGGCAACAGGAAAGTCAACAGGCAGGACATTCCTTAAGCTGTAGAAAACCCTTCCGCCCCAACCCTGCACTTCAGGTGAGGGAAGCGGTCCCACACTGAGCAGTAAGCAGATCCTCAAAGGCCAGAACTTTAGTAGAAAAGCCAAAAAGAAAATCTGGGCCCAAAATACACAAATATTTTGAAAACACATATAGTTTATTCCCAGATGGTTAAAAAAAAAAAGTTTGTTTCTGAAATGTACAGGTAATCTGACCAAGGTGTGTGTATTGGTTAGTTGGTGGAAACTAAGCTAATGATCATGATTCCCAGCTGAGGATGGGGAGGCACACTGCTTACAAAAGAGCAGAGGCGGTGGAGGGGCAGGAAATCATGCCTTGTTCATTACAGAGCTGACGCAGGGTCGGCCTTCCACTGCAAGACAGTAAACTATGCAGTGGAATCTGCAGGATGAGAGATAATGTTCTAATTTTTAGTGAAAACACCTCCTCCAATGACCTGGCCATAGGGTCTGAAGTTCTCATCTTGTTCACTCCTTCAAGTAAGTCACTGATGGCCTTCAGTCCAAAAGTCAGTGTTACCGGGAAATTAACTATTAGCAGCTATTATAGCATCACCCGATTAATTTCTCAGAAAGTGCCTTGAAGCAGGACCTTGAAGGACTGAGCCACAGGACAGGTAAGTTTTGTACAGGAAAAGAATTGGCAGAAGATGCAGGGTGTGGCTCAGAGGGCAGGCCTCAGCGGGTACCACAGTGGGAGCCAGGAAACTTAAAGACACTGGGTGCCCAGCAAATGTCAGGGGGATGGAAGATGGGAGGGGGGAAGATTGAAAAAGTAACCAAGACCAGCTTCATAATTGGCCTAGAATTTACCTTTTTCTGTTATGCCTAACAATTCCCGTCATCATAATATCAGAGTAACCACGTGCTCATTTGGTCTTTTTTTTTTTTTCTCACTCCGTCACCAGGGCTGGAGCGCAGTGGTGTGATCTCAGTTCACTGCAACCTCTGCCTCCCAGGTTCGAGTGATTCTTGTGCCTTGGCCTCCTGAGCTGGGATTACAGGTGTGCACAACCACGCCCAGCTAATTTTTGTATTTTAGTAGAGACAGGGTTTCACCACGATGACCAGGCTGTTCTCGAACTCCTGGCCTCAAGTGATCTGCCTGCCTCGGCCTCCCAAAGTGCTGACATCACAGGCATGAGCCACCACACCCAGCCTCGTTTGGTCTTTATACTCAATAGGCATCATAACACCAAGTGCAACATAGCTCAGCACGATGCATGGTGCCCCTGAACCTTAGAAGGACCCTCTTAGAACAGGACCTATCATATTTTCTTTGTTCAGAATTATGCATGTCATAGGTTCAGAAAAATATGAAAATGTGCAGGTTCAGATAGACTGCACGTGAACTTGTGATACTCTACCTTGTTTTAACCTGATTGTCTCTCTTAGCTGAAAGAGCCAGACAGACTCCATTTTAGTTCCTTCACTTACAGCCCCTTTACCTCCCTTCCTTAAGGGCATGACTAGTGTAAACTGACTCAAAGCACGTCCAGGAATGCACTTACCGATAAGACATTGAGGCAAGCTGCACCAGCAGCTCCTGGGGACGTGCTCGGTGGATGGCACCTAAAGCCCCTGCATTTATCTCTTTGTGATAGTTTAAGCCCCTACACCTGGAACTGGTTATTTTTTGTAACTGCTTTTGTAACCAATTAATTTTTTAACTTTTTGCCAGTTATGCTTCTGTAAAAATTGCTTCAGCTAAACTCCCCCCTTCCCTATTTAGACCACGGTATAAAACAAATCTAGCCCCTTCCTCGGGGCTGAGAGAATTTTGAGCGCTAGCTGTCTCTCGTTCGCCAGCTAATAAAGGACTCCTGAATTAGTCTCAAAGTGTGACGTTTCTCTATAACTCACTTGGTTACAACAAACTCTATCTCTAGAAATGCACAAAAATGCCCGAAATGAGTGCCAGGGTGAGCCTGACGGTGGGGGGCTGACCTCTCCCCATCACTGCTGTCATCTGAGGGCCCCACTGTGTTTTCAATGGGTCTAAAATAAATATATAATGGTCTCCCAGTATTGTTTTCCTGCCTCCTAACTGGTTCCTACCTCCAGTCTCTACACAGAAAGCCTGAGTGATCCTTTTAAAATATGTCAGATCATAAGCAAAAGCTTTTAACGGATTCTCATTCCACTTAGGATGAAATCCAAAGCCCGTGCCTTGGCCCCCAAAGCCACATATATTGTGGTTTCTCTGACCTCACCTCCTTCCTGCACTTTCAACCCTCACTGTGCCCCAGGTTGGCTGCCTTTCTCACGTTTCTCCAGCATCCCCAGTGCACTCCTGCCTCAGGGCCTTTGCACTTGCTATTCTCTGCCCAGAATATTCTTCCCCCCTACTCCCTAACCCCCCAATGAACTGCATGGCTCAGTTCTTCATTATATTAGGTTGGTGCAAAATTGCAATTACTTTTGTGATTATATTTAGGTCTCTGCTCAATTGTCACCTTATCACCACCTCACATAAAATGGGATCTCCTTTCCCCCCACCCTTGACAACTTTCCCTTTTCCTCTGATTTGCTTTTCTTCATGGGATATAACAGTTTCTTCTTTAGCTCACAGCATTCATGGTACCCGACATATTATGTATATATTTTTTAGTGTATTTGTTTATTTTCTAACTTTCCTTAAGTATCGTAACCTTCAGGAAAGCAAGGACTTTAAACCATAGATGAGAGTTTTGAGGCCAGCCCATTGCCATGCTAAAATAGATAAGGCATAAAATGAGGAAGGCCTCAACCAGGCTGGTGGCTGTGGGCTTGGGGAAGAAACACAGGCACAAGCACAGACTTTGGAAAGGAAGAAAACATAAGATCTGAGGACAGACTGGATAAGAGGCAAGAGGGAGCTGGGTGCAGTGGCTCACGCCTGTAATCCCAGCACTTTGGGAGACCAAGGTGGGCAGATCACTTGAGGTCAGGAGTTTGAGACCAGCCTGGCCAACATAGTGAAACCCTGTCTCTGCTAAAAATACAAAAATTAGCTGGGCATGGTGGTGTGCACCTGTAATCCCAGCTACTCAGGAGGCTGAGGCAGGAGAATCACTTGAACCTGGGAGGCAGAGGTTGCAGTGAGCCAAGATCACGCCACTGCACTCCAGCCTGGGTGACAGAGTGAGACTCTGTCTCAAAAAAAAAGCAAGAGGGATAGGGTGCAGAGAGGTCTGAAGTTTTAAGCCCAGGATCTGAAACCATCCTGTCCAATATGGTGGCCACTAGCTACACGTGGCTACAGAGCACTTGAAATGTGGTAAGTCTCTGAATTGAGAGGTGCTGTAAGTGTGAAGCAAACACCAGATTCCAAAGCCTGAGTAAGAGAAAGAATGTGTGCAGAATATCACAGTGATTCAAACACATTGATTACATGTTGAAATAACATTTTGAATCTGCTGAGTTAAATATATTATTAAAATTGATTTCACCCATTTCTTCATATTTGTGTTAATCTGGCAACTAGAAAATTTTAAATTGCATGTGCACCCTGCACTGTATTTCTGTTGGAGAGGCCTGGTCTAGAATATAAACAGTGGTACCATTTGCAGAAAGAAGAAAGCAAAGAAGAGGAGGGCCTAGTCTTAGTAACATGCAGGAGGCTAGTGTGAGGCCCTCCCCTCTCCTCCCCTTCCCCAAAACTTTGAAATATGGGAAATAAAACTGGCTTTTGGGAGTTGGGGTGGGGAATAAATAATCATATAATAGTTCGCAGCTGAGATATGCGACAGAAACTTAAAAAGCTAGAATAGTTTCCAGTGCAAGAGAGTGGGACCAGAACCTGCTAGAATGTATGCAGGTATGTATTCATTTATTTAGAGATGGGGTCTCACTATGTTACCCAGGCTGGTTTCTAACTCCTGGGCTCAAGTGATCCTTCCACCTCAGCCTCCCAAAGTGCTAGGATTACAGGCATGAGCCACCACACCTGGCCCAGAATGTATTTATATAGTTACAGAAAAATATGCAGGGGGCATCGGTCAGCAACAGAGAATGGTAAAAAGGATGTCATCAAAGGCGAAGATGGGAGTGCCTATCAAAGCACTGTCCAGGGAGTCCATGTCTGTGCAGACTCTCTTATTTTGATGCCGGTAAGCAGAAGACCCCAATAACTGGAGTGACCATCTAATTTACTGTACCCCTGTAATCCCAGCACTTTGGGAGGCTGAGGTGGACAGATCAGTTGAGGCCAAGAGTTCGAGACCAGCCTGGCCAACATGGTGAAACCTCATCTCTACTAAAAAACACAAAAATAGGCCGGGTGCAGTAGCTCACACCTGTAATCCCAGCACTTTGGGAAGCCGAGGCAGGCAGATCATGAGGTCAGGAGTTCGAGAACAGCCTGACCAACATGGTAAAACCCCATCTCTACTAAAAGTACAAAAATTAGCCAGGCATGGTGGCACACGCCTGTAGTCCCAGCTACTCAGGAGGCTGAGGCAGGAGAATCACTCGAACCTAGGAGTCTGAGGTTGCAGTGAGCTGAGATCGTGCCACTGCACTCCAGCCTGGGCGACAGAGCAAGACTCCATCTCAAAAAACAAACAAACAAACAAAAACCACAAAAATTAGCCAGGTGGAGAGGTGCATGCCTGCAATCCCAGCTGTTCAGGAGGCTGAGGCACAAGAATCACTTGAACTAAGGAGGCGGAGGTTGCGGTAAGCTGAGATTGCGCCACTGCACTCCAGCCTGGGTGACAGAGTGAGACTCCATCTCAAAAACAAAAAATAATAATAATTTACTGTCCAAACCCAGCCACGTTGACTGCAAAAGGGGCATTATTAATCACTGTGCTAGGACAGCAAACCAGGACTGTCTCAAGCAATCAGAGCATGTGACCACCTACCTCAACTAATTTATCCTAAATTTTTGCTCTCACTGCAGCCTTCAGATTATATCAGATGTGCCTAAGACATACATTTTTAAATGTACTAACATTACTAAAAACTGAAATGCTTCTTACAATTGATGGGGGCATTAAATATCACGCTTTTTTTGGCCCCTAACCATTTATTAATTTGATAGTATACTTTATAAACAATAACATCTTGAAATCGAGGATACAAAGTAATTTGGCTTCCCATGTGGTATGACTTGAAGGAAAATTCATGGGTTGGAGGGTAGAAATGCCCTGTCACTAGGCAATTGACTTCCACCAGAAGGAAAATAAGCAGGTATTCTGGTTTTAAGTATTAGTATCAGCTGGGCACGGTAGCTCACACCTGTAGTTCCAGCCCTTTGGGAGGCTGAAGCGGGTAGATCACCTGAGGTAAGGAGTTCAAGACCAGCCTAGCCAACATGGTGAAACCCTGTCTTTACTAAAAATATAAAAGTTAGCTGGGCGTGGTGGTGCACGCCTGTAATTCCAGCTACTTGGGAGGCTGAGGCAGGAGAATTGCTTGAACCTGGGAGGTGAAGGTTGCAGTGAGCCAAGATTGTGCCACTGCACTCCAGCCTGGGTGACAGAGTCAAAAAAAAGAAAAAAACCTTTAGTCTCTTGTGAACTTGGTTAGTTTGAATTGGTAACATACGACTGGGTCTACAAGGCCAAAGTCCAGATCCAGGACTAGGGTGAATTTATTAATACTAAGATCATTCTGTCCCACGGGAACCTGTTTGGGAAGTCTCCCAATTTTACTCAGAGGACAACCCTCAGTGTCACCACGGGCACCACCGTGACCCTTCCCCATGTGAAAGGAAAGAGGCAGTAAGGCAAGGATTAAGGTCTGTTTAGGTCTGTTGGGATTAAAAGGCGAAGGAGACATTAACATGGAAATGGGGCTGAAAGTAAAACTTGAATGAGACATGTATAGGCCACAAATAATCAGAAGAAGTGATTTGGGTTGTATCCAATATCACTACAGTTCAGATAAACTGCCAGAGGTAGGAAGTGCAGTTGACCAAGAAGTTGTAGGCATGTGAACAGGCTTCACTCTAAGTGCCAAGTTTGATAAACTAGTCTAGGTGGCTCGGTGTTTGCAGCTTTTTTGGAATAAAAGCAGTCATTGGGAAAAAGTGCTGTGATGGATTAGCCACATCTGCTATTGGCTTAGAAGGGAGCGGGGCATGGAATTAAAGCACATTTATATTGGAAGTATTATAATACGTTATTAAAGATGTGTCTCTTCAACAAAATAAACAACAGTGAGATAGTAATACCTAAAATGAGAAAAACAGGTGAAAACAACTTACTTATTTTGTCCAATTGTCTCAAAATCTTTCACAATAATCCCAAGGGAAGATGAAAAGTCCAGTGGTATACCCCTCAAGTCAAACTCCAAAATCTGTTCACAGAAAGGTTTTGAAAAAAGAGAAAAAAAAAGGCTGTTAGAAGGAGCAGAGATTACACTAAGATGCACCAGTACTACATGTTGGGTCATTATTTTCACCAATGACAATCTTTTGAAGTTATGCAGAAATGATTAAATTCTAAACCTGAAGGCAGCTGAGGGGGCAGGAAAGCAAACCAGATGTCGACTTAGAGGACCTGTAGACAACTCCTGGCTTCCTGCTTTCTAGGTTCTGTGGCTTCAACCAGGTGACCACACCCCTGCTTCATACTCAAGAGCTGGACTCAACGACTACCACAACTGCTGCAAGAATAAAATGCAGGGTGTTGTTCTCACTCATAAGTGGGAATTGAACAATGAGAACACTTGGACACAGGATGGGGAACATCACACACTGGGGCCCGTTGTGGGGTGGGGGGAGGGGGGAGGGATAGCATTAGGAGATACACCTAATGTAAATGATGAGTTAATGGGTGCAGCACACCAACATGGCACATGTATACATATGTAACAAACCTGCACTTTGTGCACATGTACCCTAGAACTTAAAGTATAATAATAACAAAAATAAAAAAATTAAAAAAGAATAAAATGCAGGGTATATGTGAAAACATTTTCTTCAATGGCTAGTTTTAAATTATCTGCTCTTCTTAATCATACTACTATCAAACAAAGAAGATGAATAATCTAAGAAAACATTTTCTAAAATGCCTCTCATTTTAAGTTCCACCATGGTCGGTCAATGCTATAATATACCGACCTTTCTGAGACTCTCATTTTAATGCAGTAAGTTGCTTCCTAATGACAAAAGTAAAAAAAAAAGATTGATAAAGCGTCACTGATGCCTTTGACTGATTAGGTAATAATTAAATGATGACTTGATCCTCCTTGTAGTGGGCTTGGAATGGAAGGAAAACTTGTTTCAGAACTTCTTAAAAAATTATTTTTAGCACTTCTAAAAAAAAACAAGTTCTCAGTCTCCTCAGTAGCTGGGGATTACAGGTGTGTACCACCATACCCAGCTAATTTTTTTTTTGAGACAGAGTCTTGCCCTGTTGCCCAGGCTAGAGTGCAGTGGCACAATTTCAGCTCACAGCAACCTCCACTTCCCGGGTTCAAGCAATTCTCCTGTCTCAGCCTCCCGAATAGCTGGGATTACAGGCGCCTGCCACCATGCCCTGCTAATTTGTGTATTTTTAGTAGAGACAGGGTTTCACCATGTTGGCCAGGCTGGTCTCGAACTCCTGACCTCATGATCCACCCGCCTTGACCTCCCAAAGTGCTGGGATTATAGGCGTGAGCCACCGCACCTGGACAATTTTTGTAGTTTTAATAGAAACAGGGTTTCACCATGTTGGCCAGGCTGGTCTCAAACTCCTGACCTCATGTGATCTACCCGTCTTGGCCTCCCAAAGTGCTGGGATTACAGGCATGTGCCACCACACGTGGCCTCAGAGCTTCTCTTAGAACACACCCAGCCTGGGAATGGTGGCTCATACCTGTAACTCCAGCACTTTGGGAGGCTGAGGCAAGGAGTTCAAGACCAGCCTGGACAACTTAGATTCTGTCTCTGTGAAAAATTTAAAAATCAGCAGAGCGCAGTGGTGTGTGCCTGTAGTCCCAGCTGCTTGGGAGGCTGAGTGGGGAGGATTGCTTGAGCCCAGTTAGTTATGGCTGCAGTTAGTTATGACTGTGCCATTACACTCTGGCCTGGGTGGCAGAGGAAGACCCTGTCTCAAAAAAGAAAAAAAAGAGCCGGGCGCAGTGGCTCATGCCTGTAATCCCAGCACTTTGGGAGGCCAAGGCAGATGGATCACCTGAGGTCAGGAGTTCGAGACCAGCCTGACCAACATGGTGAAATCCCATCTCTACTAAAAATACAAAATTAGCCAGGCGTAGTGGCATATGCCTGTAATCCCAGCTACCTGGGAGGCTGAGGAAGGAGAATCACTTGAACCCAGGAGGCGGAAGTTGCAGTGAGCCGAGATCGCACCATTGCACTCTAGCCTGGGCAACAAGAGCAAAACTCCATCTTAAAAGAAAAAAGAAAAAAAAGAACACACCCAGCACCAGCAATCCCAGTGGGTTTGGGGTTGACATTTCATTTGTGTTTGGTTTCAATTATAAAACAGTTTACTTGATAAGTACATCTGCAATATGAAAGGAAAGAAAAAAAAAACATGTTGGAAACAAAATGGAATAAGATGGCTGATTCCCTGCAGAGGACATGCCAGCTCGCATGACAGCACATCTCTCTCTGCCATTGGTCACGTGGCTTGATCTCAATCTCAAATTTGAAGAGATGAGTTGGGATGATTCAAAATCTGAAGTAGGAAGCACTCTCACATAAATGCATTTTTTATTTGCTTTATTCTTGGAGTTCTGTCAGGTGCTAGGAATCCACAATGACCAACCCAAGGGGCCTCTTGCTCTCATGGAGCTTGTAGTCCAGCTGGCTGTGTTCTGGATTCTGGGGAAATTACAGATAAGTGGAATTCCCTCTCAACCTGCCTGAGACCTGCTGGGCGTTTCAGAAAGGCATTAAAAAGGCTGGGCAGAGTGGCTGACGCCTGTAAACTCAGCACTTTGGGAGGCCAAGATGGGAAAATGGCTTGAGACCAGGAACTCAAGACCAGCCTGGGCAACATAGCAGGATGTAATCTCTACAAATGTTTTTTAAAATTAGCTGGGCATGGTGGCTTATACCTGTAGTCCCAGCTATTCAGGAGGCTAAAGCAGGGCTATCGCTTGGCCCTGGGAGATCGAGGCTGTAGTAAGATATGATTACACCACTGCATTCCAGCCTGGGTGACAGAGCGAGACCCTGTCTTTTTTTAATTAAAAAAAAAAAAAAAAAAAAAAAAAAGGCCAGCCGTGGTGACTTATGCGTGTAATCCCAGGACTTTGGGTGCTGGGTGGATCACCTGAGGTCGACAGTTCGAGACCAGCCTGATCAACATGGAGAAACCCCATCTCTACTAAAAATACAAAATTAGCTGGGTGTGGTGGCACATGCCTGTAATCCCAGCTACTCAGGAGGCTGAGGCAGGAGAATTGCTTGAACCCAGGAGGCGGAGGTTACGGTGAGCAACCTGCACTCCAGCCTGGGCAAGAAGAGCGAAACTCCATCTCAAAAAAACAAAAACAAAAACAAAAAACAAAAAAACAAAAAAAGAACAAAAAAAACCCCCAAGGCATTAAAAAGTTTTTTGTTTCACTTCATTCAAGAATAAGGTCTAGCGAGGCGCAATGGCTCACACCTGTAATCCCAGCACTTTGGGAGTCTGAAGCAGGTGGATCACTTGAGCTCAGGAGTTGAAGACCAGCCTGGGCAACACGGCAAAAGCCCATCTCTACAAAAAATAAAACAATTAGTTGGGTGTGGTGCACGCTTGTGGTCCCAGCTACTCAGGAGGCTGAGGTGGGAGGACCACCTGAGCCCAGGAATTCAAGGCAGTATTGAATCTTAATCACGCCACCGCACTCCAACCTGAGGGAGACCCTATCTCAAAAACAAACAAACAAATAAAAAAAAACCCAGAAGGTTCTAGTCTTTATCTTATAGAGATATTGAAACTAGTTGGGAGAGAAAGGTGGGTGGGTGGAGGGGAGCCTTCATGGCCTAGTGACTTGGTGAAAATAACAAAGACATTCATTATTGCTCTTGTCCAGGGAGGTTTGACCCAGCTTTTGAAAAACACAATGGAGCTGGCCATCAACTGTTAAAAAGTTAAAGTTTCATGAATAATTGGGTGGTTTAAAAGAGAGAGACAGAGAGAGAGTAGGAAAATCCTATTCAGTGGGAAGAATTAAATTTTTTCACTTATTTGTGAAAATATTAAACACTGAACCACTTCTAAAATAGATATAAGGTCGACAGTGGGGGGAGGTAAATAAGTTATATGTCTTCAGTAGAATATTGCACAGTCATTAAAATACTTTTGAATTTTATGCTTTTGAATTATTAAAATAATTTTATGCTTTTGAATTAAAATACTTTTGAATTATTAAAATAATTTTGAATTAATATGGGCATATGCTTAGGATATAATAGCAAGAAAGTGTAGGAGAGGAAATCATTTGCTATATGCTGCTAGTTTGTGTTATCAGATGTCGTATTTCATTAAATATATTCCTCCAATAAACACTTAGTGATACATCACAGATGTTAATAGTAGTTGCCTCTAGAGAGTGGGACCCAAGTTAATTTTTTAAAGATTAATTGAAGTTTTCAAAAGTTTCCACATGAAGCATACTGGACATCACTTTTATCAACATAAAACCAATACATGTCATTACCCAGCTAGACACACAGAGAATCATGTGATACACTCTTGATTTGTCACATGCAGACATGTTTTTAATTATGAGGCCTTCCTTCTGAGACTCTGGAGATGATCTAATCCCACCCTTGCTCTGCACATGTGCCCCAGATATGCAACATAAGTGGACCAAGCTCACACAGCAAGCTCGTGGCGGTGCCTGGTAAGAACTCAACTCTCCTGCCAGTCCAGGCTTCCCTTGCCGCGCCACTGCTGTACAGAAGATGGTCGCTGGTGAGCTACTCTCCTTGAACTGCTCTGCTCTCTTGGTGAACACAAAGGGAAACGGAGTGGGTGGGGGTGAAATGTAGAGATTCTCCTTCCGAAGGGAAGAGGTAACCTCTCACCCAAAGATAGGACAATCAGAAATAGCTTATCTATTAAAACAAAGTTGAAAAAACAATGAAGTCACCTCATTCCAGACAGGGTTCAATTCATTATCAACTTTCTTTGTTTTCTTTTTCTCATCTGCAAAAGAGATAAAGGAAGAGACAGCAATCATTTATAAAAAAATTAAAGAGCGTGGGCCATTCATTTATTCTAAGAACATTACCCAAGGGTCTACTTGCACCCACATCTCCCCATTCATCGCTTAGGATGGGTGTTTACCTGAATCACAGTTTTCCAAATGAAATGGCATTTTTTGGTCTACAAGGTTTTCCCATCTCCAGGTCTACATGGAGTTAAGGGATGTGATGTTCTGCCCTTCTCTCACCAAGGCTACCCAGAGCCTCTGCATCTCTGGCTTGCTGCAGAAAGAAGCCAACAAAGCTAACCTCTGAGATGCTGATATTGCTATTTTATAGATGAGGATATTGAGGCTCAAAGAGTTAAGACGTTTATCTGAGCTCACACCTGGCAGTGATGCCCTGATTTAAACCTGGAATTTCAGCTCTGAAGCTCATGCTGCATCTGAGTGTGCTAAGATGCCAACACAGCTTCAATATTAAGCTGGACTCCCTCCCATAGGCTTCGGTACAAGGTCATTAGTAGATGAAAACTTTCTAAGACCAGCGGATAATTTGGGGCTTCCTTTACTCCGAGGCCACCTTTTCTGAAGACACAAGATCTTTCTTCTCTGTGTCTGAGCCTGGACAGTACACCTACCTGGATGAGCACACGAGCAAATCCAGCAAGTGCTTAAAGTTTCCTTGTAGCAAAGTCCAAAGAGCAGAGGCTTCTTTTGGGTCCCCAAGTCCCCAAATACCTACCCAAATAAAAGCTAATCTTCGAGTACAAAATGCTTTGTCAGCATTATCTCATCTAATTTTTTTTTTTTTTTGAGACAGGGTCTCGCGAGGTCGCCCAGGCTGGAGTATAGTGGCACTATTTCGGCTCACTGCAACCTCTGCCTCCCAGCTCAAGAGATCCTCCCACCTCGGCGCCCCATGTAGTTGGGACCACAGGTGCACACCACCACACCCAGCTAATTTTTCTATGTTTTTTTTTTTTTCACTAGAGATGGGGTTTTGCCATGTTGCCCAGGCTGGTCTCAAACCCCTGAGCTCAAGTGATCCACCTGCCTCAGCCTCCCAAAGTGCTGGGATTACAGGTATGAGCCACTGCGCCCGGCATTCATCTAATCTTAAAAACCTAGGAGAAGCCAGGTGAGGTGGTGCACGCCTGTAATCCCAGCACTTATGGAGGCCAAGGTGGGAGGATTGTTTGAGCCTAGGAGTTCAAGACCAGCGTAGGCAACATAATGAAACCCCATCTCTACAAAAATACAACAATTAGCTCTGTGTGGTGGCACACACCTATAGGTTCCAGCTACTCAGGAGGCTGAGGTGGGAGGATCCCTTGAGCCCAGGAGGTCAAGGCTGCAGTGAGCCAAGATCACACCACTGCACTCCAGCCTGGGAAACAAAGCAAGACCCTGTCCAAAAACAAAAAACAAACCCTAGGAGGTATATATTACTATTTTCATCCCCCTTTCACAGCTAAGGAAACTGAGAAGCTGAGTAACATTCAAAGTCACCCAGTTGGCTGGGTGCGGTGGCTGACACCTGTAATCCCAGCACTTTGGGAGGCCAAGGCGGGCAGATCACTTGAGGTCAGGAGACCAGCCTGGCCAACATGGTGAAACCCCACTTCTACTAAAAATACAAAAATTAGCCAGGCATGGTGATGGGTGCCTATTATCCCAGCTACTCGGGAGGCTGAGGCAGGAGAATCACTTGAACCCAGGAGGCAGAGGTTGCAGTAAGCCGAGATCGTGTCACTGCACTCCAGCCTAAAGGATAGAGCGAGACTCAGTCTCAAAACAAAAAACAAATAAGTCACCCAGTTAATAAATGGTCTTGCTAGGATTTGAGACCCAGGCAGTCTCACATTAGTGGCCACACTTTGAATCACTCCTCAGCCTTTGCTTCTCCTCTGCTGCTGTGGAATGTAGGAGGTAGTGGGTTTTGTTTAGCTAATGTCACATTGCTTTGGCTCCCAGCACACAGCTGCCTGTGGGACTAACCACCTCATTCTTCCAAGACCTCAGCATAGCAAGGCCGTGAGTCATGGACCTCACTCTGCTAAGCATTAACTTTTCCACTTGAGAGGGCAACACACAGCCCAATGGCTTCCCTTCCTAAGCTTCAGCGTGACGCTCCTCGTCGGCTTGTGCCCAGACCTATCCTGGCTGGTTCTGCCTGTGCTCTCTCTATGTGGCCTACAGAGCCCCTCACTGCATCTGACTCTGAGGTCCCCTAGACGCTGTCCAGAAACTTCCCCTCCCACACTTCCATTTTGACCCCACCCTTCCCTCTCCTCATCTAACAGAAACTCCCAATCCTCCTCTCTGGTTACAGTATAAGAAAGTGCTCTTGAGAGAAACAGGAGACATGCAAAGAATTTTTAACTTAAATAGAACTGGACAAAATGGTTTCTATGTGTAATTGTAGCTGCTCCCTCTACAGAATCATCTCTAGGTGCCAGGCTGTGCATTCTACCACAGTGTCTCTAACCATTGAGACAATTCTTCCAGGTAAACATGGTCATTCCCATTTCTAAGCCAAGAAAATGGAGAGTAGTTAACCTGCCTTCAATCACACAGCTAATAAGGAAACAGCCAGATTTTGAACTACATCCCTCTGGCTCCAAAATCTGTGTTTGTGTGTGTTTGCCACCATGCCACAGTGCCTTATTGGAAGCTGTCAGAAATGCTGGATAATGAAGATTCGTAAATGTAACACATGTGATGGGCTTGGCGTCTTGGAAAATGTCCATAAGGAAGTTTATGGTTGCGTTCCAGGGTATCCTGAAACTCTCCAAGATTATTTGCTCTAATACACAAAATATTGCATCTGTGAGTTTTCTTGGAGGAAAGAGCTCATTGTTCTCATCAGATTCTCAAATGTGCTTGAAAAAGGTTAGGAATCCCAGCATTCAACAAGCATGAAATAGTACCACCAATCTCCCTCTACCTTACCACTACCCTGCTCCCATAACCGGGGCTTGGGGGGGTGGAGAACTGAGTCTCAAAGGAGTGGATCTGGACCCTGAGACCATGGCGGTCCTTCAAGAGAGAAGATAGGAGATTCCAAGAAGTCCCAGCAAGAAGGGAAAGCAAGGAGAAGGCAGAAAATAATGCAATAGAAACTGAGCACCCAGGCTTGGGGTAGGATTTGCATCACTGAAAGATGGCACTGAAGCAAAATTCCAGTCTCCAAGTCCCCAAGACTCCAACCAGGGAGCCAAGGCAGGGACAAGGGCTCCAGGGAGGTCACAGAAAAAACCAGCGCTTGTCAACATGAAACAAGTCCCAAGCCTGGTTCCTGACCCAGGAAACAGAGAACACGGAAGACACGCTGCAAGCTACCTTGAGGCCAAGCCTGGGACCATGGATCCTCTCTGCCCTCAGGAGGCACAGGATTGTTCCAGAGTCAGCAGCTGGGGAGTGTGAAAAGATTCATTTGTTCATTCATTCATTCACAAACATTTATTAAGCATCCACTGTGTGCCAGTAACAGGAAACAGAAGAGTGTAAGATAATTCTTAGTCTTAAAAAGTTCCACAGGCTGGCTGGACATGGCGGCTCACGCCTGTAATCCTAGCACTTTGGGAGGCCAAGGCGGGTGGACTGCCTGAGCTCAGGAGTTCGAGACCAGCCTGGACAACATGGGTGAAACCCCGTCTCTACTAAAATACAAAAAATATTAGCCGGGCATGGTGGTGGACGCCTGCAGTCCCAGCCACTCGAGAGGCTGAGGCAGGAGAATTGCTTGAACCCAGGAGGCGGAAGTTGCAGTGAGCCGAGATCAAGCCACTGCACTCCAGCCTGGGCAACAGAGCAAGACCCCATCTCCAAAAAAAAAAAAAAAAAAGAAAGAAAAAGAAAAAAAAAGTGCCACAGGCCAGGTGCGGTGGCTGACACCTGTAATCCCAGCACTGTGGGAGGCTGAGGCAGGCGGATCACCTGAGGTCAGAAGTTTGAGACCAGCCTGGCCAACTTGGTGAAACCCATCTCTACTAAAAATACAAAATTTAGCCATGCATGGTGGTGGGCACCTGTAATCCCCGATACTCGGGTGGCTGAGGCAGGAGAATCGCTTGAACCTGGGAGGCGGAAGTTGCAGTGAGCCTAGATCGCGCCATTGCACTCCAGCCTGGCAACAAGAGCAAAACTCCATCTAAGAAAAGAAAAGAAAAGAAATAGCACAAAGCTCCACCAGGCTTTTGCCTGTCTCATTCTCATCCTGAAGTTTCTTCCTGCCTGTCAGAGGGGGAATAAACAGAAATAATGACTGGTCAGCTCAGGCCAAGAGACCTCACAGCTCAGCCCACAGAAATGGTTCACTGAGTGAGTTCTTCCGCAAACATTAATCAGCTCCTTCATTCTTCCACCCAACAAATGTTTGTGAAATTGCCAGGCATTGAGCACTGTAGGAGACACAAAAATACCCAAGACATGGTTCCTGCCCTCAGGGGGTCTAGTGGGGAGAGGAAATGTGGCTATACGGGACTGATAGAGAAAGGACTTCAGTTGCTATCAGAGGGGTATCAATGCACAGAAAAATTCAGAGGAAAGAAAGGTGACTTCAGGCTGTGTGCACAGAAGATGCAGAGGCTGAGCTAGATGAGAATTCAAGGGCAAGGAGGGGTTGAAAATGTGGAGCCAGAAGACGAGCTCACTCCAGTAGACACAATAGGGTGGGTGGATCAGGCATGGAGGAGGGAGAACCAGTTATGTCACATCTGGGGACACTCCAGGACCCAACCAGCTGGAACCAAAGAGCATAGAACTGGGTAGGGGGCAAACGGGCTTTGTGGGAAGGTTATGGTCTCACTGTGAAGCCTCAAGTACCAGGCTAAGCTTCATTTGGCTGATATAAGTACTTAAAGGAGGAGGGTATTAGAAACTGGATTTTATAACTTCAAAATTTTATAACTCATGAGAAAAACCAAGTGGCCCAACAATTCTCCCAATGCATGTTCCTGAACACATGATTCAATTGTGTGTTGAAAACAAAGGGGAGTGGCTGAGTCCAGGCAGATGCCAGTTGACCACAGACCAGGTGGAGCTATTCAACCAGAACTTCCTGCAGCTCCTGGCACTCATTGTGTGAGGTTGATGCTAATGGCATTACCTCTAGGGGATGCTCACTGCAGGCTGGGCATTGCTAAGCCCCCCACCTTTTTTTTTTTTTGAGTTAGAGTCTCACTGTGTTGCCCAGGCTGGAGTGCAATGGCACGCTCTTTGCTCACTACAATCTCTCTCCTGCCTCAGCCTCCTGAGTAGCTAGGATTACAGGTGTGTGCCACCACACCCAGCTAATTTTTATATTTTTAGTAAAGACAGGGTTTCCCCATGTTGGCCAGGCTAGTCTCGAACTCCTGACCTCAAGTGATCCGCTCACCTCGGCCTCCCAAAGTGCTGGGATTACAGGCGTGAGACACCGTGCCCGGCCTGCTAAGCCCTTTACATGCATCATTTCATTGAATCCTCCTGGCAAGCCTATGACGTAGGCACTGTTTTATTATCCTCAGTTTGCAGAGAAGCAAAGAGAGCCCAGAATGGTTAGGTAACTTGCTCAAGATCACAGGGCTAGGACGAAGCCCTCTAACCAGGTCTAGTATGACTCCTGAGCCCATGCATTTAACCACTGCACCTCCCATTTCCCTAGCTAATAAGGAAAAACTAAGTGGCTGGCATTGGCTCCTACCCTTCTGGAGAAACCCAGCTCAATCTCTTTCAAGAAGGAGGCTCTGATGTTTATCAAAATGTGTATATGTTACATTTTATTGAAAACCTATTCTCACACATAAACACATCAGGCAAAAAAAAAAAAAGTAGATAAATTATTTTTCTTATCAGCAGCCAGTCACATATTTATATTAGTCAATTATTTTATTCTACCTCTGTAAAAATAAAAAAAAAAGGTTAAACCTGCAGGCACTGAACATCAAATTGAATTACAGGAAACTCCCTCCCCTTTCTCCACATTACCTACCCCCCAACCTGGCTCCTGCGTCTAATTTTATTAAGATGACTGTTTCTTCCTATGGAAAGCAATAAAATATTTTCAGCTCAGAACATAACAACTGACTCAAATGCAGAGCACACTCTGAGTGTGCTCAAGGGCTCAAGTCGTTCTTCAGGACATTTCCTGTTTTCCGATTAGCTACGCCTGCCTCTCACTCAGTTCTGCGGAGGTCACCACTGCAGTAATTAACCCCAATGCCAGCCTCCAAACAAGGTTTCCGGGAGAACTGAACAGCTCTCTTAGCCAAACCACCCGCCCTCTTGCGCGGAACCATTTCCTTTGCTGTTCACCTACCAGCCAGTGTGTCAGAACCTTATTGAAAAGGCCTGGCCCAGTGCGGTGCTTATACCTGTAATCCCAACATTTTGGAAGGCCAAGGCCAGAGGATCGCTTGAGTCCAGGAGTTCAAGACCAGCCTGGGCAACATAGTGAGACTTCGTCTCTACAAATTTTTTTTTTTTTTTTTTTTTTTGAGAGGGAGTCTCACTCTGTCGCCCAGGATCTAGTGCAGTGGTGCAATCTTGGCTCATTGCAACATCCGCCTCCTGTGTTCAAGTGATTCTCCTGCCTCAGCCTGCCGAGTAGCTGAGATTACAGGTGCCCACCACCATGCCCGGCTAATTTTTGTATTTTAGTAGAGATGGGGGTTTCACCATTTTGGTCAGGCTGGTCTCAAACTCCTGACCTCAAATGATCCACCCGTCTCGGCCTCCCAAAGTGCTGCAATTACAGGCGTGAGGCACCACACCCGGCCCATCTCTACAAAATATTTAAAAATTAACCAGGCATACTGGCATGCACCAATAGTCCCAGCTACTCAGGAGGCTGAGGTGGGAGGATTGCTTGAGCTTGGGAGGTCAAGGCTGCAGTGGCCACACCCCTGCACTTCATCCTGGGTGTTAGAGCAAGACCCTGTCTCAAAAAAAAAAAAAAAAAAAAAAGGCCTGAAAGACATCAGGACTCCTGAGACTGGCTTGCTACATCTGTGCCGGTGGTCAGCTGCGCTGGTTCATTTTAATGTCAAGTTGGCTAGGCTATGGTGGTGTCTAATTGTTTGGTCAAACATAAGTCCAGATGTTGCTGTCGAGGTATTTTGTAGATGTGATAAACATTTACACTCAGTTGACTTTAAGTAAAGCAAAATTACCCTCTATAATTTAGATGGGCCTCATCCAAACAGTTGAAGGTCTTAAAAGCAAAAACTGGTTTCCTGGAGAAGAAATTCTGCCTCTAGACTCTAACATAGAAACCCTGCCTGAGTTTTCTAAGCTGTGGAATTCAGACTAGAGATTGCAACATCAACTCTTACATGAATTTCCAGCTTGCTGGCCCGCCCTGCAAATTTCAGACTTGCTAGCCCCCACAACTGCATAAGCCAGTTCCTTAAAATCTCTCTTTCTGTCTCTGCACAAACACATGCACACACATCCCATTGCTTCTGCTGCTCTGGAGAATCCTGACTAGTCCAACCAATAACACCAGGTGCCCACGGAAGTAACACGATGGTAACACATTTGAAATGCTTCCAAATACACACCGTCTCACTGATCCTAAAAATCCTGCAGGGAAAAGCACAGATGTCGGCCCAGCCCCTCTGACTGAACTTTCATATCTGTGACTTCTCTTCCTTTGAGCTGTTATCTTAGGAAAATATAAGGCTGAACCCCCAAGCTCAGAGTCCCTCATATATAAACTGATGCATTCAGACGAGATATATAATCTCTAAGTTTTCCCCCAGACTTATGGTACATAACCTTTATGATGTGCCCCCCAAGTCCTGAACGGTTAGATTGCTGTGTCTTTCTGAAATGGCCTCAGGAAAAGTTAGGGTGCTGTCTACAAAAGCTCCCTAAGTAACTCAGCTCTTCGGTAGACAAAATAGAACAACAAGATCTCTAGGTTCAGCCAAGAGTCTACATTTGATCTCCCATTCAGAAGTACTTCTTCCCCTTTTCTAGGTCTCTGGGTCATGCCTCCTTTCTTTTGAGATATATAAAGCCCCATATGAATTCATCTGCCATTTTGCCTAACATTTCACACACCCCTGAACCACACCCATACATGGCTAGCACTTATTATTAAGTGCTCTGAACTGAGTCACTGTTCCCAGTACTTCCCATGGATTCTCTCACTTAATCTTCACAACTCTAACAGATAAATTCTATTATGATCATTCCCAGTTACAGAGGAAGAAACCAAGACACAGAGAGGTTAAGCAACTTATTAGAGGTCATACAGCTAGTAAGTGATGGAGCTGGGATTCAAACCCCGGTCGAAAGAGACAAAAAGCAATTAGTTTCCAAAGTTGGAGGATTAAGACAAGAGGGTGATGCCTTGAAGGCTGAGACTATGTATTATTAATATTGTTATTCCCCCCACAACGCTTACTACATAGTAATTTCTCCATGACGGAGTAAATTGGACTTCATAAGTTCATATAAGTGTGATTACTAGGCGGCTTTAATGATTAAATGAAAGAATGAATACAAAGTGCCCAGCCCAGGGCCTGGCACACAGTAAGCACTAAACAAATGAGAGCTATCAGATGATTTCTTTCTTTTTCTTTTCTTTTTTCTTTCTTTTTTTTCTTTTCTTTTTTTTTTTTTTTGAGATGACTGGAGTGCAGTGGCACAATCTCGGCTCACTGCAACCTCCACCTCCTGGATTCAAGCCATTCACCTGCCTCAGCCTCCCAAGTAGTTGGGACTGTAGGCATGTGCCACCATGCCCATCTACTTTTTGTATGTTGAGTAGAGATGGGGTTTTACCATGTTGGCCAGGCTGGTCTCGAACTCCTGACGTCAGGTGATCCGCCCACCTCCGCCTCCCAAAGTGCTGGGATTACAGGCGTGAGCCACCGCACACAGCTAGATGATTTCTTATTACAGCACCAGGGCAGCCTCCTTGCATCCCCCCAGGGAGTTCCCAGGCTGTGGAGCTCCGGAGGGCAGGGCCCCTGTGACTGGAGGAAGTGCCCTGTGAGGCTGGGACCGCCCTGGTGGAATATTTCTTCCACGTGGCTCCATTCCAGGCTTCTGAGTTTCCCTGGGGCAGCTGGCATGTGAGCAGTGACTGCTCCTCTCTGGCAGGCAGCCTGGCAGCCTCCAGGAGCTGGCTAATTTCTACTATCAACAAGGGGCAGAGAAGTTTCTGAGAAGGGCTGGCAGAAACGCCTCCACCCTGGGGACTTGAGAGACACCTGGGGGAGCACAGGGACACAGGGCCCATCAGGTGGACCCCTCTCCAGGAGTGTCTCTGACTTTGGCTTTCCAACCTTGGCTGCCCTATCGTTCCAGGAAGATGCTGCCAAACAGGTTCTAGGAGAAAGGCATTTTGGGCAAGTGGCAACAGGATACAAAGCGAGGCTGTTTGGGACATTTCTGAAACAGTCACTGATATCACTGATAAACAGAAATGCCCCAGCAAAAAGGCAGGAGGGGTGACTGCTCCCCTCTCCACACCCAGTGCCCCACTGGCCTCTGGGAATGACCTTTCAGATGTACAGGCTCTTGAATCAAACCCACATTTTCCAAGGGAGCTGCAGTGAAGTCCAGTCCATTTGAATGACTCAGCCAGAATCTGCTTCCTAAAAGCTGATGCTGGGGCGTGGTCATGTCCCAGCTCTGCTCACTGCCAGGGCTGCTGGGAAGGGCTCCCAGGAGGGCCAGGCACCTGGCTTGACTGCCTTGGTGTTTGTGTTGTGTGCTGGGCATATTAAACACATTCACGTCTGTTCCCTACAAGGGAGGCTGGGCGCAGTGCTCACACCTGTAATCCCAGCACTTTGGGAGGCCAGAGGTGGGAGATGGCTTGAGTCCAGGAGTTTGAGACCTGCCTGGGAAACATAATGAGACTCCATCTCTACAAAAAATTTAAAAATTAGCCTGGCATGGTGGCTTGCACCTGTGGTCCCAATTACTCACTTAGGAGGCTGAGGTGGGAGGATCACTTGAGCCCTAGAGATCAAGGCTGCAGTGGGCCGTGATCAGGCCACTGCACTCCAGCCTGGGTGACAGAGCAAGACCCTATCTCAAACAAACAAGCAAACAAACAAACAACAACAACAAAAATAGGAGATATGAGTATGCTCATTTTACAGATAAGGAAACTGAGGATCAGGGTTGTTAACTGACTTGCCCGAGATCATAGAGCCAGTAAGTGGCAGAGCTGAGCTTCAGACCCAAGTCAGCCTTGTTTCCAAACCTGTGCTCTTTTTTTTTAAATTTTATTATTATTATACTTTAAGTTTTAGGGTACATGTGCACAATATGCAGGTTTGTTACATATGTATACAAGTGCCATGTTGGTGTGCTGCACCCATTAACTCGTCATTTAACATTAGGTATATCTCCTAATGCTATCCCTCCCCCCTCCCCCGACCCCACAACAGTCGCCAGAGTGTGATGTTCCCCTTCCTGTGTCCATGTGTTCTCATTGTTCAGTTCCCACCTATGAGTGAGAACATGCAGTGTTTGGTTTTTTTGTCCTTGCGATAGTTTGCTGAGAATGATTAAAAAGTCAGGAAACAACAGGTGCTGGAGAGGATGTGGAGAAATAGGAACACTTTTACACTGTTGGTGGGACTGTAAACTAGTTCAACCATTGTGGAAGTCAGTATGGCAATTCCTCAGGGATCTAGAACTAGAAATACCATTTGACCCAGCCATCCCATTACTGGGTATATACCCAAAGGATTATAAATCATGCTGCTATAAAGACACATGCACACGTATGTTTATTGCGGCACTATTCACAATGGCAAAGACTTGGAACCAACCCAAATGTCCAACAACGATAGACTGGATTAAGAAAATGTGGCACATATATGCCATGGAATACTATGCAGCCATAAAAAATGATGAGTTCATGTCCTTTGTAGGGACATGGATGAAACTGGAAACCATCATTCTCAGCAAACCTGTGCTCTTAACTGCCACTGCAGGCAGAGGGTGCCAGGCGACCTGTCACTTTTTCAGACCTTCCAGTGGTGTGAACTTGGTCTACTTACTCCAGCTCTTCATATCTAGACTTCTTCATTAATAAAGATTGGTATCTAATGCCCAGGAATAATTCCTACCAACTATAGGGTTTACCATCTGCCAGGCACTCTTCTAAGGGCTTTGTAAATGTTACCTATTATTATTATGATCCTTATTCAAGGCACAAGAAAGTTAAGTAGCTTGTCCAGGATTACCTGCTAGTAAGAAACAAAGCCAGAATTTGAATATAGGTCTTCTGGCTCTGGAGCCACTCAACCTCTCTGGCTTCTGACTAGTATATTTCACATAATTTGCTAGAGAATGAATTAAGTCTCAAGTACTCAGCAAATACATTTCAAACCCAGCTGAGGAGGTAGGGCCTACAGTGCCTCTTAAGTCCCGAGTGTCCTCTAAAAAGGGGATACAAAAGCCCACCTGGTAGAATTGCAGCAAGGATCAAATGAGAAAGCATACCCATGCCCAAGACACAGGGGACATTACCAGGTGTTGGAATCAGAACTATCAACTGCTTCCTTCAGGCAAGCTTTGGGAGGATCCAGTCCTCTGTCCTTCCTCGCTCCAAGAGATGGTATCAAGAGAAAATAAAATAGTCACTTAAAACAACCTTGAAAACAAATGCAAAGCGCGGAGTGAAAAATCTTGATAATTAGATCCTATCCCTCCCAGGCCAAGAATTTCCAGTTGAATTTAACCTCAGCTTCAGACCCTGGTGTCTCATCATTAGTCATCTCTTTCACTGGAATTTTGGGCCCTGCCAGCAGTTTAATCTACTTTCCTCAACCCTCCTTCCTATGCTGTGCATGGCTTTCACCTCTGGGCGCTTTAGCAAGCTGGGCTGGTTGTTTGCTGCAGATCAGAGGGAGAGCTGGGAGTCAGGAGTGTTTGTGAGCTGTTGTTTGTCAGTGGGGCCTGGGACAAGGACAGAGGGTGGAATTAAAATGAGAAGACGCCAAGCACAAAGAAAACCAACCATATATGAAGCAGTGGGAAAAAGCAAAGGACCAAGCATCCCAAGACCCAGCTTCTAGTCCTTCCCTGCCTCTTTCTGGCTACACAGCTTTGGCCTCCCTTGATATCTGAGTCTAAATATCTTCATCTGCACAATCGGTATGAATATCTGCCTTCAGCACCTGCTTGTGTTGTTGTGGAGAACAGATAAGATTATACCCATGAGCCAGGTATGGTGGCTCACGCCCATAATCCCAGCATTTTGGGAGGCCGAGGTGGGTGGATCGCTTGAGGTCAGGAGTTCGAGGCCAGCCTGGCCAACTTGGTGAAACCCTGTCTCTATTAACAACACAAAAAATTAGCCGGGCATGGTGGTGCACTCCTGTAGTCCCAGCTACTTGGGAGGCTGAGGCAGGAGAATTACTTGAGCCTGGGAGGCAGAGGTTGCAGTGAGCCAAGATCATGCCACTGAACTCCAGCCTGGGCGACAGAGCTAGACTGCATCTCTGAAGAAAAAAAAAAAAGATTACACCCATGAAAAAGCTTTCTACACTGTCAGTACCCTGCAAGGCAATTTCACACATGGAAGCCATCATAATGTGTCCAACACCCTAGGGCAAACAAGAGGGAATTTGGGGCCCCAGACAAGGCCTCTGAGACCAGAGATGTCCAGCTCAAAGGCACCAATGCCCCAGGCCCCAGCATGGTGTGACCAGATGCCCTCAGGGCTGGCTTTGTCCAGGGAAGTTACTGCCAAGAGTAAGCAGCAGAGCCCAGATTGCCAGCAATGTGGGCTGAGTTCACGTGCCTGACCACAGGATGGGCCAGATTTGGATGCGACCAAGACCAAGCACTCAGGGCTGCATAAGGGACAGCACAGGTGGTACAGCCTTGGCGGTAAGCATTAGTGTTCCAGCTCCACCTAGACCCTGCTGTAAGACCTTGAGTGAGGCATTTCACCCACTCTACCCGAGACTCAGTTTGTTCAGCTCTCAAGTGAGGACTTCTTTCTTATTTTTATTTTTACTTTTTTGGTGAGAAAATAAAGGAGTAGGCCGGGCGCAGTGGCTCACGCTTGTAATCCCAGCACTTTGGGAGGCCAAGGCGGGCAGATCGCCTGAGGTCAGGAGTTCGAGACCAGCCTGGCCAACATGGTGAAACCCAGTCTCTGCTAAAAAAACAAAAATTAGCCAAGCATGATGGTGCGCACCTGAAATCCCAGCTACTTGGGAGGCTGAGGTAGGAGAATCGCTTGACCCCAGGAGGTGGAGGTTGCAGTGAGCTGAGATCACGTGACTATACTCCAGCCTGGGCAACAGAGCGAGACTCCATCTCAAAAAAAAAAAAAGAAAGAAACAAAGAAAGAAAGAAAGAAAATAAAGGAATATGTTAAAATTAAATAACTAAGTACATGTGAAGCATGTAGCACAGTGCTTAACAGCCAGTAAACCATCACCATCAATATAATTGCCAATAATGATAATGTCTCCTTTCCAGAAGTTTTTGTTTTTTTGTTTTTTGTTTTTTGAGACAGAGTCGCTCTGTCACCCAGGCTGGAGTGCAGTGGCACGATCTCGGCTCACTGCAACCTCTGTCTCCCAGGTTCGAGCCATTCTCCTGCCTCAGCCTCCCAAGTAGCTTGGGACTACAGGTGCCCAACACCATGCCTGGCTAATTTTTGTATTTTTAGCAGAGACAGGGTTTCATCATGTTGGCCAGGCTGGTCTCGAACTCCTGACCTCAAATGATCTGCTCACCTCGGCCTCCCAAAGTGCTGGGATTACAGGTGTGAGCCACCACACCCAGCCTACACTCTTAATTCACTGAACGCTGGCCCCATTTACAGCCTAGACTATAAGCTGCATGTGGGCAGGGCCAAACTTGCTTTGTTCCCCACCCTATACACAGAGCTAAGCACACTGCCTGGCAGAGTACCCTCTCAATCAATGCTTGGATCAATGCTTGTTGAATGGATTCATGCTTGGAATGAGGAAGGAGCTGCTAAACATAGGAGGGACAGAGACAGGGAGTGTCCTAGCAATGAATTCAGTCTGTTAGGAGGGGTAAGCAAAAACATAACATTTTATTTATTGAAAGAAAGAGAGAGAAGGGCAAGGAATTTTTTTTTTCAATTTATAAGCTGCACTATTGAGATGAAAAAGATGATGAAGGTCATAAACTAACAAACGGAGGTGAAATGAAGTGGACCTCGCCCTGCCAGTCAAATATTAGATTTTTAATACTTTACATTACAAGAAGTTATGGTTCTAGTCTCCACTAATAAAATGGCTCAAACTTGACTATCAGTGGAACTGATTCACTGCTAAGCTATGTCACCTCTGAGCTTCTGAGTCACAGCATGTCATAAAGGCTTTCATTGCTCTGTTGCAAACTCACCCCAGGGGGGATGGGTTTTTTTTTCTTTTTCTTTTTTTTTAAGTTCTTTTGTTCTTGGTACACTTTCTTCCTTTTTCAGACTGGATCCTAATGACTCCAACCACTAAACAACTCAATCTGTTCAGAGAGAGAGGAACTGTTTATGTGAGTTGGTTGTGTAGTCAGAGGTTGTGAGTTGTTTCTTCATCCATGCTGAGCTCAGTGAAGACGCATGGACCATCTGGAATCCAGTTAAATCCTGACCTGTCTCTGCCTCAGCTCCCTCATAGGGAAAATGAAGATGTCAATAATACCTACTTCCTAAAAACGAAATGAAGGCGGGGCGTGGTGCCTCACGCCTGTAATCCCAGCACTTTGGGAGGCCAAGGTGGGCGGATCACCTGAGGTCAGGAGATCGAGACCAGCCTGGCTAACATGGCAAAACCCCTTCTCTACTAAAAATACAAAAATTAGCCGGGCATTGTGGCATGCTCCTGTAATCCTAGCTACTCAGGAGGCTGAGGCAGGAGAATTGCTTGAACCTGGGAGGTGGAGGTTGCAGTGAGCCAAGATTGCACCATTGCACTCCAGCCTGGGTGACAAGAGTGAAACACTGTCTCAAAAAAAAAAAAAAGGCTCGGCACGGTGGCCAACTGGAAGACCTGGTATTGCAGAGGACCAAGGCTATTTCCCACACGTCTTTGGCTCTACTATGGTTCCCAGCACAACTCTGGCCACATGGACCTCAGAGCTGGGCTCCACTGGCCAAGAGGCCACCAGGCTCTTTCAGGCTGCTGCTGGGCTCCTGCGAGGTGGGCTTTCCATCACAGGAGAGCTGCCTTCCTGCTGATCACTGAGGACGAGGCCTGCACTGCAGCAATTCTCACTCTGAGCTAATGCAGCAAGTGTGAGCTGAAAATCCAAGTCAGAGAGTTGCTAAGAACCTACTATGCCCACACCCATTAAGATGGCTATTATGAAATAAAGAAGAAAAAAAGAAGTGTTGTCAAGGCTGTGGAGAAATTGGAACACTTGTGCAGTGCTGGTGGGAATGCAAAATGGTGCAGGATCTATGGAGAACAGTAGGCCATTTCCTCAGGAAATTAGAAATAAAATCCCAGCACTTTGGGAGGCCGAGGTGGGCAGATCACTTGAGGTCAGGAGTTCAAGATCAGCCTGGCCAACATAGTGAAACCCCTCCTCTACTAAAAATACAAAAATTAGCCAGGCATGGTGGCATGTGCCTGTAATCCCAGCTACTTGGGAGGCTGAGGCAGGAGAATCGCTTGAACCCAGGAGGAGGAGGTTGCAGTGAGCCAAGATGGCGCCATTGCACTCCAGCTTGGGTGACAGAGCAACACTCCATCTCAAAACAAAAACAAAAACAAAAACAAAAACAAAACTGTACACTTAAAATAGTTAAGATGGTAAATCTTACGTTATATGTGTTTTACCACAATTAAAAACAAAGAACCTACTTTGGCAATGCCTTCAAGCTGTTTGTGCAGCCACAGCTGACCAGCATCCTGTTTATTCTGAACAGCTAAGCCTGGGCCACCCCTTGGAAATGTCCCCCAGGACTCTGTATGTCCCTGCAGCAATGGGGGAAGAAGTGGGGCATAAAAGCCAGAAGACATGAGCACCTGTCATGCAACATTCTGTGTCAGCACTACGACAAGTTCTCTATATATTTTATCACAATTGCTCCCAACAACCTCCCTGTGAGGTATAGATTATTCTCCACACTCTGTAGATGAGGAAATGAAGGCTCGGAAATATAGTTGCCCAAAGACACCCAGCTCCTAGGGATAAAACCAGGAGTGAAAATTAATTTTTCGAATCCAAAGGTCATCCCTTTCCAAGTATTGTGTTGGTTACAGAAAGAAGGGGGTTCTTTTAAGTGAGAGGTTATGTCAACCAACAGAGTAAAGATGGAAAAGAACAGATCTAATCCCTGGAAGGAGACAGGCTGCAGAGTTCATACTCTAGGCCCCCAGAAGGCTGCCCTGTGAGTAGACACATCTGGTCTACCCACTTTGTCTTGGCCTTCCATGCCCCTTGGCCACAGTTAATTGGAGCAGGGCTGAACATCTGACCAAAACCAAGGCAATTGGTGTTTTTCTCTGAGCTATCTCATGCACGAGACGCTGCCACTGCAGTTGGATGTAGAGTCAAGACCCAGTCACCTTGCAGCAACCCAAAGCCCATGCAAGAGGCCTCACTAAGGACAGCCAATTTGCAGAGAGCCAACAATTATAGACAATATGCAGAAAAGTAATGGCTGCCATGTGCAGGGAGAAGCAGAGGCAGGAGGCTGCACAGTCCCTGGGAAATGAGGAGAGGGGAGCTGACATGATTCTGGCTCTTGTGAGGTCTGTGATCTGGACTCCAGATTTCTTTCTAGCTTTAGAAAAATCAAGGTTTCCTTGAGCACGCTGAAGTGGGTATCTGCTCCTTGTAATGAAGCAATTCTGAACCATGACTCCCTATCCTTTCAGATAGTACAACAGGCTAGGGAGAGAAGGACCTTATGCAAATGAACCATGGCTCAGCTTGGTTGAGGAAATGCTCCCCCATTTGATCTTTGGGAAGACAGCAAAATTTGTCTTCAAAGATCACTTTGTATTTCTGTTTTTGTTCGATCTCTTGGTGGCCTCCCTGCCGCCTCAGGTGGCTACTGCCCTCGTGCTGGCCTCTTGCTGAGCTACCCCAACCAGCCCTGCACTCGCCCACAGGGTGCACACTCCAGCTGGAAGCAAGGCAGTCTGATGTTCCATTTCACAGTACAGTGTGAGGAAGGATGGCCAAATTTGCCTGTCCAGTGTGGCTCCCTTATCACTTTAATTTAATCAGGTTGTTTCCTCAGTGTCTTTCCTTATTAGTGCCTTCCTTCTGATTCCAGTCCTGGGATGAGCTCCATCTGTGCTGAGAAGCATTTGACTCAACTAGTAAGCCTTCTTACTAGTCTCCCTGACTAGTACTAATCTGCTGTTCACATTGCGGCCTAGCGGCTCCCCAATGGTTGATGAGTAAAGTTCAATCCCTATTCATACCACGTTACTCCTCCCCATGGCTCTCTGGTCCTCCTGTACTGTTCCAAAGCCTGGAATGTCTTTTTTCCATTATTTCTGTCAAATTTCCACTCATCCTTTAAAACCAAGCCAAATGACACTTTCTCCACAAGCTTTTTCACTCTTTCATCTACTCAGATTGTAACTTTTCATGTCTATTCTGGTTTGCATCTCATTCTTGTGTGCTAACTAGTCGGTCACCTAGGCCTGAAAATCCAAGCCATCTTATGCATATTTTTCTAGACTTAGTTCCAGAAATACTCTCTGGTGCACTGTAGTGCTCCATGAAACTGTTATCAAATAGGTAAGGAGATTTATAGACTGCCATGTGCAATGTCACATGTACATTAATTTAATCCTCAAACAGCCCTGCAAGGCAGGAGATATTATTAAGAACACTGAAGCTGATTTTTTTTTTTTTTTGAGATGAAGTTTCACTCTTGTTGCCCAGGCTGGAGTGTAATGGCGCCATCTCAGCTCACTGCAACCTTCACCTCCCGAGTTCAAGCAATTCTCCTGCCTCAGCCTCCTGAGTAGCTGGGACTACAGGTGCCCACCACCATGCCTGGCTAAGTTTTTTGTATTTTTAGTAGAGACAGGGATTCACCATGCTGGCCAGGCTGGTCTTGAACTCCTGACCTCAGGTGATCTGTCCACCTCAGCCTCCCAAAGTACTGGGATTACAGGCGTGAGCCATCATGACCGGGCTTGAAGCTGCAGATTGTATTTGCTCATGAGCAACTAGGGATGGCCACTGGAATTCTCATTTAGGCATCCCTGGCCCCAGAGCTCAGGGCCTTTGTACCCTCATGCCCAGTAAGAAGTTAATTGATAAGGCTTAAGGTATCAAATGTCCCATAACTTTTTCTGATTGAGAACTGTGCTCAGACCTGCTCAAAGCACACCCCAGTGCAACAGAACAGCTGTTCAATAGAAATTACACAGTGAGTCAGCTGACCACTGCCATATCATGGCATTCTATATACTACGTTTCATGTATGAAGGTTCAACATAAAACTGGCAGCTTCATATTTTCCTTGCCAGGAACAAGAATGCAAAATGTCTTATACACCAATTTGCCCCCAGAGAACAGGTGCTAGGAACTGGTTGTACTCAGGGTTCATGAATACTTGACATGGTTCTTTGCTAAGCCTCATTCACAAACACCTGAGAGGATATTAAACGTAAAGGGCAATTGGATGACTTCCCAGGGTCTCTTTCAGGACTAAGCATCAAGGACTTTGTCACATTAAGGTGTCTGAAATTTCCTGCCAGTTCTTTGCTACATGCTCAATATTTAAAATGTATATTCAACATCAGTGATGTGCTGGGTGTTGCAGAGGATATAACAATCCCACACCTTCTTGGCAGGGCCAAATCCTACAGTAAAGGAGAAACACACCCGTGATTAGAAAGGAAAACCCATACCAGACAAATACCAGCACCCCTAAGCTGAGGGCACGCAGGTGAGATGTGTTGTGAAGGAGGAAAGAAAAACAAGGCACGTTAATTAATTTTTTAAGGGCCATTGTAGCTTTATAGATGACTGAGACCCTGCAGAATGTGCCTTTGGGGAGTGTACCTTTGAGAATTCCCATGCTTCCATAGGGTGGGGCCACTTTCCTTAGGCAGTGAGTCTCTAAGCCTTGTTCTCCAGAAAGGGATGGGAATGACTCAGGAGATTAAACACTTTTGCCTTCCTGATTGTTTTGTCAATACAATACAGTGGTTTTATGGGAATACCCGAGTAGTGTGATTATCAGTTTGAGCTGATAGGGATCTTCTTGATGAGTCCTATGGTGCTCACTGGGTGAACCAAGGCTCTCTGTGGGGAACGCACCAAGTGCCTGGACAAACCACAGTGAATACTATCCATGAGCTCTTTCTCACATCACTTCCCCATTCTTTTTTTTTTTTTTTTTTTTTTTTTTAGATGGAGTCTGGCTTTGTTGCCAGGCTGGAGTGCAGTGGCGCGATCTCAGCTCACTGCAACCTCCGCCTCCCAGGTCCAAGCGATTCTCCTGCCTCAGCCTCCCAAGTAGCTGGGATTACAGGGGCCCACCACCACGCCCAGCTAATATTTCTATTTTTAGTAGAGATGGGGTTTCACCATGTTGGCCAGGAAGTTACTTCCCCATTCTTAAGTGGAATCGCATAGCTTTGGAGCTTATTTTAAAAATGCTTTAAAAGATATATTCTTGGTGTTAATGTCCCCCACTGAAAAAAAAAATCAACTTTATAATTTCAAATAGCAAAGCAGGTTTTTACTAAAAATACACATGTGTCTATTGGATACATCACAGCCTTTGGGATGTCTAGAGATTAACTCCCTTTCAGATAAGCCATTACAGCCCCATTTTTCAAAAGAAAAAAGGACTCTCTGAGAGGTTAACTGGTTTGCTCAAGACTACAAAGTTTGATATGCTAATTAGAGGGGGGATATTCTAGAAATATCTAGGCTCACATTCCAAAAACAGGTCCAAGTAAAATGACAGGAATCTGGAAAAAATAAGTAATAACATGACAATTATCTGGTGGCCATCTGGACAGTAGCAGTAGCCATTCCACAAGGAAAAGATTTACACAAGACCAGAAGGGAGAGAAAATTCTGGCTGATGGAATGGGGGATATTGTAAGGAGAGAATGAGAAAAATGCTATAGTAGCAACAACTACGTACCCAAGGAGATGGATGTTTTATGTGAATGTAATGTTGCCACATTGTAAAGGCACAATAATATAAAAGTATGCAAGAAAACCTCCGCTCAATCACCTTTTCAAGAGATTGGACACAGAAGCAAGGGATAGGTCAAAGGGAAAATGGAAGCCTAAGGCAAGATCCAGCAAAAGCACCTTTAAAAGAAAAGAAAAGGCCAGATGCAGTGGCTCATGCCTGTAATCTCAGCACTTTGGGAGGCCGAGGCGGGTGGATCACCTGAGGTCAGGAGTTCAAGACCAGCCTGGCCAACATGGTGAAACCCCGTCTCTACTAAAAAACACAAAATTAGCCGGGTGTGGTGGCGCATGCCTGTAATCCCAGCTACTCGGGAGACTGAGGCAGGAGAATCACTTAAACCCGGGAGGTGGAAGTTGCAGTGAACCGAGATTATGCCACTGCACTCCAGCCTGGGCAACAAGAGCGAAACTCTGTGTAAAAAAAGAAAAAAGAAAAACACACACAAACACACACAAAGATAGAAGCTGTGCTTTTGAAATGTGCATATTCATGGCCGGGCGCAGTGGCTCACGCCTGTAATCCCAGCACTTTGGGAGGCCAAGGCAGGCGGATCATGAGGCCAGGAGTTCAAGACCAGCCTGACCAACATGGTGAAACCCTGTCTCTACTAAAAATACAAAAATTAGCCGGGCGTGATGGCGGGCGCCTGTAATCCCAGCTACTTAGGAGGCTGAGGCAGGAGAATCGCTTGAACCCAGGAGGTGGAGGTTGCAGTGAGCCGAGATCATACCATTGCACTCCAGCCTGGGTGACAGAGCGAGACTCCATCTAAAAAATAAATAAATAAATAAAAATGAAATATGCATATTCACAAAGACACGCACCACAGGGACACCCACTGCAGTACTGTTGCTAACAGGCAGTAGTTGGGACAACTTATATGTCTAGAGCAAAAGATCAAGAAGGATTCAAATCAAATTGTTCAGAGTGGTGACCCTGAAGGACTAACAGTGGGAGAGAGAAAGAATAGAAGAGGTGTGGGGAGAATTTTCACTTTTTAGTTGCATAATCCCTTCTGGGTTGTTTATCTTATGTCTACATGCATTTTTAATTTTAGAAATTAAAAATATTATATTATTTAAAATTAAAAAGTTTTTTAACAACCTGTTCTGTTTGGAGGACTGTTTGGAAGAATCATCAAGTCTCAGAGTTGAAATTGGTCTCAGAGGTCTGTGTAGTCTAATCTCAGCTAGATTCAGCTTCACAGCCTGGCTGTCCGCATGGAACTTAGGGCAGAATGGCCACCCCTGGCTCACAGGCACTCACTCCAGCCTCAATTCGGATCTGGCTCATGGAACCTGGTGTACCCGAAGGATATGAAAAATTACATAAGCGTTGTGGCTTTCATAATCTACACCTGCGCTGCTGAACATCACCAACAACCATGCACCAGGACTACAGCAACCCCCAGATCCTCCTAGTTCCTACCAGGCCCTGAGTAATTTGACAGCCTCAGAAGGGTCACTCACGGTTGAACACAACTGGGCGCTCATACCTGTAATCCCAATACTTTGGGAGGCCAAGCCAGGAGGATTGCTTGAGCCCAAGAGTTCAAGGCCAGCTTGAGAAACAGAGTGAGGCCCTGTCTCTACAAAAAAAATTAAAAATTAGCTGGGCATGGTGGTGTGTGCCTATAGTTCAGCTACTCAGGAGGCTGAGGTGGGAGGATCGCTTGAGCCCAGGAGTTCGAGACCATGATCACACCACTGACTGCACTCTTCCCTCCTGGATGGCAGGGTGAAACAGTCTCAAAAAAAAAAAAAAAAAAGAAAGAAAGAAAGAAAGGGTTTGAACACGAAAAACTGAGGTCAACTGTAAACCAGTTGGTTGTCAGTACAGCACAATCCCAAGTACAGTGTAGCTATAGCCTAATAGGGCCTCACAGTGTCTATGCGAGCTTCACCATTAACAATCACTTCCCCTGGCCATTCTTCACCGTCTTATAGTTTGAGAAGAGCTGCTTACTGCCCTGACTTTGTTTATTTACCCAAGAGGCAAAATGTTTACATATTTCTGTTAACACAGGGACTTTCTTTGATGCCGCCTTGATCTTCTGGTATGGCTTTTTCCTTTTTTTTTTTTTGAGATGGAGTCTCGTTCTATCTCCCAGGCTGGAGTGCAGTGGTGCGATCTCTGCTCACTGGAACCTCCGCCTCCCAGGCTCAAGTGATTCTCCTGCCTCAGCCTCCTGAGTAGCTGGGACTACAGGCATGGTAGGGCTTTTTCCAGTTTACCATACCCTGCCCCACTCCACACTATGAAGTGTGTCTGCCTTTGTTCCATGTTCCCTCTGATGGACAGTATTTTGCTATAAGTATCCTCAGTTCAGTCAGAACTTAATGTTACTTAATTTTACGCAGTGCTCAAAATTGGGAACACACCTGTAAAGGGTTTGCCATCACCAGGATTTTAAACCACCGACATAGACTGAAAGCAAGAAGAGTGCTGTGTTTGTTGCTATATCCCCTCCAGCACCTAAGGCAATGCATTTCACATCTTGCTGAGAGCAGCTAACTCAATACCTGGAACTAGAAAATTAGAATCTAAAAGACGGAAGGCATC
Source organism: Homo sapiens (assembly GCF_000001405.40). Classification (NCBI taxonomy): domain Eukaryota; kingdom Metazoa; phylum Chordata; class Mammalia; order Primates; family Hominidae; genus Homo; species Homo sapiens. The sequence goes on from NC_000010.11 coordinate 93,479,638, forward strand.
TAAAGACCAGTTCCCATCATGCCACAGCTGAGAAATTGGAGACCCAGGTGGTTAAATCAGATATTGAGTTAATGTCAGCTGGAATGCAGATGTTCCTACTCTGAGTTGAGTGCCCTTTCCTCTGTCAGGTTGCTTGTTAGCTAAATGAATGAATGACTTTACCACTCGATTTGTATGAAAAAAGGAGGCCAGAAAAGAGACTAAAGTTAAATGTGTAATTGTTTGTATAGACTATATTTGCCAACTTAACTGAAGTTTTCCACTTTCAATTGATTGTTTGCATTCATTGACTTAGATATATTTTTCATCATTTAAAATGTTTCATCAATGCATACAAACTCCAGACAAATAACAAGTCAGATTTCAATATAGTATTAACTCCAATTCCTCTATAATCTATAATACTTAAATAATTACATGATCGGACTGATCCAAATATATTTTAATGTCTTTATATGTCAATGATGAAGGATGTAAAATCTTCATATTATGTCTCTATTATGTAACTGCTTCAAGAAAACAAAAAATTAATAAAACCTAACACATGTAAATAAACTCTGACATAACGTGAGTCCATGATATTCACTAGCCAGATTTTCAAACCTCATTGTCCTTTAAGAGCCCAATTTTAAGCTGGGCGTGGTAGTTTACGCCTGTAATCCCAACACTTTGGGAAGCTGAGATGGGAAGAAAGTTTGAGCAAGGGAATTATAACCAGCCTGGGCAACATAGCAAGACCCAGTCTTATTCAAAAAAATTTTTTTAAATTTTTTTTAAATCCAATTTTTGCCCTTTAGATTTTTTTTTTAACCAACCAACAATTTGCCAGCTTTTTTTTTTTTTTTTTTTTTTTTTTGAGACGGAGTCTCACTCTGTTGCCCAGGTTGGAGTGCAGTAGCATGATCTCGGCTCACTGCAACCTCCTCCTCCTGGGTTGAAGCAATCCTCCTGCCTCAGCCTCCCGAGTAGCTGGGATTATAGGCATGTGCCACCATGCCCGGCTAATTTTTGTATTTTTAGTAGAGATGGGGTTTTGCCATGTTGGCCTGGCTGGTCTCGAACTCCTGCCCTCATGTGATCCACCCACCTCAGCCTCCCAAAGTTCTGGGATTACAGGCAGAAGTCACCACACCCAGCCAGCCAGCTTTGAGTTTCATTTCTTTCATTTTCTTGCTCATCCTCAGAGAGAGAGGTTTAAGAAGAGAAATAAAGGGGAAAAACGGGAAACAGAAAGGCGAAAGGTATAGATGCCTCAGGAACTGACAGGGAGTAGCAGTCAGGCTCCTGGAAGAAACGAGAAATGTAGCAAGGCATGGTCAGGAAACACATGTCTATCCATGCTCCCACTCTCTCTGCCTTTCCCTCTCTTTCCCATCCCTCTTGCCAAGAAGTGAGTTGGCAGTCTTACCAATGACAAACAAAATAGATAAAGCCTCCACACTGAGATTTAGAAACCCCACTTTAGCCAAAACTAAGTCACTTACATCAAATTGTACCATGACACCAAGCATTCCTGTCCCCTCCCCTGCAATGGCAATCAAGTGTCATAGAAAAATAGCCTTTTAAAATTACCATGAGCCTTTTATTTTTATTTATTTTTACACCCAGGCTGGAGTGCAGTGGCGTGATCACGGCTCACTGTAGCCTCAAACTCCTGGGCTCAAGCAATCCTCCTGCCTTGGCCTCCCAAAGTTGGCTCAGGGTTGAGGAGCCACTGTGCTCAGCCAACCATGAGGTTTTTAGAGATGATCTTGTCTAAACCCTTCTCGCCTGTTTTGCAGAAAAGAAAATTGAGATCCCAGAGAAATGAAGTAACTTGCCCAAGGTCATTCAGCAGGCAAGATAGAACTAGATCCCCAAATTGCAAACTAGCTGTCCAGAGTTCTTTCCTCAATGAGCAATTTAAAAGCTACAGAATGTACAAAAAAAGCTCCCCAACAGTTTAGATATAAAAACAATTACAAAGGCACAAAAGGGCAGGAAAACTCAATAAAACTATGAACTTCACCCATCCCACCTCCCAGAAACCCAGTGACAATCAAAGCAGCGTCAGGCTGGTTCAAGGAGTAATGGTGTCTCCAACAATTTAATTGCTCTTCTTCCTCCTTTACCCATTTCTCACAGGCAGAGAAAAAATGCATCTAAGACTACTGAAACTTACTTTGAACCAATACAGATGTTTGTTGATACCTGAAATTTAGTGATTCGCAAATACGTTTTCTGCCAAGAGCTTACAGAAATCACACTCTTAGAGCTAAAACATCAGGTCATTCCATGAGTCTCAAGCCCTGGAGAAAATTAAATGCCTTCCCCAGAAACGGGTCCTCTCCCCTGTCCTGCGCAGGTAACAAACGCTGCTGGAGAGACTTGGCTTCATCAGCTGTCTAAATGCAGACTTTTCAAGAAGGTGACTCAAGAAACTAACATTCCAAAACAGGACTTCAGAAAAAGAAGAAAACTTTTTCTTACCCTTAAAAATGACAGAAACAATAGGATCCGGCTTGCCAAATTTCGTTTTAGGGATATTGCTGGCAGATTCCACAATCACTCGCAGCATGGTTCTTAGCTGGTAGAAAGCAAGTTTCAGCAAACGAAGTGGAGACTAGGGCGCTGGAGCTCCGGGTCGCACCGCCCTGGGAGAGAAGTTCTCTCCCAGTGAAGGGAGGATTTCTCCCAGGGCAAGGAAGGGGAAAAGGCAAAATGGGTGGACCTCTGGCGGATTTTACTGAAGGCAACGTGTAAACTGATACCGAACTCCCCGCGTCTACGCAGTGCCGCAGGCACAGACTTATGAATTCGGGAAATGTGGAAGTGAAAAGGACAAACCCTAAACTAAAAATAATTCCGTGCGACAAATGAAACCAACATGAATTTGGAGCTAAGAAATACGGGTAGGTCAGGAAACCACTAAAATGTTGCTGCCTTTTAGCAATGGTTCGTGAAACTGAATTAATTGATTTTTCCGTCACTGCTTTCATTCTTTTCTGAGTTTCAAGGAGTTTTAAAACTTTAGTCATTATTTGCTTTTGACTTTTCGCTGTTACTTCTCACGCCATTGAACACACCCACTCAGTAACCCTATGTTCAGCTTTTTTAAAGCAGCTAAAGGGTGCCTCTTACTGGACGGCAAACGAATGACAGCGTTTATTTCAAGTAAACGCGATCCAGGCATGGGATATATAAATAATTACATATATGTATAAATAATTATATATATATATATATATATATATATATATATATATATATATATATATATATATATATAAAGGACTGAACATAGAATTTCTTCAAAACCCCTTCAGAGGTGAGAGCTGGGCGCCTAAGTTTTCCCGGCTCTTCAAATGCTGCCAATTGCCTTCAGTGAAAATGGAGAAGTGACTCCCCACTGTTTCTGGACCTACAGCTGCCCATGGTGTCTTTCTGTCCCAGAGGGTGCATGAAGACAGTGCAGCTTGGCTGAGATCACAAGAGGCGGCCTGGGGTTAGTCAGCCAGATCTGAGTGTGAGACTCTGCCTCACCACCCTGAGCTACGTCATCTTAGCAAGTTTCTTTTCTTTTCTTTTCTTTTCTTTTTTTTTTTTGACGGAGTCTCGCTCTGTCACCAGGCTGGAGTGCAGTGTAGCGATCTTGGCTCACTGCAACCTCTGCCTCCCGGGTTCAAGCGATTCTCCTGCCTCAGTCTCCCGAGTAGCTGGGACTACAGGCGTGCGCCACCACACGCAGCTAATTTTTTTTTTTTTTGTATTTTTAGTAGAGACGGGGTTTCACCATGCTGGCAAGGATGGTCTCGATCTCTTGACCTTGTGATCCGCCCGCCTCGGCCTCCGTGGCTTGAGCTTTACTGGCTTGAGCTTTACTGGCTTGAGCCACCGTGCTGGCGAGCAAGTTTCTTAACCCCTCTCTTCCTCAGTTTCCTCATCTATGAACTGGGGATAAAGGCTGTTATAAGATAAAGGTCATAGCATAGGAGCTGGCACAAAGCACACAGTAATTTGCACATGTAAGAAGTTCATGCTTATTTGTGGTCTCACAGCGTTTCTGTTAGTGCAGGCTGACTTTAAATCAGGATCTCGTTATATTTCAGAAGAAAAGGCTAAAACTTGGGATGAAGAAACATTGGGCTTCTTTTTGCTTTAGAACACACATCAAGCAGACCCACCTGTAAATAAACATTTCAAGTACATTGAATAAGCATGACTTAACCTACAAGAATTCTTCTGTCTCCACGAGTTTCTCCAAGGCTTAAAGCAAAGAACCAATTACCCAGTGCTGTGTTCATTATTGTATTTAGTGGACATGTTGGCAGTTTTAGTGGAATATAGAGATTATTACTTTTATTTTATCTGGCTGCTTTCTATTTGCCATTTTTACTGTGAAATATATTTACAGAAAAATGCATACTACATAAACGTGACAGTTTAACAAGCATCCAGGTCAAGACAGAACATTGCCAGTCCTCCAGAAGCCCCTGGAATACCCCATATATCATATCCACCTCCTTCTCCCAGAGGTAACCACTCTCCTGATTTTTTTTTCTTTTTTTAGATGGAGTTTCACTCTTGTTGCCCAGGCTGGATTGAAGTGGGGTGATCGGCTCACTGCCACCTCCACCTCCCGGGTTCAAGCAATTCTCCTGCCTCAGCCTCCCAGGTAGCTGGGATTACAGGCGTGCACTACCACACCCGGCTAATTTTGTATTTTTAGTAGAGACAGGGTTTCACCGTGTTGGCCAGGCTGGTCTCAAACTCCTGACCTCAGGTGATCCATCCACCTCGGCCTCCCAAAGTGCTGGGATTACAGGCATGAGCCACCATGCCTGGCCCACTCTCCTGATTTTTATGGTAATGATTTCCTTGCTTTTCTTTGTAGTTTTTACCGAAAACAACAACAACAAAACAGTTTAGGTTTGCTTGCTCATGACCTTTGTTTGGTGATATAAATTCTTTTGTATGTTATGAACTTTACATACAACACATATATTCATATATATAGGTACACACATACATGTGTTCATACTTTGTGAATTCTTTGCTGTATTATGACTTTATAGAAATGGACTCATACAGAATGGATTCTTTCGTGTTTGACTTCTTTTTTCTCAGTATTATATTGTGAAATTCATTCATGTAGCTCTACTTCCTTCACTCTTGTTGCTATATGGCATTTCATTGTATGAGTTTCTGACATTTTATTTATTTATTTATTTTGAGACAGAGTCTTGCTCTGTAGCCCAGGCTGGAGTGCAGTGGTGCGATCTCGTTTCACTGCAACCTCTGCCTCCCGGGTTCAAGCAATTCTCCTGCCTCAGCCTCCTGAGTAGCTGGGATTACAGGTGCACACCACCACGCCCGGCTAATTTTTGTATCTTTAGTAGAGATGGGGTGTCACCATGTTGGCCAGGATGTTCTCGAACTCTTTACCTCGTGATCCGCCTGCCTCAGCCTCCCAAAGTGCTGGGATTACAGGCATGAGCCACTGCGCCTGGCCTCCAGATTTGATTAATTCATTCTACTACTGCCAGACATTTGGACAGTTCAGGGAATGGGGCTATTACAAACAGTGCTGTTCTGAACAGTCCAAGACTGTTCTGGCACAAATGTGCATGAGTCTATTTAGAGTCTAATCTATGGGTGGAATTGCTTGCTGGGCCAGAGAATGTATGCATTTCTTCACCTTTACAAGGTAATTCCAAATTATATTCCACAATGGTACTCTTGCCAGCAGTGTATGAGACTTCCTGTTGTTCTAAATTTTTGTCATACTTAACCAATGTTAGATTTTTTACATTTGCCCTTCTGGTGAGCATATAATAGCATCTCACTGGAGTTTTAATTTGCCTTTTACCTATTCATGTGGGAGAAAAAGACAAATGACTTCCAACCTTACATAATACATAATCAATTACAGGTGGAGTATAAATCTAAATAAGCAAGATAAAACATGTTTCAGCCCAGACACAGTGGTTCATACCTGTAATCTCAACACTTTGGGGAGGCTGAGGTGAGTCTGAGACCAGCCTGGGCAACATAGTGAGACCCTGCCTCTAAAAAAAATTTTTTAAATTAATCGAGTGTGGTGGCATGCACCTGTGGTCCCAGCTACTTGAAAGGCTGAGGTGGGACAACCACTTGAGCCTGGGAAGTCCTGGTGGCAGTGAGCCATGATTGTGCCACTATACTCCAACCTGGGTAACAGAGTGAGACCCTGTCTCTAAAAAAAAAAAAAAAAAAATCTAACCAGGTGGTGGCAGCAGCTCACACCTGTAGTCCCAGCTACTTGGGAAGCTGAGGCAAGAGGATCACTTGAGGCCAGAAATAGAAATCCAGCCTAGACAACATGGCAAGACCTCCTCTCTAAAACAAATAAGTAAAGAAAAAAATCAAACAACAAAAAAAGCCATAGAAGAATATCTATATGACCCCAGGATAGGAAAGGATTTCTTAATATGAAAAAATGTACAAATCATAAAGGAAATATTGATAAATTCAATTATATTAAAATCACAACCTACAAAGGACTAGTATTCAGAGTACATAAACAGCTCCAGCAAATTAGTAAGACAAACACATAGAACTCAATGGAAAAATAGGTAAAAGATTTGAATAGGCACTTCATAAATTAGGAAATGTAAATATGAAAAGGTACTCAACCTCATTGGTAATTAGAAAAGTGCAAATTAAAACTCCAATGAGTTATTATTATATACTCACCAGATGGGAAAATATGTAAAAATCTAACATTGCCAAGCTTGACAAGAATGTGGAACAACGGGAAGTCTCATACACCGCTGGTGAGAGTGTAATCAGCAGTAAATTCTCATGGATTTTCTACCATTACAATTATAGAATCTGCAAATAACGCCTGGGGTGTTTCTTCCTTTTCAATCTTTGTGCTTACTTTATTTTCCCATTTATTTCTATGTTGATTAGACCTTTCATTATAATATTGACTAGGGGTGGTAATAACAGACATCCTTATCTTTTTCTGTATTTCAAAGGGAAAGATTTCCATACTTCACCATAAAGTATGATGTTTGCTGTAGGTTTCTCATAATTAGCCCTTTTAAGATTAAAGGAGTTCTCTTTATTCCTAGGTTGCTAAAACTTTGAGGTTTTTTTTTTTGGTTTTTTTTTTTTTTTTTTTGAGATGGAGTCTTGTTATGTCCTTCTGGCTGGAATGCAGTGATTATTCACAGGCACAATCATAGTGCACTACAGCCTTGAACCCCTGGCCTCAAGCAATCCTCTCGCCTCCACCTCCTAAGTAGCTGAGACTACAGGCAAGTGCTTAGCTACTTTTAAATGCCCAGTTTTAAGGCTTTTTATAAGACATAAAGTCGGATTTTATCAGATGGTTTCACTTTATTGAAATGATCATATGAATTTTATGTTTAATGTGGTGAATTACATTTATTTTATTTTATTTTGAGACAGAATCTCGCTCTATTGCCCAGGTTGGAGTGCAGTGGCATGATCTCAGCTCACTGCAACCTCCCCTTCCTGGGTTCAAGCAATTATCCTGCCTCAGCCTCCCAAGTACCTGGGATTACAGGTGCACACCAACACCCAGTTAATTTTGTATTTTTAGTAGAGACAGGGTTTCACTATGTTGGCCAGGCTGGTCTCAAACTCCTGACCTCAAGTGATCCACCCATCTCGGCCTCCCAAAGTGCTGGGATTACAGGTGTGAACCACCACGCCCTGCCAATTACATTTATTTTCTAATATTAAACTAACTTTGCATTCCTGAGATAAACTCAACTTGGTTGTCATATCTTATACTTTCCTATTGCTAAATTTAGATTGCAAATATGTTTATATACTATTTATGACTTTTGCATGTATATTTATGAATAAGACTGACTTGCAATTGCCCGTCCTCATTTTGTCCTGGTCAGCTTTGGTGTGGAGGTCATGCTAGCATCATAAAATGGGGTGGGGTGTGCTGTTGCCTCTTTTTTAATTCTTTGGAAAAGCTTGTGAACTTGGAATTATTTCTTCTGATATGTTTGTTGTTCTTTCACAAAATTCATACCTGTATTTATTTTAAAGATTCAAGAAATCCTATCAGAGGCTGGTGCAGTGGCTCGCGACTGTAATCCCAGAATTTTGGGAGGCTGGGGTGGGAGGGTTGCTTGAGCCCAGGAGTTTGAAACCAGCCTGGGCAACATGGCAAGACCCCATCTCTACTAAAAATCAAAAATTAGCTGGGCGTGGTGGCGTGTGCCTGTAGTCCCAGCTACTTGGGAGGCTGCAGTGGGAGGATCACCTAGGCCTGGGAGCAGTGAGCTATAATTTTGCCACTGCACTCCAGTCTGGGAGACAGTGGGACCCTGTCTCAAAATAAATAAGTAAACTCTACCAGGCTTATTATAAAATTAGAAGTTCACCTCTCCTTACCTCTAGCATTTCCTGACAGCATTTCCATTTCCAGAGGCCCTAACTTTCAGCTCTTTCATCTGATTATTTTGGTGTTTATATCCATATCTCCAAGTAACATGCTTTCTTCTATTTTTCACTTTCCAGCATCAGGCATCATCTGTTTCCTAACAAGGAAAATGAGGACTTAGCTGTCTTTTGCCCCTCCTCAAATCCAAACACATATGTGTACACTTTCTGTATCCCATCACCCCCAGGATAGCTGTACCATAAATTTGCATAGATACATTATTGTGATTGTATAAACACTGTTCACAAGCCATGAAGTATACTGCAATGTGCTTCATACATTTTGATCTTGTTTCAACTTGTTCTTTTCTTTCTTTTGGAGTTAATACCTTGTTGGTGGTGGTTTTTAGTGTTTGTTTGTTTGTTTGTTTGTTTGTTTGTTTGTTTTCTGAGACAGGGTCTCTGTCACCCAGGCTGGTGTGTAGTGGTGCGATCTCAGCTCACTGCAGCCTCAACCTCCCCTGGCTCAGGTGATCTTCCCATTTCAGCCTCCCAAATAGCTGGGACTACAGGCACACACCACCACACCTGTCTACATTTTGTATTTTTTGTAGAGTTGGGGTTTTGCCATGTTGCCCAGGCTGGTCTCAAACTCCTGGGCTCAAGCAATCTGCACACCTCAGCCTCCCAAAGTTCTGGGATTACAGGCGTATACCACTGCCCCTAGCCCCTTGTTGTTTTTTTGTACTTTAAACTCTTCCCAAATTGTGTAAATTTCCAACATGTTCAAACATATTGGAATTGTATCAATTTCATCTTGAACCCTCGCTTGGGGTCTTCCAAATGGCTCTGATCTGGAGGGTTTTGCTCGGGAGCTAAGCATAGCTGCTATCCCTGAGCTGCCTTTCTCCACCTCTCTTTGCATCTCTCTTATTTTGGATTCCGTGTCTTCCTCTTTCTTGGTTTACTTTCTTGTATTGCTGAAGCATAGACCTTCCCTGTTTGAACAGCTTTATTCTACTCTCCTATTTCATTGGCAGTATGGCTGGCACAGGATTCCAAGTTCAAAAGCATTTCCTCCCAATATTTGAAAGCATTGTTCCATTGTCTTCTGGTTTCCCACATAGCTTGCTCCCGCCATCTCTAGGAGAGTATCACATACCTGCACCTGTGCTGTGTGACTTGCAGTGCTTTTCTATGCAAAGCATGTTGTCCTCTACCCCATTTGTGGCAGACATGGCCATGGGACTGGCTTTAATGGAATGTGGGAATGTGGCTGTTGCTACAATACACCACCCAGATTTCCCTCCAGGAATGAAGGATAAAATACCCCCAGCTGCTGGGAGAGCTGCCAGAAAACCTCCCTCAGCTGTTAGCCCTCTTCAGGGATTGCCTGCGCTGAAGAAAATTGCCCTACCCAAGATCATGTTTCCTTCCAGAAGCAGCCTACCTCCCAATGACTGATCAGCGCAGGGATATGAAGGCCTGGTCCCCTTGCCCCAAGTGGTGACAATCTACAGGGCCATTCCAGCGTCTGGGTTCCCCATGGAGTCAGCAGGATCCAGTGATGGACCCAGCTTCCTTCTCCCTGCATCTGTGGTGTTGATCTCATGAATACTTCTTAAGAAATACCTGTATACTGATATCATTTCAGAAATTTTCCCTGGGGAATGCAACCTGTCAGAGTTGGGTGCCAGGAGTGGTTCAAGAAAGCAGATCCTAAGATGGGATTTTGAGCTTGATCTTCCACCACCCAGATGGGAATGAAGACCCCTGATAATCTCATCAATGATTATCCCTGGCACAGTACAATAGTAAAATGTGTCACCAATGGAAGGGAACGCATTAGCTGCGTGAAATGTCAAGCAGTTGAAATATGCAGGGAAAACAGTAACTAAGGATTTGGATTTAGGGAGCCATTGCCAAACTCAGTTGACACTCTGGAAAAGTAACAAAAGGTTGAGAGTGATTAATCAGCAATAAATAGCTATGAATGAAAGCCAGGTGGCCTCTCCTGCAGCAGGAGAACTGGGAAAGCTCAGGCCCAGCACCAGAACTTAGTCACAAAAGACGACAAGCTCCAAGGAAGATTGAACCCCCAACCGAGACAAGTTGACTCTGATAAGATCAAGGCTCTGCTTGGGGAAGGACTGGGACCCTGATACATAGGATGGGGATATCTGGTTGATGTCCTTGAGAATCTTAAATCCCCAAATTTCTCTGAGCCCTCTGAGCCTGGGGGAGCTCAGATTAAAGACAAGCACCACTCCACCTTGCTTGGAGATGATGTGAAGGCCTCCCCCCTGCAAGACACCTTGTTCTTTTCTCAGGATCTGCGAAGGCCTCCCACCCCGGCCGTTACCAATATCTACGGTTAAGTCCTAACAACATATTGCTGCCTGGGATGTGCTAGGCCTGCCTGCTGAAGACAGAAAGGGGACACCCCTTGAACAAACTGCAGGACACAACCAATTGGACTGGCAGAAGCTGGAAGAGTTCACATGGGGCTGGATTCTAAGTGTGCTGTGTCGAAGGGCAGTGCAGAACACAAATTTGGATAAAAGAGAGTTGACCAGTATGGGTGCGCTCCCCCAAGATGCTGATTTCATATGCCGCAAGGCCCCCAGAGATGGTGCAAACGCACTACTAAGGTGGCTCCTAGGAACATGAGAAAAGCAATGGCCCATCTTAAGTTAAGAAGAAATACCTGTACTGCCCTAACAAAATGGAGGCACAGAAGTGACAAAAAACTTGAGCCAGGATTCAAACCTAGTGTCTTCCGAGTCAAACTCCCTTCCCAGCTTCACCTCAGCTGAGATCTCATATTTCTGTTTCATTGTTTCTTACCTGTCTCAAGTAAACTCAAGCATTAATCTAGGTGAGTGGCCTTACACTTGCCCTGGAACAGTGAGACAAAAGAGATGGAGAAAGAGGAATGTGAGAGGAAGAGAAGGGAGACTCAGCAAAAAATCTAGATGTGAAGAGCAAAGTGCTGGGGTAGCAAAGAGGATTTAGTGGAAGAGAAATGAAGATAGATTCGTAACATCTTATTCCAATTCCAGTTTTACAGAATCTTAGGTATTACCTAACAGCATTTTTCAAATTGGCATGCACAGAAGGGTCCATTGTTTCAGTTGATAACCAAAGTGCTTTTTAGAGCTAAAATACTATTTTTGGTGGCTTAATTACAGGGCTTCTCACAGTGGAAGACACTATCTTTAAATAACTTAATATATAGTATATTTGAATTTCATTCCTTTAAGAAAGTGCTTGGCAGCAACTGAGTCCACGTAGAGGGCAGGAGGAGATAAATTATTTTATAACATTTGGCACCATCATATTGTCATCATTCAAGGCAACTGGGGGAGCTAAATATAAGATAGGAATTAATCTGACTTCTCTAAGAAGATATTAATATATTTTCTAAAATCAACCTAGAAAAAATAGAACAGGCAAAAGTGGAATAATTTTAAGCCTTGTGCTCACCTTTACAGAAACAATAATTCTTCATCAAAATGTCTGATAGACAAATGGCTCCCAGCTGTTCTTCTGGAAGAGCCCTCATTCATTCACGCACATATGCACCTTATTCAGCTAATACTTATTAAACGCTACTTGGTGCCAGGCACAATGCTAACTACAAAAATGAATAGGACACATTTCTGCTCTGCAAGAAGCTCACAGATAATTGTAGCATCATGTGGTGAGGGCAATGATAGAAAGAGATAAACTGAAGAGATAGGTATCTGTAGGGCAGGGGAGGGCAAGCATGGTAGGCTCCCTGGAGGAGGTGACAGCTGAAAACTGGACTGAATCTTAATGGTTGGATTGATATGTGTGTATGTGTGTGTGCCTGACTGTATGATCTGAAATAGAGTTAAATACATATGGTGAACATTTGGAACCCCAAGACATTCCACACTGGTGGAACATCATGTATGACATAAAACAGTCAAGCACTGAGCCTAGGCAGGCAGGCAGTTACCAGCTCAGAGAGCCTTATTTGCTCAGTAACATCTACTGAGTACTCACTACGTGCCAAACACTATCCTAAGCATTTTTTCTCATTGAAACCTTCCACCACCCTACCCTGTGAAGTCCCTGCTATGGTAGGATCCCCATTCTACAGACGAAAAAGCTGAGGCCTGGTTTGGCTAAGCACCTTGCCTAGGTTCTCACGGTAAGTAAAGCCAGGATCTGAATGCAGGCAGTCTTTTTCCAGAGTCCGTGCTCTTCATTCTTACACATACCTCATGGTGACAGGGACCTATTGGAGATGTATTTTTCAGCAGGGAAGTGGAGCGATTGGATTGCCTATTAATACCCTGGTTACAAATGAAATGTTTTAGTTACCATGCAGACTTAAATTTTAATAGGAGCTAAAATAGGCCAGGCTCAGTGGATCATGCCTATAATCCCAGCACTTTGGGAGGCCAAGGTGGAAAGATTGCTTGAGGCCAGGCCAGGAGGATTGCTTGAAGAAGTTTGAGACCAGCCTGGGCAATATAGTGAGACCTCATCTCTTAAAAAAAAAAAAAAAAAAAAAAAGGACCTAAAGCGGGCAGAGCAGTCAGGGCCTGCCCTCTCAAAATAGGATGCACCCCAAATCAAGAACCAAGTCAGGAAGTATCACTGACTGCCTAAGAAGAATTCTCTCATATGAGATTAGCCGCCTGCCCCTGAAATGATTTTCAGATATGTTGCTTGCTGATAGAGCTGCAGTGATCACAGCTAAGTGCTGAGGGGATCTCCCTATTTGCCGATTTAAAATGCAGCCCTTCCTGGCTGAAGATAAACTTTAGGAAAGAGCAGGGGGTCTACCCTGAAAAGGTGCTGAGCTCTAAAAGCATGCTTCTGGTGCATTATTTTAAGTAAGGTGCATCCTTTTAGGTAATTAAGGAATATCGATAACAGAAAGGAAAGAGAGTAAAGCATTTGTCTGTTTCTCCGTAATAGTTTAGATCAGACGAGACTCTGATCAATTCATCCTTGATCTAATTCGCTCAATCACTGTGGTTCTTCTAGGTGCTCAGGATATGGTGGCTGGCAAAATCAGATGTGGCCCCTACCTTCAAGGATTTTGCAGCCTAGTGAGGGGAAAAGATACCAACCAAAGAATCACTCTCAAATAAATGTGCAATTATAAGTGTGGTGAGTGGTTGGAGAAGTACAAGCTAAAGCGAGGACATCCCTGCAGCAGTGAGAACTAAGATTTTCCGGGGAAGTAGGAAAGGAGATAACAGTGGAGAATTCCAGACAGGGCCTGTGGAAAAGCCCCGAAGGCAGGAAGGAGTCTGCCTGGTCAAGGAATGAAAGGTGTCAAGCATGGCTGGTTTGGGACTTTGGTCTCCACTAGGCCCCAGAGGACAGATGGAGAATTTTTTTTCCTTATTTTAAGAACAATGGTAAATCAATCAAATGCTTTGTGTTTGCATTGGGAAATAGGTGACAAGATTGCATTTGCATTATTTAAAAGAAAAAATCCCTGCTAAGGAGAAATCAGATTGAAAGGAGACAAGAGTTCATTCATTTCTTCTTGTTCTGAATTTAGAGAACATTTATTGTGTGCATTCCAGTGCTGTGCAATAGAAATATAGTATGAGCCACATTTATCATTTTGAATTTTCTAGTCACATCAAAAAAAGTAAAACACATTAGGTGAGATCCGTTTTAATATGTTTCATTTTACCCAATATATCAAAAATACTATCATTTTAACATGTAATAATATAAACAAGTATTAGTGCAATATTTTACATTCTTTTTTCATACTAAGTTTTTGAAATCTGCTGTGTATATTCACACACCTCAATTTGGACATAAAATCTTCCTCAGAAATACTTGATCTATATGTAGATTTCATAAAATTTACAATTGAAAAAACAGGTTTTTGTACCCAGGTTGTTCCAAACATACTTAAAAGTTTTCCAATAAAATAATAATAATAAAAAAAAGAAAAAAATAAGAAAATCAAAAGTTTTTCAATAAATAAACTTTTAGTTTTTAAATTAAGATTAAATAAAGTTAAAAATTCAGTTTCTCAATAACGGTGGCCACATTTCAAGCACTCAGTAGCCATCTATGGCTAGTGCTACCATATTGGATAGATCAGGAGGGACCTTTCCATCACTGCAGAAAGTTGTATTGGACAGTGCAGATCTACACGCTGGTGAGGCCCTGTGTGTTCATTAGCATTGCCTTGGAAGATGTAACCTTCAAAGGTGATAGGTGCTCTAACCTACAACAGCCTCCCTATTTCCATTTAATATCTTTAAACCCATTCAGCAGCCTTTTGATCCTGTTTTGGTTTCCCAAGAACAGGTTCCTACTGGGAAGAAAATGAGCTCACCTGCTTAGATAAATATCTAGTCTGCTTGGCTGTTACATTTCTCTTTACATGAATAAAGATGAGTTTCCCAATCTTCATCCTAGACTATCCCTGAGTGAACTATCAACATCAAAGTACTTGTGAGATCTTGTGGAAACTACCAGCTCTTCACAACCTCATGACTGGCAGCTCCTATCTGTAAAGAGCAAACATTAATTTTCAGGGCTAGCAATGGCAATTAGGGAATTTAACAAGCCCCCCAGGCCAATGAGCCTCTTGTTTGCTCCTCTTCCTCAAGGTCCCCACTCACAGGGCGACCTTTAGCCAGAAAAGAAGGTCCTGGAGGGCAGGTGTGGAATTGGAGTGTCTGGCACAGCAGGCCTGGGTGCTGGCTACCCAGGTGCCAGTCCGCCAGGTGCCACCTCTCTCCAGGGTCCCTCCTCCCTCTCCCCCATTTTTTGCTCCCCATTTGGCTTGAAGGTGAACAGGGAAATGTTTTTCTCTATATCTCTTTAAGAATCTTTGTAAATCTCTGTGGAAATTAATTTTGCCCCTCAACTCTGGGCAATGAATAATGTTCACACGATGATTTATCTTTTGCCCTGATTTTTCCCACCCTAATCCCACTTGATACTTTAGTTTACCTTCCCTTCAGAAATGGGAGCTCCTTGGAAGCAGGTACCAAACGTTATCTTGCATTCTGTTTTGGTTTTGTTTCTCTGATTCTTTAAAATTCCCCACATGGTTTTCTCATCCATTCTATTCAGTAACATTTGAGTGTTGCCTTTTGTTTAACAATGGCTAACATCAATTGAACATTTACTAAATGTTAAGCACTTTACATGAATTTCTTTCATGTAAAAAAATTTTAAAGTTTTAAAATTAGAGACAGGGATTGGGTGGGGTGAGAGTGGATCTCTCTGTGTTGCCCAGGCTGGTCTCCAACTCCTGACCTCAAGCAATCCTCGCTCCCCGTCCTCACGTAGTGGTGGGATTACAGGAATTAGCCATTCCACCTGGCCGGATTTCCTCATTTAATCCTTATAACCGAGCTGTGAAGTAAATATTATTATTTGCATCATTTTACACATCGGGAAACCGAGGCTCAAATAGGTTAAATAAATTTATCCAAGGAGACACATCTAGTCAGGGCAGTAAGGAATTAAATCTAGAAAGTCCTAATCTAGAGTTTATAACCTTTGTACAATATTGTGTACCTAGGATGTTTTGCTACTGTGTATCTACTGTTTTAAATCTCCAGCGAGTTTATGCTGGGTCTAGGAGAGAAAGGGAGGCCCTGCTAAACATTTCATGTGCTTCTTCTCTCAGCAGTAACGTTCTCAAAGCGGCTAATCAAGAGCTAGAATCGATCAATAGATAGATATCAGGCTGGAGGGTAGCAGTCTGGTCTGAAAGCCGGTCCGCTAGCATTCATAATCTCAGCGTTCAACCTGGGCGTGCCTCTCATCTCTCCCGTTAACACTCCCTGCTGTGCTGCTGATTTTTGGCAGTAATCCCAGCACTTTAGGAGGCCGAGGTGGAAGGATCACTTGAAGGCAGGAGTTCGTGATCAGAGTGGGAAACAAAGTGAGACCACCCCCCCCCCCCCCCACTCCGCTGTCTGTATAAAATTTTTTAATAAAAAATTAGCCGGGCGTGGTGGCGTGCGCCTGTAGTCTCAGCTACTCGGCAGGCTGAGGCAAGACGATCGCTTGAACCCGGGAGACTGAGGTTGCAGTGAGCTATGATTGCACCACTCCACTCCAGCCTGGGCGACAGAGTGAGACCCGAGGGGATGACAAGGGGGCTGTGCTCCTTTGTGAAATCCCGTTGTCCCAGGGCAGGAGGGGCCGCACTTCACACAGGGAGAATCTATGCTCAAGAGCGCAGAACTAGTTCGTCTCGGTCCATCGTCACTGGTTTTATCCCATTAAAAATAGTAATTTGCTTTCTCCTAAAAGCGTATAAACACAAAACCAGCCCCTGACTGCGAGACACCAAGCTTGTTTAGGTCTAAGCCCGCAGAGAACCCCCGATCCCAGAATTAGCTGGCGGGCCCGGGAGGAAGTGTTCCCGCCCTCTGTCCCGCCCCGCGGCCCCAGCCACTTCTCGGCCCGCCCTCAGGTTTACTCTCCGCCCTTCAAAGGCGGCAGCCAATCGGGGAGCCGCGTCCCCGCCGCGCGCGCGCTGCTCCTCCTTCTTGCGGGCCGCGCCCTGCCGGCAGTGACGTGCCCCGCCCTGCAGCCGCGGGATTCAAACTCCCGGAAGCGGCATCCACACCTGATGGTGTGACTCGGCCGACGCGAGCGCCGCGCTTCGCTTCAGCTGCTAGCTGGCCCAAGGGAGGCGACCGCGGAGGGTGGCGAGGGGCGGCCAGGACCCGCAGCCCCGGGGCCGGGCCGGTCCGGACCGCCAGGGAGGGCAGGTCAGTGGGCAGATCGCGTCCGCGGGATTCAATCTCTGCCCGCTCTGATAACAGTCCTTTTCCCTGGCGCTCACTTCGTGCCTGGCACCCGGCTGGGCGCCTCAAGACCGTTGTCTCTTCGATCGCTTCTTTGGACTTGGCGGTGGGTATCATCTCCTTACAGATAGGCGCAGAGAGGCCAAGTGACTTGCCCAAGGTCTTTTGTTAGGACGGCTTTTTCCGATTGGCAGGCACTTTCGTTGTGTGTTCCTCAAACATCTTTATTTTAGAAGTGAGAAAACTTGTGCCTTTTTTTGCAGTTTCTCTTTTCCTGTCTGTCTCCTCAAGTGAGATTTTATGTGGGAATTTTTAAAGATTGGCGTCGCCTTGTAGAAGATGCGGCTTGTAATTGAGGCCTTGTACCATTTACTGGATGGAAGCGCTTGTTTGGTCACCTGTCCAGCATGACTTAGGTCACTTCAGCTAATCAACCAATCATTTCTTTTCTTTTTTCTTTTTTTTTGAGATGGAGTCTCGCTCTGTCACCAAGGCTGGAGTGCAATGGCACGATCTTGGCTCACTGCAACCTCTGCCTCCTGGGTTCAAGCGATTCTCCTTCCTCAGCCTCCTGAATAGCTGGGACTACAGGCGTGCGCCACCACGCCCGGTTAATTTTTGTATTTTTAGTAGAGACAGGGTTTCGCCATGTTGGGCAGGCTGGTCTCGAACTCCTGACCTCAGATGATCCACCTGCCTCGGCCTTCCAGAGTGCTGGGATTACAGGCGTGAGCCACCGCGCCCGGCCCCAATCAACCAATCATATCTGAGGGCTTGCTGTTAGGCTCTGTGGGTAACAACAACAACAACAAAAATCAAAGTGCAGTCCTTGAAAAAATAGTTGAACAATTGAAAAAATAAAAGGTTAGCAGGAAGTGTAATTGGGTACTAGATTGTGTAGGGGTGGGGGTGGGGCAGCTATATCGTTTGTTAAGAGTTCACAGAGGGAAGGCATGCTGAGGAAGGTTTGAACTGGGGGAACCCTGTGGATGACTGGAATAGGAAATACAGGGAAAGGTGGCCGGGCGCGGTGGTTCACGCCTGTAATCCCAGCACTTTGGGAGGCCGAGGCGGGCAGATCACTTGAGGTCAGGAGTTCGAGACTAGCCTGACCAATATGGTGAAACCTCATCTCTACTAATAGATAAAAAAAAATTAGCCAGGCGTGGTGACGCGCACCTGTAGTCCCAGCTACTCAGGAGGCTGAGGCAGGAGAATCCCTTGAACCCGGGAGGCGGAGGTTGCAGTGATCTGAGATAGTGCCACTGCACTCCAGCCTGGGCGACAGAGCGAGACTCTGCCGCCCCTAACGCCCCGCCCCCGCCAAAAAAAAAAAGAAAGAAACAGAAACAGAAAAAAGAAAATACAGGGAAAGGAGGTTGGTGGGACTAGGTGGTGGGGGAGATCCAAACCGTCTGGGCCAGAGGCTAGAAACTAGTAGTCATTCATTCACTGCCAGAGTTTCTGTGCAAAGGTTAGGAAGCAGATGTTTGGGGGTTCTTTCACGTTCTGCAGATCTATATTTCCATCATTTTGTGTCTCAATGACTTGGTAGTAGTTTTCTGTCCTACGACCCACGATATCAAGTCAACAGTGTGTTATCAACAGAAACACATAGGAAAGAACTTCCTGTGGCAGCAGGTGACTGAGAGACGCCATAACCTTGCATTTCTTTAACTGATGGATGAGCTACTGCAATCTTTCACCTTATAATGGCAAAAATCCAGGACTAACCTTTTGATAGATGATTTCTTCTACTCAATCTCCACAGTTCTAATATGTTTAGACGTTCTGATTTCACACAGGACAATCTTAAAAGTCACTTCACTACCATTCTAAGGAGGTCTCTCCTGTTTTTACTGATATCATTTATCCCTGTACTTCTCTTGTGTAATATTTATTACAGTTTGAGGATTCATGAACCCTTGTTTGTTTCCTTGTTATTGCCTGCCTTTACTACACTGAAAGCCCCATAACATTAGGGAACATGTCTTTTTTTTTTTTTTAAACCAGTTTACACCCAGCATGTATTAGGATACCTGGTAAATAGTAGGCTTTATAGTAATTTTTGAATGCACTAATGGGCTCATACTCCTTTATATCCTTTAATCACACTGCCATTATTTTATCTTGGGATACATGAAGTAGAAAAATGTTTTTTAACCTCCTTAATTAGAGTTACTTTTATATACTATTTATATGCATCGTATGCTTCACTAGATTTTTGCCTGCTAAAGTTTATATTATATACTTGTTTCTAAACTGTCATCCAGTACTGTTAGCAGATACTGAGTTTCTCCTTACTTAATTTGGCCCCTTATTCTTAATTCCTTTCATGCCTGACTCCCCTGAATGTTATACCTCTTTTCCAGTAAATGTCTTATTTTAGGTTCTCTTCACTTTTTCCCACTGTGCTCTCTCAAATGATTATTAAGATGGATCTGAACTAGGCTACCTTCTAAAACAGAGGACCTATGTTAAGTAATGACATTTCGTGCCTATATACTCAGAATTACATTATTTACCAACAGCTTTTTATTTTGGGCCAAGATATGTCCTTGATTGTGACCTACTTCTTTCAGGCTTTATTTAATGGTTGGAGACCCCTTCATTGTTTTTTAAACCAAACTTTTCCACAAAAGAATTACACATATAATTACACATATAGAACACTACACAAAACATAAATGTACAAGTTGACTTTTTTTTTTTTTTTTTTTTTGAGACGGAGTCTTGCTGTGTCACCCAGGCTGGAGTACATTGGTGCGATCTTGGCTCACAGCAACCTCCACCTCCCGGGCTCAAGCGATTCTCCTGCCTCAGCCTCCCCAGCATCTGGGATTACAGGCACCTGCCACCACGCCTGGCTAAGTTTTGTAGTTTTAGTAGAGATGGAGTTTCACCATGTTGGCCAGACTGGTCTCGAACTCCTGACCTCATGATCCACCCATCTTGACCTCCCAAAGTGCTGGGGCTACAGGCGTGAGCCACCGTACCCAGCCCAAGTTGACATATTTTAGAAGGTGAATACTCCCATTTATCTACCACTGAGATTAAAAAAAAAAGTTACAATACCCCAGAAGCCTCCATCCATCTTTCTCCATACCCTGCTGGTTTGGATATATCATTTCTATTTAGAGCAGATAGGTTATTAGACCTGTTTCAAACTTGAGATTTAAATTTTTAAACTCAGAATTATACAGTTGATTTTTATTTTTACAGACCATTTCAGAGATGTCTTCCAGAAGTACCAAAGATTTAATTAAAAGTAAGTGGGGATCGAAGCCTAGTAACTCCAAATCCGAAACTACATTAGAAAAATTAAAGGGAGAAATTGCACACTTAAAGACATCAGTGGATGAAATCACAAGTGGGAAAGGAAAGCTGACTGATAAAGAGAGACACAGACTTTTGGAGGTAAATGGTCTTCTGATCCTTTAAATTGTAAGCTCTCCAAGAAAGCGATGCATGAAGATTTCCTGATGCTACCTTCTTACTCTTGCCGTGTTCCCTGTCTTGTCCAGTTGATTAGTTTTGGAAAGCTGACATTGGGTTTAGAATCTTAAATTCCTACTTTGACTTTGCCAAGTCTTAGATGTACTTTAGTCATTACTAACTTCTCACCTTTTAAATGTAATTGAGTATGTGTTTTGAGGTTACCAGGTACTAAGTTTGTTCTGGAAATAAAGACATTGCGATTAATAGTTTTGCACCTTTAACATGGTCTGTTTCACCTTTAGTATGCTCTGTTTCTCAGTTATTTAAAACAAAGTAATAACCTAATTCATCATTCTTCCTATAGCTTCTTGGTAATTTAGCTTAACTACATGAATATTCTTGATAACTTTTGTTATGCTGTATTTAAGATTGTGAAACATTCTGGCTAACTATTTTCGCTATTTTTAAATTGATAGCATAACTTAGAAGCATTCGATTTTCCATACTTTTTTTTTTTTTTTGAGACTGGGTCTCAACTCTGTTGCCCAGGCTGGAGTACAGTGGCTTGATCATAACTCACTGCAGCCTCAAACTCTGGGCCTCAGGCAATCCTCCTGCCTGGGCCTCCCAAAGTGCTGGAATTCCAGGTGTGAACCGCTATGCCTGGCCATTCCATGCTTTTTTGGAGTACTAAATTACTCGTTGATGTACTTTAAGGATACTGTGCTGGGCTTATATCTCTTTTTTACTGTGGGAGAGGAGAAAATATTTACCCAATAGTTATATAATCTGGTTTTCCTGTTAATTTACTAAATGTAAAAAATCAGATCTGTCCATTTCAGAGTATTAAATAGTGTTCAGATTTCCTTATTTAAAACATATTTTATCATGCATATTGGCTGCTATCCAAGTAATTCTGGTTTTCAGGCTTTTGAAGGAAAAATTATTAGACATGTTGGCATTTACACTCTGTTCAACTATATTTCGGATTCCCTAATTTATAATTTGTTATGGCATAGACAGTAAGGAAGTTAGGAACTTATTAGAACTAGAGGGACTTAAAAATGTAATCATAAATATAATCACAAATTTGGATTTAATTATTTTGCAAAAGTGCTTTTATTGTTTGTATTTAGAAAATAAATGGTTAAGGCCGGGCACGGTGGCTCATGCCTATAATCCCAGCACTTTGGGAGGCTGAGACAGGTGGATCACCTGAGGTCAGGAGTTCAAGACCAGCCTGGCCAATATGGCGAAACAAAAATTAGCCGGATGTGTTGGTGTGCACCTGTAATCCCAACTACTCGGGAAGCTGAGGCAGGAGAATCGCATGAACCCAGGAGACAGGTTGCAGTGAGCCAAGATCGCACCACTGCACTCCAGCCTGGGTGACAGAGCAAGACTTCTGTCTCAAAAAAAAAATAAATAAATAAAATAAAATAAATGGTTAAACAGTATACCATTTGATTTATTTAAATTCTCTAAACAGGCACATAATGAAACTGATTTATTTTTTGTAACAACATACATTGAGGTAAATGCTTTTTCAAGCACTTAGAGAACAGTCATCACCAGTCCACAGATATGAAGGTTATTTTGCAATCTGGTAAAGGAATCTTATTGCTTCCCTGAGAGATAGCTTTCCATTTCATTCCACTTTTTGAGAAGCACTGGATATTTTGTTCCTTTATAATCAATTAAACTTCCTATAACTTCTACCCATTTGTTCTAATTGTGCCTATTAAAGTTACACAGAACAAGTCTTATTTTTCCTATGCAAACTGACAATTTATTAGATATGTAAGGAAATTTTGCTTCCTCTTAACTTTTCTGCAGACCAAGCTCATATTCTTCAGCTTTTCTGGCTTCTTATCATCTTGAATAGTTTTTAGTTTATTCATATCCCTCCTGAATTATGCACTTAGAATTGAACACAGTATCCTAAATATGTTCTGGAAAACACAGATTGAAATAGTAGTGTTACATCTACTTAGCTGGATACTGTACTCCATTAAAGCCTAAAATTGTATGGCTCTGTTATCTGTCTCATACTACTGATTTGAGTTAAGCTTGTGGCCAACTATAATCTCCTCATTATTTTCAAATGAATAACCATGCCCCTAAACTTAAATTTTCCCCATTTTATATTTGAACAACTGCTGCTTTTTTCTTCCTAAATTCAAGTTTTAACTTCATGCTGTTTTGATCCTGTTAGCCTATAATTTTAATAATTATTTCTATTATCTTTTTATTTTACTTTTTCCTTTATGCCAGCAGCAGTTTAAAAAACATTACTTATGTATATCTTGTGAATCTTTGAAGATGTTAAGCATTCCTTTAGAGATCACCTTCTAGATTCAATACTGAATCATTTATCGAAAGTAAGCAGGTTAATGAATGCATCCCTCTCCTGCTGAAATATTCTGTAACTTTTAAGTTCCACTGATTCAAATTCATTAAGGAGCATGTATATCTTGTGTGACCGACTTTTAGCTCTTAGTTTTTACAAGATCCAGTGTTATGGAAGAATGATTACCAAATACTCATGGGAAAGCTAGCCCTTCTTTAGCTTTTTCTCACCACCCTTGATAGAGGTGGTTTCTCCTTTCTTTGTGTCTGTGCTCATTTTTTAATCTGTCTTAACTACAGCACTTACAACGTTGCATTAATACATTGGCTTACTTCTCTGTGAGCTATCTGAACATAAAACTTTGGCTTCCTAATCTTTTTTGGCCTTGGTATTTAGCGTAATGCTGACTTGATAATAAATGCTTCATAAATGCTTGTTGAAGTATATATTGTTTAGCTAGATGTTTGACCTGGCTTTGTTCTAAGATTCTTCTTAGTTTATGTCTAGAAAATTCGAGTCCTTGAGGCTGAGAAGGAGAAGAATGCTTATCAACTCACAGAGAAGGACAAAGAAATACAGCGACTGAGAGACCAACTGAAGGCCAGATATAGTACTACCACATTGCTTGAACAGCTGGAAGAGACAACGAGAGAAGGAGAAAGGAGGGAGCAGGTGTTGAAAGCCTTATCTGAAGAGAAAGACGTATTGAAACAACAGTTGTCTGCTGCAACCTCACGAATTGCTGAACTTGAAAGCAAAACCAATACACTCCGTTTATCACAGGTGCTAATCATTTCTTTAAACCCAGATTTTTTTTTTCTTTCTGATACAGTTTGTAATTCTTAGGAGGAATGAGTTTGTTAAGACATGCTTCCCAAATGATGAGACAAATGATTAGTATAGTATACTATCAGGTCACTTCACTTTTTTTAATAGCCCAGTCCCTTCTCTATAAGCAAAAATAGTTAATATGGTACCCTCCACTCCTTGTACCATTGATTTGCCTGGAGGAATATTCAGAAGACAGCATCTACTGTGTATTTACAATTACCAAGATTTTTTTTGAGCTCTTATTTCTATAGTTTGTATCATGAAAACAGTAGGCTTCATTTTTTTGGTTATTTTTCATATTTGAAACATACAATTATAATATCAAGTATACTTTTCCTAACTGCACTTGCATTTTCTCCCCGTTTTGTTTGAGAGGCACTAGCGTCATAGAAAGAACAAGGATACAGAAATAGACATGTGAGTTCAGATCTTGGTTTTGTACTTGCCAGCTCTGTGACTCTGAACAAATTTGTTAACCTTTATAGCCTTAGAGACAATACTAGACTTCTCCAGACCCCTGTTCTAAATCTTAGTTTCTTTTTTTTTTTTTTAAACATATAAGCTAAACCTGAGTTTCCACATCAGTAAAATCAGGATAGGAATAGTGAGAATTAAATGTAAATATGTATGTAAATTGCCTCGCATAGTGCCTAGTATATAGTAGGTGTTCGGTAAATGGTTACTTATTGATCAGACCTTTGATTCTTTTGGAGATTTGGAGATTCGAATAATACTAACATTAATATCATCTATAGGCTGGGCATGGTGGCTCACGCCTATAATCCCACCACTTTGGGAGGCCAAGGCAGGCAGATCACCTGGGGTCAGGAGTTTGAGACCAGCCTGGCCAACACAGTGAAACCCCATCTCTACTAAAAATACAAAAATTAGCCGAGTGTGACGGCACGCATCTGTAATCCCAGCTATTCGGGAGGCTGAGGCACTAGAATCGCTTGAACCCGAAAGGTGGAGGTTGCAGTGAGCCAAGATTGCGCCACTGTACTCCGGCCTGGGTGACAGAGTGAGCCTCTGTCTCAAAAAAAAAAAAATCATCTATAGTAGAAAATCTGTAGCTTTCAAATATATCTCAGTGCTGTTAAGGATCTTTCTCTGTACTTTATTTCCCATTTAGGGGAGATAGTGATCAGACCTATACATTTATGTGTATTTTCATAGATGGGCGTTTGAGTGTTTCTGCAGATGAGTTCAAAAAGTTGAAGTTTTTCTAGAGAATTTCCACAGAGCTGAAACTCATAAAACGTTACAGTCAGATTCAAAGTAGCTGACTAAAATTTTTCTTTGAAGTTCAAGAGTTAGTTTCTCCACTTTTGGAATGTGAAATACAAACTTGGTAGAAATTATAATTTTTAAAATTTTTATTTATTTTTTATTTTTTGAGACAGAGTCTCATTTTGCCACCCAGGCTGGAGTGCAATGGCGCAATCTCAGCTCACTGCAACCTCCACCTGGGTTCAAGTAATTCTCCTGCCTCAGCCTCCCAAGTATTTGGGATTACAGGCACCTGCCACGACGCCCTGCTGATTTTTGTATTATTAATAGAGACGGGGTTTCAACATGTTGGCCAGGCTGGTCTTGAACTCCTTACCTCAGGTGATCCGCCTGCCTCAGCCTCCCAAAGTGCTGGGATTACAGGCATAAGCCACCGTATCTGGCCTGAAATTATAATTTTTAAAAATGTATTCTTATAATAATTTTGTGGGCTACTCGTATTGATTTCTTTATTAACTAGTATGTCTGACTCCTATAACAACTTCCAAATGTCAGTGTCTTATGCAACAAATGTTTATTTTTCTCTCATGCTGGTCTAGTCCAGATTGGAGTAGAGGAAGCTTTGCTCCACAGAGTCATTTGACTCCAGGTTCCTTCCTTCTAGTGGCTCCACCTTCCTTTAGGGTAGGGTCCCCCACCAAGTCCTCTGTATGTAGCTGTGAGATGGAGCTTGTGGAGAACTGCCTAGGAGGGGTCTGGGGCCAGGCCTGGTATTGACATATCTCACCTCTGCTCACATTCCACTGGAACATGGCTCCACTAACCACAGGGAAGGCTGGAATCAGTCTACAGTGTGCCCAGGGTAAAAGGAAAGGGATTTAGAGAA
This sequence comes from Homo sapiens, assembly GCF_000001405.40. Classification (NCBI taxonomy): domain Eukaryota; kingdom Metazoa; phylum Chordata; class Mammalia; order Primates; family Hominidae; genus Homo; species Homo sapiens. Next base: position 93,505,553 of record NC_000010.11, read on the forward strand.
CTATCTTTGTCATAGTTTCCACCTCGAGGACTGAATTGAGAGAGAGAAAGGGCTACATATTAAAGTGAATGAATAGAGCATCTTTGGAGAAAAATAATTTTTTTGAGCTTCTTTGCCAGTATTCACAAGTCTCTTATAGCTATTAAAAGACTGAAATACAGCTTTTTCTATGTTTGTTGGCCAGCCTGGCTACCTAGCCACCCACTTCTCTTTTATTTCTCTGAGAAAATGAAGAGGAGAGAAATAATTTTTGAGTTCCATATAATCTATATGAACTAATACTAATTAATAATTAATACTTTTTTTTTTTAGATAGAATCTTGCTCTGTTGCCCAGGCTGGAGTAATTTTTGTATTATTAGTAGAGATGGGGTTTCACCATGTTAGCCAGGCTGGTCTTGAACTCCTGACCTCAGGTGATCTGCCTGCCTCGGCCTCCCAAAGTGCTGGGATTACAGGCATAAGCCTGATCTTGGCTCACTGCAACCTCCTCCTCCCGGGTTCTGCCTCAGCCCCCCGACTAGCTGGGACTACAGGTGCGCTACCATGCCTGGCTAATTTTTGTATTTTTAGTAAAGATGGGGTTTCACCATATTGGCCAGGCTGGTCTCAAACTCCTGACCTTGTGATCCTACCCGCCTTGCCCTCCCAAAGTGTTGGGATTATAGGCGCGAGCCACTGCACCCGGCCTAATTAATACTATTATTAATACAAAACATGATTCTAGAAAAAAAATTTTACCTTTTGTTTGACAATTTAATGTCTTCTAGGTGTCATTTAAATAGCCTAGTTGTTTTGTGTTTGTCTTTTTGGTAAAAATCACTGGGCTATTCATATGCACTGAGGGCTATTCTGGCAATCCTGGGGTCTAGAGGACTGCAGAAGTCAGATTAGATAGAAAATCTCAGGATTTCCAGTCTGTTTGGGAAACTTCAGGGGATCTTAATTTTCACAATGGTTATCTCTGGTAACTCTCACCTGGCTTGATGGTTTACCACCATCTACTAGATCTGGATTTTTTGTTTTCTTTTTTTGAGACAGAGTCTCACTCTATTGCTCAGGCTGGAGTGCAGTGGCGCAATCTCGGCTCACTGCAGCCTCCACCTCCCGGGTTCAAGTGATTCTCCTGCCTCAGCCTCCCGTGTAGCTGGGATTATAGGCACAGGCCACCAGGCTCAGCTAATTTTTCTTTTTGTATTTTTAGTAGAGATGGGTTTTCGCCATGTTGGCCAGGCTGGTCTCAAACTCCTGACCTCAAATGATCCACCCTCCTTAACCTCCCAGAGTGCTGGGATTATAGGCGTGAGCCACCGTGCCCAGCCTAGATCTGGATTTCGGGATGCCCCCGTGAGTTATACTGTATTATTATGGTGAATGTAATGAGGCAACTTCTATTGTGGAATGTCTGATGTTAACTAATGTTGGATTATTTACAGACTGTGGCTCCAAACTGCTTCAACTCATCAATAAATAATATTCATGAAATGGAAATACAGCTGAAAGATGTAAGTTCATTTCCTTTTAAGTTATGGGTAAAGAGGGCTAATTCATTTATTCTTAAGTTTTACAGAAATTGGCAACATTAGTGCTGTGACAGAAAAACTGAATGGTTTGAGAGCTTCATTTAAGTCTCTTTCTATACATTCGAGAATCATTTCTTCTAAGCATAGTCCCTTTTTTTTTTTTTTTTCCTGAGGCAAAGTCTCGGTCTGTTGCCCAGGCTGGAGTGCAGTGGCATCTTGGTTCACTGCAACCTCTGTCTCCTGGGTTCAAGCAGTTCTACCTCAGCCTCCTGAGTAGCTGGGATTACAGGCACGAGCCACCACACTCCGCTAAGTTTTTGTATTTTTAGTAGAGATGGGGTTTCACCATGTTGGCCAGGCTGGTCTCAAACTCCTGACCTCAAGTGATCTGCCCACCTCAGCCTTTCAAAGTGCTGGGATTACAGCTGTGAGCTACCATGCCCGGCATCATGGTCTCTGTAGGGTAGACAGCCCTAGAAATTATCACTGCCACCAAATACCTCAATAACATCCCTTTTCTATCTAAATCTAATTTCCCTAATTTGCCCAATCATTTTATTGTTTCTTGTTTTTTCAGTATTTTTCTCTTTTTGAGATGGAGTCTTGCTCTGTTGCCCAAGCTGGAATGGACTGGTGAGATCTCAGCTCACTGCAGCCTCCACCTCCCAGGTTCAAGTGACTCTTCTGCCTCAGCCTCCCAAGTACCTGGGATTACAGGCACCCACCACCACGCCCGGCTAATTTTTATTTTTAGTAGAGATGGGGTTTCACCATGTTGGCCAGGCTGGTCTTGAACTCCCGACCTCAGGTGATCTGCCTGCCTCGGCCTCCCAGAGTGCTGGGATTACGGGCGTGTGCCACTGTGCCTGGCCTCCATTTTATTCTTATAATGTAATTTAATTTGTAGTATCTTCTCTTTTGGTTTATCCATGCAAGATGCTCTCTTTGGTTTGAATACTTCTCTTGAAACTAAGGTTTGCTTTCGTAGGTTGAAAAGGAAACGTTCTTTGTACACTCAGTACTTCCTTTCTCTAGAATTTGGTATGAGGTTATTTTAGTTATACAGTAAAGCTGTATTATTGCAAACTGATAAATGGATTGGTGGGTTTTATTGGGAATGGAATAAATTGAGGACACAGGACTGCTACTTACAGTGTATTTTTTTCAAGTTTTAGAGATATGAAGTATAAAGTTTCTGACTTAAGTATTAGGTCAGTATGTTGGTATTTTGGTTCCAAAAATATTACTGGCATGTCTATCCTGATATAAGCATGTTCTTAAGATTTCTGTTTTACTTCATCTATCAAGTATCCTTTGAAGTCTTTTTGATCTTCAAAAGAAGAATTTAAATCTCCTGGATGTCTAGCCAGGTGCCAAGTACTCTTATCAGAATACGTAATTTACCTAGAGGTAACTGGAATGAAAAGGAAAAGTTCTATGTCTTATTACACTGAAGTTTGTTATTCTATGTATATCCATACCTATGCATTAGATGCACATATTTAGAAATATCTTACACAGCTCCTGCATTCCACTTTATTTACTCCACCTGCACCACAATGGCTTTCCAGCTACTCCTTGAATAAACCACCTTTTCTCTTTCTGTTCCCTCTGCCTGGGACACTCTTCCCCAGATATCTTCATGATTTCCTCCCTACCTCATGCAGGTTTTTATTTAAATGCCACTTTCTTGGGGTTGGGGGAGGACAGAATGGGGGCTGCCTGACCACTTTGTCTAAAATTATAGCTCCCAGACAATTCCTATTCTTTTCTCCTGCTTTTCCCTCCTCATCACATTCTACAGCTAAATTTACAATCTATTTAACTTCTCTTGTTTAATGTTCAACCTTTCCATCAGAATAGAAGTCATATGAAGGAAGGATTTTTGCATGTTTTGTACATTGCTATATCCTCAGTGTCTAGAACATTTGAAAGAATGACTGGATGGAATCTTGGGAAGTTTCTTGAATTTTACTGGTGTCTCTTCTAGAAAAGTACCTGAAAATAGATGCCATTATCTTAAGCTTACATGTGCTTTTTAGGCATCTCAGTGCTAACTGCTTCAGATATCACCTGAGGGTATTTTTAGATAATGATGATTCTTTTTTATGAAATTAACTTTGAAATACTACATATGTAAGCCCAAGCTTTTTGTTCTATCTTCTCAGCTTATTTAAGGGTCACATTGTGCTTGTCTCCTCTGTCTTAGAAAGGCGTTTATACAAATGGGGTAAAATTTAACCCAACTCTTCTACAAATGGTGGTCTAGACTGAGCAAGATTCACAGACTCTAATATACTAGGTCTGGGGTAGTGCCTGAGTTTTCTGCATTTCCAGTAAACTCCTAGCTGCTGCTGCTGCTGGCCCTTGGACCACGCTTTGAGAACCATTAACATTATTATTATTATTATTATTATTATTATTATTTTGAGATGGAGTCTCACTCTGTCACTCAGGTTGGAGTGCAGTGGCGCGATCTTGGCTCATTGCAACCTCCGTCTCCTGGTTTCAAGTGATTCTCATGCCTCAGCCTCCTGAGTAACAGGGATTACAGGTGCGTGCCACCATGCCCAGCTGATTTTTGTACTTTTAGTAGAGACAGGGTTTCGCCATGTTGGCCAGGCTGGTCTCCAACTCCTGACCTCAGATGACCCACCTGCCTCAGCCTCCCAAAGTGCTGGGATTACAGGTGTGAGTCATTACACCCAGCCAGAACTTATATTTGAGGAGCAAGAAGTGGTTTAGCTCTGGTTTTCCCTTTGGAATTTCAGCAAATCTTTGAGACCAGGGGGAAAATTGTAGTTGGAGGACTTAGGGAACATGGAAAGAGACATCTCACTTCTTGCAGCACCGACACTGGCACATTATTTGGCTTTTGAGAGCTCAGCAGTTCTAGTTCCATCACCCTCTCAAAGTTCGCAGAAACTTCCTGTAGAAGCTTACCCACGTATTTTCAGAATTAGTATTTGTTATATTTAAATAAGCCCTAAAAGCTACGTACAGCTTCTTTAGGCCCAGTTGTATCATTGTTCAGTTACCATTTCGCTCTGGCCGACAGTTGAAATAATTACGTAGAGTTAATGTCGTAAGCATTGTCAAATGTCAGTACTTTTAGTATTTATTTAAGCATTATGTTAGTATAAACTAGACAAACCAAATAGCCAAAAGACAGTTTTAATAGGCGTTTCTTGCTCTTAAATTCAAATATCCGAATTTTAAGCATAGAACTTAGGGAAGATAAATAATAATTGTTTTAAAATTATTTTGTCTGCAAACATTCAAATTAACAGAAAAGTTACAAGAATGAGTATGATAACATATAATAACATATAACGCCCATATCCCCTTTACTAAAATTCAACCGTTGTTAACATGTTACCCCATTTTGCACTCTGTTTTTCCTCTTTCAACCCTCACCCACACACATATACATGTAGTATTTTTTTCTGAACCATTTGAGAATGAATTGTACATATCCACAGCCGTTTAAACCCATATACTTCAATGTGTGTTTGTTCTCCCATCCAAGTACTAAACAGACTCAACGCTGCTTAGCTTCCAAGATCAGCCAAGATCAGGCGCGTTCAGGGTGGTATGGCCGTAGACTTCAATGTGTATTTCTTAAGAACGAGGATACTCTTGCCCACAACTATAGCACAGATAGCAACTTTAATAAATTTAACATGGATACAATACTTCTATAATCTACCATTCCTACTGCAGTTTTGTCAATTGACCCACATTTTTTATTCCTCCAGTATAGGCTAACATTTTAATCTACGTTGGTTGGAATTTTTGTCTACAGAATATTTAGTGGATTCTTGTCAAACCTGGGCGAAGACCTTTATAGCATTCCACAGGACTTTTTTTTTTTTTTTTTTTGAGACAGAGTCTCACTCTGTCGCCGAGGCTGTAGTGCAGTGGCACGGTCTCAGCTCACTGCAACCTCTGCCTCCCTGGTTCAAGCGATTCTTCTGCCTCAGCCTCCAGAGTAGCTGGGATTACAGGCACCTGCCATTGCGCCTGGCTAATTTTTTTTTATTTTTAGTAGAGACGGGGTTTCACCATGTTGGCCAGGCTGGTCTTGAACTCCTGACCTCGTGATCTGCCTGCCTCAGCCTCCCAAAGTGCTGGGATTACAGGCGTGAGCCACCATGCCCGGACTCCACAGGACATGTTATTTTGCCCACTTTTGTTCTACATTTTTATTGGTAACTTGGAGGAAATTGTTAAATGCATGCCTAACAAACGTATAGATGACACAAAGCTGGAAGGCATATCTAATGCAATGATGTTTGACTCTAAAAACTCAAAACTAATACAATCAATATTTATGATAGCTATCAACTCCGTGTATTGATACTGATAGAAAGCCGATGCACACAGTGAGAAGAGGTGGCATAAGGAAATGTTTATTGAGGGAACATCGCCATCATGTGGCCTTTTAGAATACTACCCCTTGAATCTTCAACTAACATGTATTTTTGTTTCTCATACTTAAGTGATGTATGGTTCCTTTTTTTTTAATTAATTAATTTATTTTTTTGAGATGGAGTTTCGCTCCGTTGCCCAGGCTGGAGTGCAGTGGCACAATCTCAACTCACTGCAACCTCCACCTCCTGGGCTCAAGTGATTCTCTTGCCTCAGCGTCCGGAGTAGCTGGGACCACTGGCGCCCGCCACCATACCTGGCTAATGTTTTGTATTTTTAGTAGAGACGGGGTTTCACCATATTGGCCAGGCTGGTCTCGAACTCCTGACCTTGTGATATGCCCGCCTCGGCCTCCCAAAGTGCTGGGATTACAGGCGTGAGCCACTGCACCCAGCTGGTTCCTTTAAAAGAAAAGAAAAATAAAATAAATAAAATAAAATTGGGCTGGCGCAGTGGCTCACGTCTGTAATTCCAGCATTTTGGGAGGACAAGAAGGGCAGATCACCTGAGATCAGGAGTTCGAGACCAGCTGGGCCAACATGGTGATACCCCGTCTCTAATAAAAATACAAAAAAGCTGGGCGTGGTGGTACACGCCTGTAATCCCAGCTACTCGGGAGGCTGAGGCAGGAGAATTGCTGGAACCCGGGAGGCAGAGTTTCCAGTGAGCTGAAATCATGCCACTGTATTCCAGCCGGGGCCACAGAGCGAGACTCCGTTTCAAAAAAAAAAAAAATTGGCCGGGCTCAGTGGCTCATGCCTGCAATCCCAGCACTTTGGGAGGCCAAGGCGGGCAGATCACCTGAGGTCAGGAGTTGAGACCAACATGGTGAAACCCCATCTCTACTAAAAATACAAAATTAGCTGGGTGTGGTGGCGCATGCCTGTAATCCCAGCTACTCGGGAGGCTGAGGCAAGAGAATCGCTTGAACCCGGGAGGTGGAGGTTGCAGTGAGCCAAGATGGCACCATTGCACTCCAGCCTGGGCAACAAGAGTGAAACTCCGTCTCAAAAAAAAAAAAAAAAAAAAAAATTTCATGACCATTTAATTTTGACTTAAATTATTTGTATTAAAATACTACTTAAATGTGGACAAATGTAAAATTTAGTATAAAATTAGGTATCTTTAGTATCTAACACACTATAATTTATAGGTATTTGGATATACATGTGCATTGTGAGTCATACAGTGCTTCCTCTCTTATCAAGTAAATTTAAATCTGATCCTGGGTTTCTCATGAGTCCTTTCTTTTGAAAGATGCATAGGTTCTGAGTAAGAACCTCACTGGGGATGGCAGTGGAGCTGAATAAGAGAGTGACTACTGCAGCCTGTTTTAAGATAGGCCAAGAATCCTAGCAATCTTCTCAACTGTACTAAGTTCACTGATTATTTTTCCCAACTTTTATGATTATTTTTCCCAATTTTTATTACGAAAAATGTCAAACATACACAAAAGTTAAAAGAAAATACATTGAACAATCATATATCTACCACGAAGTTTCAATAAGACAGACTCTTTAAATCAAAAATCAAATTACTACAGTGAAAACAGCCATCCACAGAGCTTTACACTATTGACGATATATAATACAAAATGGATATACAATATCTCCACTTGACAAATGGACTCTTAAGCCATGTAAAGAGGACTACTGTTCCCTAATGGATGCAGAGAGAAAAGTGTCTGGTAAAGTGGCTGAGGCTCCTGGGCTAAGTCTTTGATTTTAGAGACTGTTTCTGTCTTCCTAATTCATTTGCTAATTCTATAGCAAACAGACACTGAAAATCCTTTAAGTGCCATACCCAGGAGCTTTGCTCAAGAGTTTGTAGGGTGCTAGTAGAAAGAGCCTAACAAAGCTTAGAGAAACTCTCTAGACTTAATAAGAGTTTCCATACATGTAGATCTTTCTGGATATGGGACTCAATCAATGTCTTTAAAGGATGGAAATTCTTACCGGAAAGCAGTTGCCCTGATAGACACCCAAAACCTTTAAGCTCCTTATGTCCTCTTCATTGTGGAACTAGAGGTCTGGAAAGAGTGGCTGCTATAAAAGGAAACACTATATTGTATTGTCAGATTGAAATTAAATAGAAGAATTTTATCTATGCATAATAGATCATTTTAAGAGCTACTGTGTTGTTCTCCAAATAGTAATCAGAAATCTGTATTCCACTCTTGAAAAAATGAGCTTTGCTGATACTGTTATAGGTTCTTCGAAGTTCAGATTACTATGAGCTCTGGATTTATAGCAAGTCCTCTGGTGTGAAATGAACTGGTTACAATCCCTGCCATACAAAGCTTCTGTCTTCACATGGCCTCATTCTCTATGTATATCTGTGTGTCTGCTCCTTTTTATAAGGATACTAGTCATTGGATTTAGGGCTCACCCTACTCCAGTATGGCCTCATTTTAACTAATTGCATCTGCAAAGCCTCCCCCTCCCCTTTTTTTTTTTTGAGACGGGGTCTCACTCTATTGTCTAGGTTGGAGTGCAGTGGCGCAATCTTGGCTCACTGCAACCTCCGCCTCCCGCATTCAAGTGATCTGCTACCTCAGCCTCCCAAGTAGCTGGGACTGCAGGTACGTGCCACCATGCCCGGCTAAAAAATAGAGACAGGGTTTTGCCATGTTGGCCAGGCTGGTCTTGAACTCCTGGCCTCAAGTAATCCGCCCGCCTCGGCCTCCCAAAGTGCTGGGATTACAGGTGTGAGCCACTGCCCAGCCCACAGACCCCATTTCTGAATAAGGTCATATTCTGAGGTTTCAAGTGGACATGAATTTTGGGGGACATTATTCAACTCACTGTAAGTATGAAACCCCTATACAAACAGGTGAGTGACGGCAGCTTGGAGTTTTTAATTGGGTTATAAAAGATCATATAAAGGATGAAAGTTGGTAGTAAAGAGAGAAGGTAGCTGTTAAGTTTGATCCTCTAAAGAAGACACTGAGATGATGTTAGGAGTGCAGACGGTTTATTGGGGAGCAAGATCTGTGCAAGGAAAAAGGAAGTAGTTATGCCAGGGAGACCATCAGACCATGATGAAAACCTAACAAGGTCTCTGTCACCCCATGGGGGGCTCCAGAGCAGAGAGTGCTGAAAAGCAGAGTCCTCGTTGGGCAGCAATAGTTAGGCACTTGTTCAGTTGTTGGCTGGGGCCAATCCAGCTCAGCTCAAAAGCTGACAGGGACTTGAAGGAATTAACAGATGGAGGCTGTCAGCTAATCAGCTAATCACTCACCATGCAGCTGGGCAGAGATCCTCTTTTTTTTGTTTGTTTTTTTGAGAGACGCAGTTTCACTGGAGTTTCCAGGCTGGAGTGCAGGGGCATGATCTCAGCTCACTGCCACCTCCACCTCCCGGGTTCAAGTGATTCTCCTGCCTCAGCCTCCTGAGTAGTTAGGATTACAGGCACGCGCCACCATGCCTGGCTAATTTTTGTATTTTTATTAGAGACAGGGTTTCACCATGTTGGCCAGGCTGGTCTTGAACTCCTGACCTCAGGTGATCCACCACCCTCGGCCTCTCAAAGTGCTGGGATTACAGGCGAGAGCCACCGCACCCAGCCAGCTGGGCAGGGCTCTTGAAGGGGGATTCTGAGCAGTTCATCTCCATGTCTGTCATAAAACGTGTTTTAGTTTACAGAGAATGACATATACGCACACACAAAGCAAGTTGTGTACTGAAAAAAGCAAACAAATGAACTTAATCCCACATAAACTACGATGGTGTCATGTTGTTATGTATTCTGAAGGCATGTAACATAGAATGGTTGCCCAGAATTAGTCTATGAGCCATAGAGTTTTTGTTGGAAAAGACTACATCACTTGGACTCTCTTGCCCATTTTAAGATTTTGTTTTTTTATTTTACTGTTGATTTTCTTTCATCTTCCCATTAAGGCTCTGGAGAAAAATCAGCAGTGGCTCGTGTATGATCAGCAGCGGGAAGTCTATGTAAAAGGACTTTTAGCAAAGATCTTTGAGTTGGAAAAGAAAACGGAAACAGCTGCTCATTCACTCCCACAGCAGACAAAAAAGCCTGAATCAGAAGGTACTGACTGGTATAAAAATGTTCTCTAGGGATAGGCCTGACATTTTCCAAAAGGAATGATTCATCAAATTTAGATTTTTATAGATATGTGTTAGAAAGTAAAATAAGAGCAAGTCTTATAGCCCTGAAGTAAGAAATACCATTTTTGCAAGTTTTATTTCCTAACGTTTTCAGATCAAAAGAAAGTACCAACACAGGCTAATGGGTGATCTTTGGCAGTTCTGAAATCACATTCAGTTCTCTCTACCCATGAATGTCCTTCCCCTTTTTCAAAGTCCTTCTCCAGCTTTTACTTCCCCCAGAGTTGGCCTTGTCACAATTCTCTTTTCACTTTGCTTCCCTTCAGCACTTATTCATATCAACCCCAGGAGAAAGAATGCCTTTTTTAGATGATCCTTAAATCATTTGAACTTCAGGTATAGAATTGAGATGAAATTTCTCATTCACGATGCTGTCTTTTTGCCAAGCACTTTGCAGTTTCCCTTACATAGATCTTAGTGGAGTTTTAGAGCAACCCTAAGAGGCGGGGCAGGAAAGGTCAGTATTCTCATTTTACAGATGAAGAAATAGGTTTAGCAATTCTAGATGACAAGCTAAGAAAAGAAAAATGAGAAACTCCATGCAATGCTCTCCTTAAAAGACTGACAGTTTGGAGGGGACCAAAGCCTTGAATTTTATAGAGAAGTCTAAAGAAAGGGGAACAAGACTCATAAGATTGGAGAATCATATTTGAATACTTAAAACAAAGCTAATGCTAAAAAGAAACTATAAATGTCTCTGGAGGCACTTCAAAGCTGTCAGCCCTAATGGCACTAAGTTGCTTCTATAAAATATGTGCTTATGTAAAAGCAGGATTTTAGTTATGGGCTAAGTCTAATTTCTTTTCTTTGGTAATACAGTTCTCTCTCTCTCTCTCTCTCTTTCTCTGTGTGTCTGTTTTATCAAAGCAATATAAGCACTTGTTAGAATAATGTAATAGTTAAGAAGGACCTTGCCCTGTCTTTCCCATCCCAATCCCCGTTTCTTCCTCCCATCAGGCAACTGCTCTTAATATTTCTATTTTTAATTTTGATAGTTATCTCCACATATAAATAATGAGCTTGTGTTCCTATTTGTTGATTGAACTTCTTGAGACTTTCCCTCCCAACAGAATAGATGTTACTGTTTTTAGTTCTTCTATTTGTGAGTTTTATAACTTCAAATAGTATACCTGAACTTGTTTTTTATTTCATCAAATATCAACCATAGTCCCTATCTCTTGACTTTTCATGTTGTAAACTAAGGAAATAGTGTGATTCATTTAGATGTTTGATGTTTCTCTTTTCAGGAATATTATTTATTTTATAAAGTGAGTTGTGCCGTAATGTTGTTTGTCATAGGTTATCTTCAAGAAGAGAAGCAGAAATGTTACAACGATCTCTTGGCAAGTGCAAAAAAAGATCTTGAGGTTGAACGACAAACCATAACTCAGCTGAGTTTTGAACTGAGTGAATTTCGAAGAAAATATGAAGAAACCCAAAAAGAAGTTCACAATTTAAATCAGCTGTTGTATTCACAAAGAAGGGCAGATGTGCAACATCTGGAAGATGATAGGCATAAAACAGAGAAGATACAAAAACTCAGGGAAGAGAATGATATTGCTAGGGGAAAACTTGAAGAAGAGAAGAAGAGATCCGAAGAGCTCTTATCTCAGGTAAACTTAACCAGATCCATAATTCAGAGTGTTCACCGAACACTTTCTAAGTGTCAGGGACTATTTGACCACTAGAGAACTGGCTAGGGACAAAACAAATTCCTGCCCCTCATGGGAGTTATATTCCAGAACAGAAACAGACCATAAACAATAAATAAGGAAACTAAAGAAAATGCAACAGGGTGACATGACAAAGGGAAATTGGGGACCAGTGGAGGCCTCTCTGAGGAGATGGCATTTGGACAAAGACCTGATGATGAGGAGGACCCAGTGAGGTGGGTGACTTTTCCTCTCAATGGAGGAAATTGTACACACAAAGGCTCTGAGTGAGGAGGAGGTCAGTATATGTGAGAAGCCAAAAGAAGAAGTGAAGTAATGAGAGGAATCGAGGCTGATTCCTAGACTGGCATCTTAATGGTGATGATATGTGCTCAAGTGAATTCACATGGCATCTTCCATGTTCTTGTTATGCTCATAGCCTTATGCTATGGTATCATAATAATGTTGGAGTTACTACGTTAGGATTATTGGAATTGAACAGTACTTTGATGGAACTCTTTAATTTAGATTTTGCTTTGCAGCCTGGCATCATGGAAGGAACATTATTTGGAATCCATGCCTAGTCTCTAGTCCAGGATATATGGCCTTAGGCAAATCACCTAACTTCTCTGACTACTCACTGGTTATTCCCTTGTCAAATTAATAATAACCTCTGCTTGCCATATAGGGCTTTGGTGAGCGTCAGTTGAGAGAAGGTAAAAGTGCTTTGTAAACTAAGCGAGGTAAATGCTAGTTATTGCTACTATTTTAATAATAATTTTTAACAGTCCTACAAAAGTTGAGGGTGCTGGTGATGGGACAGTAACAAGTCCATCTATAACATTTGCCATCTTAGTCTTTTTTTTCTTTTTTTTTTTCTGAGACAGGGTCTTGCTCTGTCGCCCAGGCTGGAATGCAATGGCGTAATCTCAGCTCACTGTAACCTCCACCTCCTGTCTTCAAGTGATTCTTGTGCCTCAGCCTCCTGAGTAGCTGGGATTACAGGTGCCCACCACCACGGCTGGCCAATTTTTATATTTTTAGTAGAGATGGGGTTTCACCATGTTGGCCAGGCTGGTCTCAAACTCCTGACCTCATGTGATCCACCTGCCTTGGCCTCCCAAAGTGCTGGGATTACAGGTGCAAGCCACTGTGTCCAGCCTGCCATCTTAGTCTTTACCACTCACACTTCTTCTGTCTACAGGTATGAGCAGTGATACTAGGGAGAGATTAAGTCTGCTGATTAAATTTTGCTTCAGCTCTGGCTAAGGGCCCAGCACTGCCACCCATGTTATCCTACTCAGAAGTGTCAGAACCTCCAGGAAAGGGGGCATGGCTGCTGCAGAGTTCAGTGCTGTTTATCAGCATTCAGTCTGTGTGCCTCAGGGAACTCTCGGCAAGGGCGGTGGTATACTGCTTAGCTGCTGGCATAGATAGCCATCAGATGGCCAGCTGGAATGATTCACCCCTGACTAGCAGGTGTTGTCCTGGTTAGAGATGTGAGACTTGTGATGTGAGCTTTCCGTGCATCCCAGGTCAAGCCGGAAAAGGTTGGATGTGACAGCATTGGTTCTCTTTATGTCCTACAGGTCCAGTTTCTTTACACATCTCTGCTAAAGCAGCAAGAAGAACAAACAAGGGTAGCTCTGTTGGAACAACAGGTACTCATTCGGGTTGCTTCTAAATTCAATTCTGCCTGTTAGAAAATGCAGTTTTTCCTCATGTTTATGCTGTTCTATGGAGAACTGTTTGAAAGTTGTGAAAAGTGTCTTTAAAAGACTTCAATAAAAGTCTTTCTTCTTCAATAAAAAAGATATTTCAAGAGACTCTGCTAGCCACTTATTCCTGTTGCTGACCTTAGGCTAAACAGATTCTTGAGGTGTGATGGCAGTTTTCTTGACAGGTAGATGTTGGCCTTGGCAAATTTTGCTCTTCCCCAGTGGCTGTAGCTCCTAGCCTAACAATGTCTCCTAAGTAGGGCTACCTTATAACTTCAAGCAGAACTTGGAGAGACACCATTTAGTCTCAGAATGTATTATAAATGGTGTAAAGCAGAGATTTTTAGTATATTCCAAACCAGGGAATAGCTATCTCTTTCCCTTCTCCTTCTTCCCCCTTAAAAAAGGTGGATAGGGAGGAGTAATTCTAATCAACAACTTCTTAAGCTGCTCTTCATTCACCTATACCTCAGCGTTGGCTTTGCTCCTTGGATAAACCAAATCCTCAGCCATAAGCTGCCTCGTTTATTAACATTTCATGGTGCTTAGGTGAATTCTTGCTACGATGGTACAATAAATATTTTCTTCATGTGCTAATAAAAAAATGTGAGCATCCAGTCAAGAGAACTAGACAGTCTGTATCAGCTGTAATGGTCTTGTTCTGGGCCTTTTCCAGATGCAGGCATGTACTTTAGACTTTGAAAATGAAAAACTCGACCGTCAACATGTGCAGCATCAATTGCATGTAATTCTTAAGGAGCTCCGAAAAGCAAGAAATCAAATAACACAGTTGGAATCCTTGGTGAGTCTGGAATGATTAAACTAAAATTTGTCTTCGTCTTCCATTTATATACCAAATCAGTTCCGAACTTAGGAGGATACAGCTTAACACACAGCTAGCTGTATCTCAAATCAGTAGGTAGAGCCTCTGCCTCATTTGAAGCAACTGCCCTTTGAGCATCAATTCAGAGGACATGAAAGAGGGACATGATCACATCTGGAAACATTCCCCCAACTACCCCAGCTGCTGTGATGCTGGAGGCACTAAATAGTGCCTGAGCTGGGGTCAAAAGGGTAGAATAGAGGGTAGTCACAGAATCCTGAACTGAAATTGTGTTTATCTATTAAAAAAGAAAGAAAGGCTGGGCACGATGGCTTATACCTTTAATCCCAGCGCTTTGGGAGGCCAAGGCAGGCGGATCATGAGGTCAGGAGTTGGAGACCAGCCTGACCAACATGGTGAAACCCTGTCTCTACTAAAAATACAAAAAATTAGCCGGGCGTGGTGGCGGGTGCCTGTAACCTCAGCTACTTGGGAGGCCGAGGCAGGAGAATCACTTGAACCCGGGATGCAGAGGTTGCAGTGGGCTGAGACTGAGCCACTGCACTCCAGCCTGGGCAGCAGAGCAAGACTCTGTCTCAAAAAAAAAAAAAAAAGAAAAAGAAAAAAATGCTGTTTTTAGGGATAATGGACTATTACTGTTAATATGCTTTTTAGATGTATTATGAGGTTTGTGTGAGTCACTCTGAAAACATAATCTTTTAAAACATGAACCTTTTAAATAATATTGTTTCTATGATGAAATGGTTTTTCACTTACTTATTCTCACCTTACTAATAAGCTTTTGGACCAAACTTGTTGGGGGTCTGCATTTGAATATATGTCTGTCCCACTAGTACATATTTTAAATTTTATTCTACTACTATAGAATACTTGGAGACAGTGAAATGTTACAAATATGATTCCTCAGTTTTCAAAGGAGGAAAAAAAAACAATGATAAAAGTAAAAATCACTTGTAACTTCTGTATGAATAAAAGAAAGAAAATATATTTTTGGCTCTGTTCTTAAGTATATAATTGATTTTACCCATTTATAATATTTGAAATGAAAATTTATAATTCATTTTTGTTATTGACCATTCAAAGCTTAGGGAGCAGAGGGTATGCAAAAGAATTTGTAATTTTGTGGGGGCGGTTCCAAGATGGCTGAATAGGAACAGCTCCAGTCTACAGCTCCCAGCGTGAGCGACACAGAAGACGGATGATTTCTGCATTTCCAACTGAGGTACTGGGTTCATCTCAGTGGGGACTGTCAGACAGTGGATGCAGCGCACCGAGCGTGAACCGAAGCAGGGTGAGGCATCGCCTCACCCAGGAAGCGCAAGGGGTCAGGGAATTCCCTTTTCTAGCCAAGGAAAGGGGTGACTGACGGCACCTGGAAAATCAGGTCATTCCCACCCTAATACTGCGCTATTCCGACGGTCTTAGCAAACAGCACACCAGGAGATTATATCCCACGCCTGGCTTGGAGGGTCCTACACCTACGGAGCCTTGCTCATTGCTACCACAGCAGTCTGAGATCAAACTGCAAGGTAGCAGTGAGGCTGGGGGAGGGGTGCCCGCCATTGCTGAGGCTCGAGTAAGTAAACAAAGCGGCCGGGAAGCTCGAACTGGGTGGAGCCCACCGCAGCTCAAGGAGGCCTGCCTGCCTCTGTAGACTCCAACTCTGGGGGCAGGGCATAGCCAAACAAAAGGCAGCAGAAACCTCTGCAGACTTAAATGTCCCTGTCTGACAGATTGGAAGACAGTAGTGGTTCTCCCAGCACGCAGCTTGAGATCTGAGAACGGACAGACTGCCTCTACAAGTGGGTCCCTGACCCCCGTGTAGCCTAACTGGGAGGCACCCCCCAGTAGGGGCAGACTGACACCTCACACAGCCGGGTACCCCTCTGAGACAAAACTTCCAGAGGAGCAATCAGGCAGCAACATTTGCTGTTCACCAATATTCGCTGTTCTGCAGCCTCCGCTGCTGATACCCAGGCAAACAGGGTCTGGAGTGGACCTCTGGCAAACTCCAAAAGACCTGCATCTGAGGGTCCTGACTGTTAGAAGGAAAACTAACAAACAGAAAGGACATCCACACCAAAACCCCATCTGTATGTCACCATCATCAAAGACCAAAGGTAGATAAAACCACAAAGATGGGGAAAAAACAGCAGAAAAACTGAAAATTCTAAAAATCAGAGTGCCTCTCCTCCTCCAAAGGAACGCAGCTCCTCACCAGCAATGGAACAAAGCTGGATGGAGAATGAAGAGTTGAGAGAAGAAGGCTTCAGATGATCAAACTTCTCTGAGCTAAAGGAGGAAGTTCGAACCCGTGGCAAAGAAGTTGAAAACCTTGAAAAAAGATTAGATGAATGGCTAACTAGAATAACCAATGCAGAGAAGTCCTTAAAGGACCAGATGGAGCTGAAAATCACAGCACGAGAACAACATGACGAATGCACAAGCCTCAGTAGCCGATTTGATCAACTGGAAGAATGAGTATCAATGATGGAAGATCAAATGAATGAAATGAAGTGAGAAGAGAAGTTTTGAGAAAAAAGGATAAAAAGAAACGAACAAAGCCTCCAAGAAATATGGGACTGTGTGAAAAGACCAAATCTATGTCTGACTGGTGTACCTGAAAGTGACGAGGAGAATGCAACCAAATTGGAAAACACTCTGCAGGATATTATCCAGGAGAACTTCCCCAGTCTAGCAAGGCAGGCCAACATTCAAATTCAGGAAATACAGAGAATGCCACAAAGATACTCCTCGAGAAGAGCAACTCCAAGACACATAATTGTCAGATTCACCAAAGTTGAAATGAAGGAAAAAATGTTAAGGGCAGCCAGAGAGAAAGGTCGGGTTACCCACAAAGGGAAGCCCATCAGACTAACAGCTGATCTCTCAGCAGAAACTGTACAAGCCAGAAGAGAGTGGGGGGTCAATATTCAACATTCTTAAAGAAAAGAATTTTCAACCCAGAATTTCATATCCAGCCAGAGTAAGCTTCATAAGTGAAGGAAAAATAAAATCCTTTACAGACAAGCAAATGCTGAGAGATTTTGTCACCACCAGGCCTGCCCTACAAGAGCTCCTAAAGGAAGCACTAAACGTGGAAAGGAACAACCAGTACCAGCCACTGCAAAAACATGCCAAATTGTAAAGACCATCGAGGCTAGGAAAAAACTGCATCAAGTAAAGAGCAAAATAACCAGCTAACATCATAATGACAGGGTCAAATTCACACATAACAATATTAACCTTAAATGTAAATGGGCTAAATGCTACAATTAAAAGACACAGACTGGCAATTTGGATAAAGAGTCAAGACCCATCAGTGTGCTGTATTCAGGAAACCCATCTCACATGCAGTGACACACATAGGCTCAAAACAAAGGGATTGAGGAAGATCTACCAAGCAAATAGAAAACAAAAAAAGGCAGGGGTTGCAATCCTAATCTCTGATAAAACAGACTTTAAACCAACAAAGATCAAAACAGACAAAGAAGGACATTACATAATGGTAAAGGGATCAATTCAACAACAAGAGCTAACTATCCTAAATATATATGCACCCAATACAGGAGCACCCAGATTCATAAAGCAAGTCCTTAGAGACCTAAAAAGAGACTTAGACTCCCACACGATAATAATGGGAGACTTTAACACCCCACTGTCAACATGAGACAGATCCACGAGACAGAAAGTTAACAAGGATATCCAGGAATTGAACTCAGCTCTGCACCAAGCGGACCTAATAGACATCTACAGAACTCTCCACCTCAAATCAACAGAATATACATTCTTCTCAGCACCACACCGCACTTATTCCAAAATTGACCACATAGTTGGAAGTAAAACACTCCTCAGCAAATGTAAAAGAACAGAAATTATAACAAACTGTCTCTCAGACCACAGTGCAATCAAACTAGAACTCAGGATTAAGAAACTCACTCAAAACCGCTCAACTACATGGAAACTGAACAACCTGCTCCTGAATGACTACTGGGTACATAACAAAATGAAGGCAGAAATAAAGATGTTCTTTGAAACCAATGAGAACAAAGATGCAACATACCAGAATCTCTGGGACACATTTAAAGCAGTGTGTAGAGGGAAATTTATAGCACTAAATGCCCACAAGAGAAAGCAGGAAAGATCTAAAACTGACACCCTAACGTCACAATTAAAAGAACTAGAGAAGCAAGAGCAAACCCATTCAAAAGCTAGCAGAAGGCAAGAAATAACTAAGATCAGAGCAGAACTGAAGGAGATAGAGACACAAAAAAACTTTCAAAAAATCAATGAATCCAGGAGCTGGTTTTTTGAAAAGATCAACAAAATTGATAGACCGCTAGCAAGACTAATAAAGAAGAAAAGAGAGAAGAATCAAATAGACACAATAAAAAATGATAAAGGGGATATCACACCGATCCCACAGAAATACAAACTACCATCAGAGAATACTATAAACACCTCTACGCAAATAAACTAGAAAATCTAGAAGAAATGGATAAATTCCTCGACACATACACCCTCCCAAGACTAAACCAGGAAGAAGTTGAATCTCTGAATAGATCAATAACAGGCTCTGAAATTGAGGCAATAATTAATAGCTTACCAACCAAAAAGAGTCCAGGACCAGACAGATTCACAGCCGAATTCTACCAGAGGTACAAGGAGGAGCTGATACCATTCCTTCTGAAACTATTCCAAACAATAGAAAAAAAGGGAGTCCTCCCTAACTCATTTTATGAGGCCAGCATCATCCTGATACCAAAGACTGGCAGAGACACAACAAAAAAAGAGAATTTTAGACCAATATCCCTGATGAACATCGATGCAAAAATCCTCAATAAAATACTGGCAAACCAAATCCAGCAACACATCAAAAAGCTTATCCATCATGATCAAGTGGGCATCATCCCTGGGATGCAAGGCTGGTTCAACATACGCAAATCAATAAACGTAATCCAGCATATAAACAGAACCAACGACAAAAACCACATGATTATCTCAATAGATGCAGAAAAGGCCTTTGACAAAATTCAACAGCCCTTCATGCTAAAAACTCTCAATAAATTAGGTATTGATGGGACATATCTCAAAATAATAAGAGCTATTTATGACAAACCCACAGCCAATATCATACTGAATGGGCAAAAACTGGAAGCATTCCCTTTGAAAACTGGCACAAGACAGGGATGTCCTCTCTCACCACTCCTATTCAACATAGTGTTGGAAGTTCTGGCCAGGGCAATCAGGCAGGAGAAGGAAATAAAGGGTATTCAATTAAGAAAAGAGGAAGTCAAATTGTCCCTGTTTGCAGATGACATGATTGTATATCTAGAAAACCCCATCATCTCAGCCCAAAATCTCCTTAAGCTGATAAGCAACTTCAGCAAAGTCTCAGGATACAAAATCAATGTGCAAAAATCACAAGCATTCTTATACACCAATAACAGACAGAGAGCCAAATCATGAGTGAACTCTCATTCACAATTGCTTCAAAGAGAATAAAATACCTAGAAATCCAACTTACAAGGGATGTGAAGGACCTCTTCAAGGACAACTACAAACCACTGCTCAACAAAATAAAAGAGGATACAAACAAATGGAAGAACATTCCATGCTCATGGATAGGAAGAATCACTATTGTGAAAATGGCCATACTGCCCAAGGTAATTTATAGATTCAACGCCATCCCCATCAAGCTACCAATGACTTTCTTCACAGAATTGGAAAAAACTACTTTAAAGTTCATATGGAACCAAAAAAGAGCCCGCATCGCCAAGTCAATCCTAAGCCAAAAGAACAAAGCTGGAGGCATCACACTACCTGACTTCAAACTATACTACAAGGCTACAGTAACCAAAACAGCATGGTACTGGTACCAAAACAGAGATATAGACCAATGGAACAGAACAGAGCCCTCAGAAATAATGCCACACATCTACAACTACCTGATCTTTGACAAACCTGACAACAACAAGAAATGGGGAAAGGATTCCCTATTTAATAAATGGTGCTGGGAAAACTGGCTAGCCATATGTAGAAAGCTGAAACTGGATCCCTTCCTTACACCTTATACAAAAATTAATTCAAGATGGATTAAAGATTTACATGTTAGACCTAAAACCATAAAAACCCTAGAAGAAAACCTAGGCAATACCATTCAGGACATAGGTATGGGCAAGGACTTCATGTCTAAAACACCAAAAGCAATGGCAACAAAAGCCAAAATTGACAAATGGGATCTAATTAAACTAAAGAGCTTCTGCACAGCAAAAGAAACTACCATCAGAGTGAACAGGCATCCTACAGAATGGGAGAAAATTTTTGCAATCTACTCAACCTACAAAGGGCTAATATCCAGAATCTACAAAGAACTTAAACAAATTTAAAAGAAAAAAACAACCCCATCAAAAAGTGGGTGAAGGATATGAATAGACACTTCTCAAAAGAAGACATTTATGCAGCCAAAAGACACATGAAAAAAATGCTCATCATCACTGGCCATCAGAGAAATGCAAATCAAAACCACAATGAGATACCATCTCACACCAGTTAGAATGGCAATCATTAAAAAGTCAGGAAACAACAGGTGCTGGAGAGGATGTGGAGAAATAGGAACACTTTTACACTGTTGGTGGGACTGTAAACTAGTTCAACCATTGTGGAAGTCAGTGTGGCAATTCCTCAGGATCTAGAACTAGAAATACCATTTGACCCAGCCATCCCATTACTGGGTATATACCCAAAGGAGTATAAATCATGCTGCTATAAAGACACATGCACACGTATGTTTATTGTGGCACTATTCACAATAGCAAAGACTTGGAACCAACCCAAATGTCCAACAACGATAGACTGGATTAAGAAAATGTGGCACATATACACCATGGAATACTATGCAGCCATAAAAATGATGAGTTCATGTCCTTTGTAGGGACACGGATGAAGCTGGAAACCATCATTCTCAGCAAACTATCACAAGGACAAAAAATCAAACACCGCATGTTCTCACTCATAGGTGGGATTTGAACAATGAGAACACTTGGACACAGGAAGGGGGACATCACACCCCAGGACCTGTTGTGGGGTGGGGGGAGTGGGGAGGGATAGCATTAGGAGATATACCCAATGTAAATGATGAGTTAATGGGTGCAGCACACCAACATGGCACATGTATACATATGTAACAAACCTGCACATTGTGCACATGTACCCTAAAACTTAAAGTATAATTAAAAAAAAAAAAGAATTTGTAATTTTCCTGTACTTTGTTCCTGCTATCCACCCTCTTCACTGTGCTGTAAAATACTCATTTTTAACTACTCCAAGTTCTTAGAAAAAAAACACAAAAAAGGAAAGTCTCAAAGGTATGATAGAATATCTTAGTCATTTCTGTGTATAAGCTGTTTGAGCTGCTAAAATTGCTTGCTGCCTTTAATTTCCATGTAGTACTTTATTGCTGACGTTGCCTCTGTTTTACAAAACTAGCAAATTTAATCAGCCTTGCATATAGGCCTACCTAATATTCGACTCTGTGTCCTAATAAAACATATTCATATATACACCCAACTCCCATATCTGGGTAATTTGGATAATTACAGTAGTTATCTGGATAAATTCACAACTACCTCATATATTACCCTCATAATACTGATGAGCTGAAATTCAAAAGAAAATCTGTCTACAGTGCTGAAGCAGCTATAATACTTATGGAACAGTTAAAATTGCTGAACAGGCTGGGTGCAGTGGTTCATGCCTGTAATCCCAACACTTCGGGAGGCTGAGGTGGGCAGATCACTTGAGCTTAGGAGTTTGAGACCAGCCTGGGCAACATAGAATTAATTTTTTGTAGAATTTTCTATTTCTACAAAAAATAGAAATATTATCTGGACGTGGTGACATGTGCCTGTAGTCCCAGCTACTTAGGAGGCTGAGGTGAGAGGATTGCTTAAGCCTGGGAGGTCGAGGCTGCAGTGAGCCATGTTTGTGCCACTACACTCTGGCCTGGGTGACAGAGTGAGACTGCCTCAAAAAAAGAAAAAAAAAAAGCTGAACATTGGCCCTATTTACAAATTCTATTATTTGAAACTTATTTTTCAGAAACAGCTTCATGAGTTTGCCATCACAGAGCCATTAGTCACTTTCCAAGGAGAGACTGAAAACAGAGAAAAAGTTGCCGCCTCACCAAAAAGTCCCACTGCTGCACTCAATGAAAGCCTGGTGGAATGTCCCAAGTGCAATATACAGTATCCAGCCACTGAGCATCGCGATCTGCTTGTCCATGTGGAATACTGTTCAAAGTAGCAAAATAAGTATTTGTTTTGATATTAAAAGATTCAATACTGTATTTTCTGTTAGCTTGTGGGCATTTTGAATTATATATTTCACATTTTGCATAAAACTGCCTATCTACCTTTGACACTCCAGCATGCTAGTGAATCATGTATCTTTTAGGCTGCTGTGCATTTCTCTTGGCAGTGATACCTCCCTGACATGGTTCATCATCAGGCTGCAATGACAGAATGTGGTGAGCAGCGTCTACTGAGACTACTAACATTTTGCACTGTCAAAATACTTGGTGAGGAAAAGATAGCTCAGGTTATTGCTAATGGGTTAATGCACCAGCAAGCAAAATATTTTATGTTTTGGGGGTTTTGAAAAATCAAAGATAATTAACCAAGGATCTTAACTGTGTTCGCATTTTTTATCCAAGCACTTAGAAAACCTACAATCCTAATTTTGATGTCCATTGTTAAGAGGTGGTGATAGATACTATTTTTTTTTTCATATTGTATAGCGGTTATTAGAAAAGTTGGGGATTTTCTTGATCTTTATTGCTGCTTACCATTGAAACTTAACCCAGCTGTGTTCCCCAACTCTGTTCTGCGCACGAAACAGTATCTGTTTGAGGCATAATCTTAAGTGGCCACACACAATGTTTTCTCTTATGTTATCTGGCAGTAACTGTAACTTGAATTACATTAGCACATTCTGCTTAGCTAAAATTGTTAAAATAAACTTTAATAAACCCATGTAGCCCTCTCATTTGATTGACAGTATTTTAGTTATTTTTGGCATTCTTAAAGCTGGGCAATGTAATGATCAGATCTTTGTTTGTCTGAACAGGTATTTTTATACATGCTTTTTGTAAACCAAAAACTTTTAAATTTCTTCAGGTTTTCTAACATGCTTACCACTGGGCTACTGTAAATGAGAAAAGAATAAAATTATTTAATGTTTTAATATGTCTAGTGTATTCGTGTATATATAGATATTCTAAGATTCTTGTTTAAAAAAACAAATGTGTTGGACATAATCAAAATTCAAGATTTTCACAATAAAATATTTAAGACATAATTCAAAGCACATTATCAAAAAAGTGAAAATACAACCAACAGAAAGAGAAAAAATATTTTCAAACCATGTATCTGATAAGGGTCTAGTATCCAGAATATATAAAGCACCATTACAACTCAATAAATAGATATTCTAAGATTCTTACCCCCAAGGACTTATCAGGGGTTACAGATTAACACTCAGTGTAAGATGATAAGGCAGTTAAGGATACATCAGAACCGAAAACTATGTGAAGGAGTTAGAAGGAGTAGATGCTTTCACGCATCTTTCTTAAATAAATAACTCTTTATCAATAAATATGAATTTGAGTTATTTGTTACAGAGGCAAAACAATAAGCATGCCAAATTATATAGGGTTTTTTTTTCTAACCATAGAAATTATACAGATCTGTTGATGGAAATAAAATTTTGCCATTACTGTTAATCCCAGGCTCACAAGATCTTCAACTACAGTTGAACAAAAGATATGGACATATTCAGCCGCATAGTTCTTATTCCGATCCACAATGTTATAGCAAAGACCATAGTATTAAATCATAAATATATGCCATAAGGAAGTTGCTCCCCTTACAACTTTAAAGCAAGCCAGTATTACCTCTAGTTTGTAGATGTGGAACATGTCTTGGTCATCCAGTGAGCAGTGGAGTCAAGCAGAACCCAGGCCTTTGGTCCGTGCCTGTATGGAACAAGAGATGTGGTCTCATGGGATAACTGGCCAGGACATAAACCATAACAGAAGCGCCAGCCTGATGACCTCTGAAGTTTGATTCCCAGAGCCACAGGGTGATCTGGAGTTTGTTTCAAGACTCTTGTACTTTCTGTGTTTCACTGGAGGGCTGTACTTAGCTTTCCCTGCTCACTTTAGCCACCTACATCTGGGCACCAATATCAAAAAAATAACTTTGGAAAAATTGGGCAGGCTTCTTGTGGAGCTCTGCTACTGTAGAGGGGGAATTTATATATTTCCGAAGAGTAGATGATTTAGAGCAGGAAGGATTCTACTTTCCCAGATCATGTTACCAAAGCAAGGGTCAATAAAAGGCATCTTCAAGACCTGAAAATCTTCAAGGTTCTCATAATTGAAGACTTTTTTTTCCCCCTTCACTGTCCACCTTTTTTCTTGGCAGATAACCGCTTACCCTTAGGGCATGTTTTCTTCTGTGGGACTGTAAACTACCAGAAACCATGCTAGATACTTTAACTACTTATACTCATTAGCTCTTCCTTGCAAATCTGTGAAGTAAAGTGCTAGCACCAGCACCATTTTTCAGATGAGAAAACTAAGGCTTGCAGAGAGTGAACAATTTGCCCAAGGTCACCACTGATAAGTAGTAAAGAAAGGATATAAACTCAGCTCAGTGTGTCGCAGAGTTCATCTCTCTCCATTGTACAGTTACATTCCCAACCAACATGCTGGGGCTGCCATGCCAGGATTACTCCACTCTGTTGCTTTTTATTAAAAAATTATGTTACATATTTTATTACACAATTATTTTACATAAAATAAAATGTACAGATCAATGAGTTTTGACAGATGTATATATATATCATTGTAATCATCAGCCAAATAAAGTTATAGACTCTACCAACATTTCTGAAAGTTTCTTTAATTACTTCTAGTCCAGAATCCCCTCCTCCCAGAGGCAATCTAATTTATTTTTATTTTTATTTATGTATTTATTTTTAGAGACAGGGTCCCCTCTGTCACCCAGGCTGGAGTGCAGTGGTACAGTCATAGCTCACTGCAGTCTTAAACTCCTGGGCTCAAGTGATCCTCCTGCCTCAGCCTCCCAAGTACCTAGGACTGCAAGCATATGCCACCATGCCTTGCTAATATTTTTAATTTTTTATAGAGACATGGTCTCATTGTGTTGTCCAGTCTGGTCTCAAACTCCTGGGCAAATGCAATTCTCCTGCCTTGGCCTCCCAAATTGTTGGGATTACAGGTGTGAGTCACCGCACCTGGCCCTATTTATCTTAACACATGCTAAATTAATAACTACACTAATTAACTAAATTACTAAATGCCACAATAAATTAACAAAATTAATAAGACTAATGCTGGAGTGTTATTGTGTCTTGAAATCAGGGTAAGTCCCCCAACTTTATTCTTCAAGAATGTCTTGACTAATATAGGACATTTCCATTTTCATATACATTTTAAAATCAGCTTGTCAATTTTTACAAAAGTTTCCTGGAATTTCCATTGGGATAGTATATATCTATAGATTAATTTCTCAAAAATTGACATCTGCACAATCCAGAAACATTTCTTCATTTAGTTCTTTTTTAGCTGCTCTCAGCAATGTTTACAGCTTTCAGTGCATAGAGCTTAGCCTTTTATTAAGTTTATTCTTGAAAGTCTGAGTTTTATGCTATTATAAATGGCCTTTTAAAAATTTATTTTCCAGCCAGGCGCAGTGGCTTACACCTGTAATCCCAGCACTTTGGGAGGCCGAGGTGGGTGGATCTCTCGAGGTCAGGAGTTCGAGACCAGCCTGGCCAACATGGTGAAAACCCATCTCTACTGAAAATACAAAAATTAGCCAGGAGTGGTGGTGTGCACCTGTAATTCTAGCTACTGGAAAGGCTGAGGCACAAGAATCACTTGAACCCAGGAAGTAGAGGTTGCAGTGAGCCAAGATCATGCCACTGCACTCCAGCCTGGGCAACAGAGTGAGACTCTGTCTCAAAAAAAAAAAATTATTTTCTAATTGTTTGTTGCTAGGGTTAGAAATGCAACTGATTTTTGTATATTGACCTAGTAGCATCCTGGAATCTTATTAATTTATTAATTAATTTTAGTATTTTCACCTCTCTGAATTCAAATATTGTATTTTACAGTTCTAGAACAGTGCTGTCCAATGGAAATATGCAAGCCTCATGTAATTTTGTTTTCCAGTAGCCACATTAAAAAATACTAAAATAGACAAGGGATGGTGGCTCACTTCTGTAATCCCAGTACTTTGGGACGCCAAAGCAGACAGATCACTTGAGCCCAGGAGTTTGAGACCAGCCTGGGAAACATGGCGAAACTCTTTGTACCAAAAAAAAAAAAAAGAAAGAAAAAAAAAATTAACTGGGAATGGTGGTGCATGCCTGTAGTCCCAGCTACTCAGGAGGCTAAGGTGAGAGGATCACTTGAGCCCAGGAGCTGGAAATTGCAGTGAGTCAAGATCATGCCACTGCACTCCAGCCTGAGTGACAGAGTGACACCCTGTCTCAAAAAAAAAAAAAAAAAAAGAAAAGAAAAGTAAAACAACAACAAAAGTAGTAAAATAGCCAGGTGCAGTGGCTCATACCTGTAATCCCAGCAGTTTGGGAGGCCAAGGGAGGAGGATCACTTGAAGCTAGGAGTTCGAGCCTGGCCTGGACAGCAAGGAGACCCCTCCATCTCTACAAAAAATAAAAAAAGTAAAATAATTGGTGTAGTTAATTTTAATAATATGTTTCATTTAACTATACATATCCCAAATATTATCACTTAACATATAATCAATATAAAAACTATTAATGAGCTATTTTATGCTAAATCTTTGAAATTTAGTATTTCAAAATTACTGCACATCTCAATTTGGACTAACCACACTTGAAATGCTCAATAGCCACATTGTGGCTGTCGTGGCTAAGGGCTACCATGTTGGATAGCATGGATCTAGGATCTCTCTTCTTTTACTAGAGTTCCCATTTCTCTTCTGAGTTCTCTATTCACCCATTCTGTCCATTTCTTCCTGTAAATTCTTTAGCATATTCATAGCAGCTTAAAACAGTTAACATAGATGCTAATTCCAACATCTAGGTCATCTATGTGTCTATTTTTATTGGCTAATTTTTCTCATTATGGGTCACATTTTTTGTGTTTCTATACATGTCTATTAAATTTTTTAGTATAGGAGTGACATTGTAGATGATACATTACAGAAATTCTGGATTATTTTCCTTTTGAGAATATACAGTTGTGTTCTTGGAGACTCAAATTGCCACATTTGTTTAGGCTGTATTTCACCATGCACTGTCAGGACTAAATAATACTCATGGGGGAAAACCAGTTAAATATAGAACTCACTTTGCTTCCCTTCTTTCAAGAGCCATGGCCATTCCAGTGGCTGCCTGCCTTTGGTTGTTCTTCATTGCCATCAACAGTTGTTTTTCATATTTTGTCCAGAGTTTATAATTGTTATTGAATAGTGGGTTAGTCTGATAAAAGCTACACTGTCATTACCAGAACTGGAACCATCTACTGGTTTTGGTATTTTCTGTTGTTGTTGTTTTGTTTTCCTTTTTTATTTTATTTTATTTTTTTTCTTAAGAAGTCTGTTGTATTTGAGCAGGAGTTTATGCTAGGAGCCATATTCTGTGTGTGCATGTCCAGCCTCCAACAAACCCACAAACTGGTGATTCCTTGGTGACTTTAATATCAGCAAACGTAACTCTCGTCCTCAGATAGAAGGCAGATGGAGGTAAATGGAGAAGGGAGGGAAGGATAAATGAGTTATAGGATCCATTGCTTTCACCAAGAGCTTAATGTTTTAAAGGCAGGGGCTACATGATAGAAAAATACATTCAAAGAAGAGAACTTCATGGGAAAAACTAAAACCTCTGAGTTTCCCACTATGTGCTAAATTTGTGGTTATGTGTTACTTTGTCAAGGGCTACAGCTAGCCACTTGGATTTTTTGTTTTTTTGTATTTTTTTTTTTTTTTGAGATGGAGTTTCACTCTTGTTGCCCAGGCTGGAGTGCAATGGCATGATCTTGGCTCACCGCGACCTCCACCTCCTGGGTTCAAGCGAGTCTCCTGTCTCAGTCTCCCGAGTAGCTGGGATTACAGGCATGTGCCACCATGACTGGCTAATTTTATATTTTTATTAGAGACGGGGTTTCTCCATGTTGGTCAGGCTAGTCTGAAACTCCTGACCTCAGGTGATCCGCCCGCCTTGGCCTCCCAAAGTGCTGGGGTTACAGGCGTGAGCCACCGCACCCGGCCCAGCTAGCTACTTTGACAGCCAAGAAAACTGAAGCAAATCCCCCACTAACATTTAAAAAACAACAACAAAAAGACATTCCTGGGTTTCCAACCCAAATCCATAGCCAAAGCCCATCTTCTTTCTACCATGCCAGAAAACCCCTTACATATTCTCCAAACTCAGTAACCTTAAGTGAAATGTGTAAAGTGAAATAACCTTAAATGAGCCTTAATAAAACCTTAACTAGAGTAATAGAATTTTTCTTAGGTTAGAGAGAAAAACCGAAAACACCAACTGGTCTCTTGCACCCCTCTGATCTGAGAAGAAGGCCTGCCTTGTTCAACCCCTCCATCTGTTACCTGGATTCCCACTATGCCAGTTCTCTAACATCTTTACTTTCATTCTTCAAACATTTATTAAATGCAAAGCTCTGGGCTCAGTATTAGCGATAAGCAGCTTGATAAAGATAAAATGCAGCTTGATCTTCACAGTCTAGCGGAAGAGACCAATATCTAAACAGGTAAGTATAATACATTGTAGAAAGTGCTATAATCAAGGTATATATAGGGTAGAGGAGTTTATTTAAACTCTGGTTTATTCTAACAAAGATCAAAGATCTGACTCTTCAAAGACACAAATCTTAGACTAACATAGAATAAAAAATAAGTAGGAAAAATACACATCTAAGAAAGGAAAATAGAGCCACTCACAAGGGTAGCTCCCCAGGCAGGCCATGGAGCCTTTCCAAGACAGCCATGAGTTTGGTGCTGAGCTTTGCAGATGGTGGCACAAAGAAACCATCCTGGTCGCTTCAAAGATGGCCGAATAGGAATAGCTCTGGTCTATAGCTCCCAGTGAGATCGACACAGAAGACAGGTGATTTCTGCATTTCTAACTGAGGTACCTGGTTCATCTCATTGGGACTGATCAGACAGTGGTTGCAGCCCATGGAGGGCGAGCTGAAGCAGGGCAGGGCATCGCCTCACCTGGGAAGTGCAAGGGGTTGGGGGATTTCCCTTTCCTAGCCAAGGGAAGCCATAAGTGACTGGACCTGGAGAAGCAGTACACTCCTGCCCAAATACTGTGCTTTTCCCACGGTCTTTACAACCGTCAGACAAGGAGATCCCCTCCCATGCCTGGCTCAGTGGGTCCCATGCCCATGGAGCCTGGCTCGCTGCTAGCGCAACAGTCTAAGATTGACCTGGGACGCTGGAGCTTGGTGTGGGGAGGGGCATCCACCATTGCTGATGCTTGAGTAGGCAGTTCTATGCTCAAAGTGTAAACAAAGGGCAGGGGAGCTCAAACTGAGTGGAGCCCCCCACAGCTCAGCAAGGCCTACTGCCTCTCTAGATTCCACCTCTAGGGGCAGGGCGTATCTGAACAAAAGACAGCAGACAGCTTCTCCAGACTTAAAAGTCCCTGCCTAACAGCTCTGAAGAGAGCAGTGGCTCTCCCAGCACAGCGTTCAAACTCTGATAACAGACAGACTGCCTCCCCAAGTGGGTTCCTGACCCCCATGTAGCCTGACTGGGAGACACCTCCCAGTAGGGGCCAACAGACACCTCATGCAGGTGGGTGCCCCTCTGGGACCAAGCTTCCAGAGGAAGGATCAGGCAGCAATATTTGCTGTTCTGCAGCCTCTGCTAGTGATATCCAGGAAAACAGGGTCTGGAGTGGACCTCCAGCAAACTCCAACAGACTTGCAGCTGAGGGGCCTGTCTGTTAGAAGGAAAACTAACAAACAGAAAGGAATAGCATCAACATCAACAAAAAGAACATGCACACCAAAACCCCATCCGTAGGTAACCAACATCAAAGACCAAAGGTAGATAAAACCACAACGATGGGGAGAAACCAGAGCAGAAAGGCTGAAAATTCCAAAAAACCAGAACACGTCTTCTCTTCCAAAGGAACACAACTCCTCGCCAGCAAGGGAACAAAGCTGGACGGAGAATGAGTTTGATAAGTTGACAGAAGTAGGCTTCAGAAGGTCGGTAATAAACTTCTCCAAGCTAAAGGAGCATGTTCTAAACCATTGCAAGGAAGTAAAAAACCTTGAAAAAAGGTTAGACGAATGGCTAACTAGAATAAACAGTGTAGAGAAGAGCTTAAATGACCTGATGGAGCTGAAAACCACAGTACAAGAACTTCATGAAGCATACACAAGCTTCAATAGCTGATTCAATCAAGCAGAAGAAAGGATATCAGTGATTGAAGATCAAATCGATGAGATAAAGTGAGAAGACAAGATCAGAGAAAAAAGAGTGAAAAGAAACGAACAAAGCCTCCAAGAAATATGGGACTATGTGAAAAGACCAAATCTACGTCTCATTGGTGTACCTGAAAGTGACGGGGAGAATGAAACCAATTTAGAAAACACTCCTCAGGATATTATCCAGGAGAACTTCCCCAACCTAGCAAGGCAGGCCAACAGTCAAATTCAGGAAATACAGAGAACACCACAAAGATACTTGTAAGGAAGAGCAACCCAAAGACACATACTTTTCAGATTCACCAAGGTTGAAATGAAGGAAAAAATGTTAAGGGCAGCCAGAGAGAAAGGTCACGTTACCCTCAAAGGGAAGCCCATCAGACTAACAGCTGATCTCTCCACAGAAACTCTAAAAGCCAGAAGAGAGTGGGGGCCAATATTCAACATTCTTAAAAGAATTTTCAACCCAGAATTTCATATCTAGCCAAATTAAGCTTCATAAGTGAAGGAGAAATAAAATCCTTTACAGACAAGCAAATGCTGAGAGATTTTGTCACCACCAGGCCTGCCTTACAAGAGCTCCTGAAGGAAGCACTAAACATGGAAAGGAACAACCAGTACCAGCCACTGCAAAAACATGCCAAATTGTAAAGACCATCAATGCTATGAAGAAACTGCATCAATTAATGGGCGAAATAACCAGCTAGCATTATAATCACAGGATCAAATTCAAACATAACAATATTAACCTTAAATGTAAATGGGCTAAATGCCCCTATTAAAAGGATAAACAGTCAAGACCCGGCTGGGCATGGTGGCTCACGCCTGTAATCCCAGCACTTTGGGAGGCCGAGGTGGGTGGATCATGAGGTCAGGAGATTGAGACCATCCTGGCCAACATGGAGAAACCCTATCTCTACAAAAAATTAGCCTGGCGTGGTGGTGGGTTCCTGTAGTCCCAGCTACTCAGGAGTCTGAGGCAGGAGAATGGCGTGAACCCGATATGTGGAGCTTGCAGTGAGCCGAGATCACGCTGCTGAACTCCAGCCTGGGCGACAGAGTGAGACTCTGTCTCAAAAATAAAGAGTCAAGACCCATCTGTGTGCTGTATTCAGGAGACCCATCTCACGTGTAGAAACACACATAGGCTCAAAATAAAGGGATAGAGGAAGATCTATGAAGCAAATGGAAAGCAAAACAAAGGAGGGGCTACAATCCTGGTCTCTGATAAAACAGACTTTAAACCAACAAAGATCAAAAGAGACAAACAAGGCCATTACACAATGGTAAAAGGATCAATTCAACAAGAAGAGCTGACTATCCTAAATATATATGCACCCACTACAGGAGCAACCAGATTCATAAAGCAAGTTCTTAGAGACCTACAAAGAGACTTAGACTCCCACATGATAATAATGGGAGACTTTAACACCCCATTGTCAATATTAGACAAATCAACGAGACAGAAAATTAACCAGGATATCCAGGAGTTGAACTCAGCTCTGGACCAAGTGGAACTAATAAACATCTACAGAACTCTCCACCCCAAGTCAAAAGAATACACATTTTTCTCAGTACCACATCACACTTATTCTAAAATTGACCACATAATTGGAAGTAAAACACTCCTCAGCAAATGTAAAAGAACAGAAATCACAACCGTCTCTCAGACCACAGTGCAATCAAATTAGAACTCAGGATTAAGAATCTCACTCAAAACCGCACAACTACATGGAAACTGAACAGAATGACTACTGGGTAAATAACGAAATGAAGGCAGAAATAAAGATGTTCTTTGAAATCAATGAGAACAAAGACACAACGTACCAGAAGCTCTGGGACACATTTAAAACGGTGTGTAGAGAGAAATTTATAGCACTAAATGCCCACAAGAGAAAGCAGGAAAGATCTAAAATTGACACCCTAACATCACAATTAAAAGAACTCAAGAAACAAGAGCAAACAAATTCAAAAGCTAGCAGAAGACAAGAAATAACTAAGATCAGAGCAGAACAGAAGGAGATAGAGACACAAAAAAACCCTTCAAAAAATCAATGAATCCAGGAGCTGGTTTTTTGAAAAGATCAACAAAATTGATAGACCGCTAGCAAGACTAATAAAGAAGAAAAGAGAGAATAATCAAATAGACACAATAAAAAATGATAAAGGGTGTATCACCACCGATCCCATGGAAATGCAAACTACTATCAGAGAATAATAAAAACAACTCTACACAAATAAACTAGAAAATCCAGAATAAATGGATAAATTCCTGGACACATACACCCTCCCAAGACTAAACCAGGAAGAAGTTGAATCTCTGAATAGACCAATAACATGTTCTGAAATTGAGGCAGTAATTAATAGCCTACCAACCAAAAAAAGTCCAGGACCAGATGGATTCACAGCCAAATTCTACCAGAGGTACAAAGAGGAGTTGGTACCATTCCTTCTGAAACTATTCCAATCAACAGAAAAAAAGGGAATCCTCCCTAACTCATTTTATGAGGCCAGCAACATCCTGATACCAAAGCCTGGCAGAGACACAACAAAAAGAAAGATAATTTTAGGCCAATATCCCTGATGAACATTGATGCGAAAATCCTCAATAAAATACTGGCAAACCGAATCCAGCAGCACATCAAAAAGCTTATCCACTACGATCAAGTGGGCTTCATCCCTGGGATGTAAGGCTGGTTCAACATACGCAAATCAATAAACATAATCCATCACATAAACAGAACCAATGACAAAAAACACATGATTATCTCAATAGATGCAGAAAAGACCTTCAACAAAATTCAACAGCCTTTCACATTAAAAACTCTCAATAAACTAGGTATCGATGGAATGTATCTCAAACTAATAAGAGCTATTTATGACAAACCCACAGCCAATATCATACTGAATGGGCAAAAACTGGAAGCATTCCCTTTGAAAACCAGCACAAGACAAGGATGCCCTCTCTCACCACTCCTATTCAACATAGTATTGGAAGTTCTGGCCAGGGCAATAAGGCAAGAGAAAGCAATAAAGGGTATTCAATTAGGAAAAGGGGAAGTCAAATTGTCTCTGTTTGCAGATGACATGATTGTATATTTAGAAAACCCCATCATCTCAGCCTAAAGTCTCCTTAAGCTGATAAGCAACTTCAGCAAAGTCTCAGGATACAAAATCAATGTGCAAAAATCACAAGCATTCCTATACCCCAAGAACAGACAAACAGAGAGCCAAATCATGAGTGAACTCCCATTCGCAATTGCCACTAAGAAAATAAAATACCTAGGAATACAACTTACAAGGGATGTGAAGGAACTCTTCAAAGAGAACTACAAACCACTGCTCAAGGAAATAAGACAGGACACAAACAAATGGAAAAACATTCCATGCTCATGGATAGGAAGAATCAATATCATGAAAATGGCCATACTGACCAAAAAAATTTATAGATTCAATGCTATCCCCATCAAGCTACCACTGATTTTCTTTACAGAATTGGAAAAAACTACTTTAAACTTCATATGGAACCAAAAAAGAGCCCACATTGCCAAGACAATCCTGGGCAAGAAGAACAAAGCTGGAGGCATCACGCTACCTGACTTCAAACTTTACTACAAGGCTACAGTAACCAAAATGGCATGGTACTGGTACCAAAACAGATATATAGACCAATGGAACAGAACTGAGGCCTCAGAAATAACACCACACATCTACCACCATCTGATCTTTGACAAACCTGACACACACAAGCAATGGGGGAAAAGATTCCCTATTTAATAAATGGTGTTGGGAAAACTGGCTAGCCATATGCAGAAAACTGAAACTGGACCTCTTCCTTACACCTTATACAAAAATCAACTCAAGATGGATCAAAGACTTAAACGTAAGACCTAGGACCATAAAAATCCTAGAAGAAAACCTGGGCAACCTGGGCAATACCATTCAGGACATAGGCATGGGCAAAGACTTCATGTCTAAAACACGAAAAGCAATGGGAACAAAAGCCAAAATTGACAAATGGGATCTAGTTAAACTAAAGAGCTTCTGCACAGCAAAAGAAACTATCATCAGAGTGAACAGGCAACCTACAGAATGGGAGAAAAGTTTGAATCTATCCATCTGACAAAGGGCTAATATCCAGAATCTATAAAGAACTTAAACAAATTTACAAGAAAAAAGCAAACAACCCCATCAAAAAATGGGCAAAGGATATGAACAGACACTTCTCAAAAGAAGACATTTATGCAGCCAACAGACATACGAAAAAATGCTCATCATCACTGGTCATCAGAGAAATGCAAATCAAAACCACAATGAGATAGCATCTCATGCCAGTTAGAATGGCAATCATTAAAAAGTCAGGAAACAACAGATGCTGGAGAGGTTGTGGAAAAATAGGAACACTTTTACACTGTTTGTGGGAGTGTAAATTAGTTCAACCATTGTGGAAGACAGCGTGGCAATTCCTCAAGGATCTAGAACTAGAAATACCATTTGACCCAGTGATCCCATTACTGGGCATATACCCAAAGGATTATAAATCATTCTACAATAAAGACACATGCACATGTATGTTTATTGTGGCACTATTCACAATAGCAAAGACTTGGAACCAACCCAAATGTCCATCGATGATAGACTGGATTAAGAAAATGTGGCACATATACACCATGGAATACTATGCAGCCATTAAAAAGGATGAATTCATGTCCTTTGCAGGGACATAGATGAAGCTGGAAACCATCATTCTCAGCAAACTATCACAAGATCAGAAAACCAAACATCGCATGTTCTCACTCATAAGTGGTAGTTGAACAATGAGAACACATGGACACAGGGAGGGGAACACCACACACCGGGGCCTGTTGAGGGTGGGGGGCTACGGGAGGGATAGCATTAGGAGAAATACCTAATGTAGGTGACGGGTTGATGGCTGCAGCAAATCACCATGGCACCTGCATACCTATGTAACAAAACTGCAGGTTTTGCAGGTTTTGCACATGTAACCCAGAACTTAAAGTATAAAAAAAAAAAGAAAAAGAAAAAGAAAAAAAGAAACCATCCTGTACACCATTTAGAGGACTTAAAAACACAACTGATCCTCAGAAGAAACACAACTAGAAGCACTGTTGGTACTGAGACTAAAGAAATCCATTCCTCCACTGGGCCTCCACAGAGAAGAAACCATGTGGTGTAGTGGTCGATGTTCTCCACAGCAGTCCTGTCGTAAACACAGCAGTCAGTCCCACTTCACTGATTTTTTTTTTTCTTTTTTGAGACGGAGTTTCACTCTTGTCGCCCAGGCTGGAGTGCAATGGTGCGATCTCAGCTCACTGCAATCTCCGCCTCCCGGGTTCAGGCCATTCTCCTGCCTCAGCCTCCCGAGTAACTGGAATTATAGGCACCCGCCACCACGCCTGGCTAATTTTTTGTATTTTTAGTAGAGACAGGGTTTCACCATGTTGCCCAGGCTTGTCTCGAACTCCTGATCTCGTGATCCACCCTCCTCGGCCTCCCAAAGTCCTGGAGATTACAGGCGTGGGCCACAGCGCCAGACCCCACTGATTTCTTAATACCTTTCCACATAGGCAAGAAACCTCAGTACCAGAGGCTACTCCATAATTCTCAATGTCCAGTTACATCCAGCAGTTCTCTGCTGTTCTGGCTTATCCCAGAATAAATTTCAGGGTGAAGGGAGCCCCCTCTAACGCCCCCTCTGACGGGGGCCTGACAGGTTAAGGACCATGAGTCAGGCTGGCCACTGACGATCGCAGAGGCTGGAAATGCATGCTTTCACCCAAAGGGGGCGCAGCTGCTCAGCGCCAGCTGATGTCCCAGGGCGCTCTGAGTCCAGTGTAACTGATCTTTTTAGATTTTCCAAGAGAAATCTGGAATTTTGTTTGTTTGTTTGTTGGAATTTTAAAATATGAAATCTAATAAAAGTTTTAACACTGTGGGACAAACTCATTTTTCGGTTCGTAACGTTTGTTTGGAGCATCTGAATGGGGCAAAAGAAGAGTGATTCGCTCAGGCTGGGGTGGGAGGAAAACCAAGGAAGGTTCTTGGTTCCCTCCCGAGTCTTACGCCGGAGGTCTCCCCACGTCCAGTTCAATTAAAGAGTGCTGATGTCAATGACACCGTGAACACCACCCTCCCTGACCCTCCCCTTCCACCTGCCATCTGGCTTCTTTCCTGGCTACACTTCTTGGACAGAGAGCTGGCTGGCTGCCAGCATTTCCTGGCTACCCTCTGCTCCCCTAATCAGACAACCGAGGGAGTGTCAGGGCTGGAAAGGAACTGTGAGATCATCTACTCCAGTGTCTTTTGTCCAGGAAATCCCTCACTCATGGAGCTTGTTGAAAACGGTGGTTCTTTGGCTTCCCCCAAATCTCCTAAATCAGAACATCTGGAAGAAGCTGCATTTTTAACAAGCTCTCCAAAGCATCTCCAAAACATCTGATGCATTACTAAGATTGGAAACCTCTGATCTCATTTAACCCTGATGAAATGGAGTCCCAGAGAGGAAAGTGACTTTTCCAAGATCACAGAGCAGATTTGCAGGAGAGGGAAGGAGGCCCAGGCTCCCGAAGGCAATGGTTGTTAGGGCCCCTACCATCTGGGCTTGTATGACACAATTCCAGCAACTTCGTTCTTTCCAAGCCCCCCAGTGCTTCGTCTTCCTAAGGCAAACCTAGCGGTTTATTGGCTTGATTCCCTTCTTCTTTGTCCTCTGTGCTGTGCTCTCTGCTTTTGAATCTAATTATTTTTGGCCTTGATGGTTGAGTAGGAAATATTAGCAAGACATCCAAGGGGCGTCCTCTCTGCCATCCTGCCTGCAGATGGTAACACTGCAAATAAGTGGTAACACCCAAATAAGGGTGAAAGATCAAGACCAAGCTAGGGGTTTTTGTAGAGTGCATAGACAGAATCCAGAGAGATGACAAAGAAAGGAGTAGAGAGGACTGAGCCCTGGGGACTGTCCCATGATCCAGAAGTAGATAGGAGCACTCAGAATCACATTCATGTTGTGTCACCCAAATCAAGCAACCATAGAAAGAAGGAATGGTACGCCCCGAGGAGAAAGAGTTAGCACCTGATTATGGCCTTCACCTCCTCGCCCGCCAGGTTCACTAGATTGATTTCACCCCAGGAGCGGCACATCTCCTACTAAAACGTTTTAATAGGTATTACAGGTAAATTTGCTGAAGAAATCTTATCCCTTTCAGGTGATGTATCAAGCACTGATCTCGTCACTTGCTTCAGCAAATATTTAAACCATTTGCAACAAGCAAGGTGCCGTGCAAGGCTCTAGAGATGGAGAGAAGAGTAAAGCAGAGATCGTCTTCAGCAGAGCCATGGCCAGGCCGACATCAATGCAGATCAATGGCAGCACAATGAGGTAAATGCCACATTAAAGTCACCCCAAGGATGAGAGGACAGGCTTTCCAAACAAGGCCATGACTGAGCTAGGTTTAAGAAAACAAATGCTATTTCAGTACTAGTAGTATTTGTTCCTGGACTTAGGTTGCAAGTAAGTCATTAGGCAGAGCTTAAAGAAAAATATGCCTTGTATTTTATTGGTCACTTTTTGATGTCAAAGGATGAGGCTGTAGAGGAAGGGCAGTAGATCAATCCAGTTTCTGATACAGTGAAGGGCGTTGCTTCATATTCTACTAACTTGATGTTGAGAGTCACTTAGCTTCAAAAATACAGTAAGTAAATTATTTTGAATGCTGAACTATCAGAGGAGATAGTAAACAAAGGTTTTTGTTTTTGTTTTTTAGTTTTTTGTTTGTTTTTCGAGACATGGTCTCACTCTGCTGCCCAAACTGGAGTGCAGTGGTGTAATCTTAGCTCACTGCATCCTCAAACTCCTGGACACAAGTGATCCTCCCACTCAGCCTCCTGAATAGCTGGGACTACAAGCAGGTGCCACTGTGTGCCCAACTAATTTTTTTTTTTGAAATGGACTCTCTTTTTTTTTTTTTTTTTTTTTGAGACGGAGTCTCACTCTGTCGCCCAGGCTGGAGTGCAGTGGTGGGATCTCGGCTCACTGCAAGCTCCGCCTCCCGGGTTCACACCATTCTCCTGCCTCAGCCTCCCAAGTAGCTGGGACTACAGGCGCCCGCCACTACGCCCGGCTAATTTTTTTGTATTTTTAGTAAAGACGGGGTTCACCACGTTGGTCAGGCTGGTCTCGAACTCCTGACCTCATTATCCATCCTCCTCAGCCTCCCAAAGTGCTGGGATTACAGATGTGAGCCACTGCGCCCGACTGCTAATTTTATATTATTTGTAGTGACAAGGTCTGGTTTTGTTGCCCAGGCTGGTCTCAAACTCCTGGGTTCAAGCGATCCCCTGCCTCCCAAATGCTTGGATTACAGGCATGGCCTCTAAACTAAAGGTTTTAATGAAGGAGAAGAAAAGCCTTGGGGGAAAAATGCTATTATTCTGTTTGATTCACAAATTATGCATAATGGCACATGTGCTACCTTGCATGGATTATGAAGGCAAGCATTTTCACTTCAGTTTTGTAAGGTAGAGGTAAGGGGCAGGAGAAGCTGATAATAGAGGATTAAGAAAAAAACTTGTAGAGTATATTATTATCAGCATAAACTTAGCAATCTGTTAATTAAATTTTGATCTGTTAAATGAGTTTAACAATATGTTGCATATATGCCACAGTAGTAATTTCTTCCCTTGAAGGAGTGAACTTTACGGAAGTGATTCTGTTTATTGGCACTCAAAAGAGAAGCACCTCAAATTAAAAAAAATTTTTTTTGTAGAGACGAGGTCTCATTATGATGCCCAGTCTGGTCTTGAACTCGCGGGCTCATGCAATCCTCCCACCGCCTCAGCCTCCCGAAGTGTTAGGATTACAGGTGTAAGCCACCACACCCAGCCCAATCAATTTAAATTTTTTCTTTTGTTTTACTGCTTGTTTTACATCATGTTACTGTGCAAAGAGCTTTGAAAAGGGAACTACCAGACCTGGAATCAAATTCTGGTTCTGACTTTGAGCCAGTCTCTTAAATTCTGTACAAATTTTAGTTTCCTCAACTCCAAAATAGGAATATTAATGCCTATCCCATAACATCCCAGGATGTTATCCAGGTTGGGCACGGTGACTTACACCTGTAATCCCAACACTTTGGGAGGCTAAGGCAGGTGGATAACCTGAGATCAGGAGTTCAAGACCAGCCTGGCCAACATGGTGAAACCCAGTCTCTACAAAAATACAAAAATTAGCCAGGCATGGTGGCAGGTGCCTGTAATCCCAGCTACTCAGGAGGCTGAGGCAGGAGAATCATTTGAACCCAGGAGGTGGAGGCTGCAGTGAGTCAAGATTGCACCACTGCATTCCAGCCTGAGCAACAAAGTGAGATTCCATCTCAAAAACAGGAAAGAAAATCAAAATCCAGTATTCCAGGGGCTCCTGTGTATTAAGTGTTTTTAGTATCCCAGGTGATATGTTAAACACTTCATAAGTGTCATGTCATTTTATTCTCACAGTAACACTATATGGGAGTTTCTATAATGGTTCCATTATACAGATGAGAAAGCTATGTTTAGAGAGCTTGTCCAAGGTCAGACAGCAAAAAGGGTGGCAAGTCAGAATGTGAACCCAAGTGTGTCTGCCTCTAGAGGCTGAGCTATCAAACCCTACGTTATGTGGCCACTCTTCTATCACCCTAAAGCCAGAAAATGTATGTGAAAGCACATTGCAGATGGCAAATACTGTCCCAGATTATTTTCATTTTTCAGCAATGACTGTAGTGTGGACGGAGCTGGAGAGAATGTGAGAGAAGAAAGTGACATGACCTGCCCCCAGAACTGCCATTCATTTTACTTGTCCATTATCACCATCTGTCATCCTCACCTGAAACTAGTATCAACGCAGGTGCATTCAAATGCAAATAACAGAAAAGACTTACACCATCACGACATTTATTGTCTTTTTAAAAAGAAGTATGGAATCAGATGCTCGCAGTTTAGATCAGCAATTTCACAAGGTTAGGGCTCTGGACTCTCATCTCTATCACTCTGCCCAAGTTCACATCTCTACTGCTACAGTTCCAAGCCTCACATTCTAATAAGATTTTTCTTCAAAACCAAGAAGACACCTTGCCACGGTCATGAATGAGCACTCCTAATATGTTTCTTTTGTTTTATTGGAAAGTCCATTCTTTGGAAATGGAAATATTTATAAGGAAACTCCACAGCACATGTCCCTTACATGTTATTGACTAGAAATGGATATATATTGTATTAGGATGGGCCAGGCTAGGCTTTGGTAAGAAGTAAGCCCTGAAATCTCAGTGGCTGAACACAATGGAGGTTTATTTCTTGCTCGCCTGACAATCTTTGTGTGCTGGTGGCCCCCTTTCATCTTGTAGCCTCCACCATCACTGCAGCAGGGGAAGAGAGAGATGGAAATGGTGCACCGGTTTTTGGGTTTTAGTTTTTTTTTTTTTTTTTTTTAACACGGAGTTTCACTCTTACTGCCTAGGCTGGAGTGCAATGGCGCAATATTGGCTCACTGCAACCTCCACCTCCCGGGTTCAAACAATTCTCCTGTCTCAGCCTCCTGAGTAGCTGGGATTACAGGCACATGCCACCACGCCCGGCTATTTTTTTTTTTTTTTGTATTTTTAGTAGAGATGGGGTTTCATCACATTGGTCAGGCTGGTCTCGAACTCCTGACCTCAGGTGATCCACCTGTCTCTGCCTCCCAGAGTGCTGGGATTACAGGCGTGAGCCACCACGCCCGGCCTTTGTGCACCGGTTTTTAACTGCCCCAGATGGGAAGGGCTGCATCTCTGCTCACATTCCTATTAGTCAGAACTTGGCCCCATGGCCTCACCTACTGCAGAGGTGGCTGGGAAGGGCAATTGACCCAGGAAAGGAAACAGCAAGATGAACACATTGTATTGTGTGCCGCACACTGCCACCCCCACATGTCAGGGAAGGAGGGTCTTGGGAAGGCTGCTGGGTGGGTGACTGCCACTCCACCTCACTTCCACTTACTCCCCAACCAGGCCAGCAAGTCTGGTCACAGATGTGGCAGGGGAGGCTCCCCTTCTGTGGGTTTCCATGGCCTTGAAGGAAATAAAAATATTTCTCCCTAAAATATTGAGGATTGTTAAATTAAAGACCCTTAAAACATGGGAACACTCTACCTCACCCTCTACTTGCCTGATGGCAGGACATAAATCCTTCCAAACTGGATGTGTGGGTGAATGGGCAGCTGGATGGATGAGTGGGCAGGTAGATAAGTGGGTGGATGGATGGGTGGGTGGATAATTGGGTGGATAGATGGGTGGGTAGGTGGATAGATGGGTGGAGGGTTCAATAGGTAGATGAATGGATGTGTGGGTGGGTGAATGTGTGGGTTGGTGAGTAGATGGATTGATGGATGGATGGATGGGTAGATGGGCAGGTGGATGGGTTGGTGGATGGATGGGTGGGTGGGTTAATGAATGGGTTTGTGGGTGGATGGATCAATGGATCTTCCATACTACTTATGCACCCAGAGAAGGCACCAGCAGATACCAGAGGAATCTGGAAGCAGATTTTACAATCTTTCCACATTTTCCCTACCTTTTAAAAAGGGAACTGCTCTCTCTCTTGTCTTGTCACTATGTAGGATTTATGGCTCTTTCTTAAAATACTATTTAAGCAAGGCCACTGCCTTGAGAGAGAAATACTTTTTTTTTTTTTTTTGAGACAGGGTCTCACTCCCAGGCTGGAGTGCAGTGACACAATCAAGGCTCACTGCAGCCTCAAGCTCCTGGACTCAAATGATCCTCCCACCTCAGCCTCTCAAGTAGCTGGGACTACAGGTGTGCACCGCCACGTCTGGCTAATTTTTGTGTTTTTTGTAGAGACAGGGTTTTGCCATATTGCCCAGGCTGGTTTCAAACTCTAGGGCTCAAGGAATCCTACCTCCTCGGCCTCTTGAAGTGTTAGGATTACAGGTGTGAGCCACTGTGCCTGGTGGAAAGGAATACTTTTAAAACTGAGGCCTCTTTCACATAATGGGTACATCACACATTAATAAACTTCTGCTTGTTTTTCTTTTGTTAATCCGACTTTTGTTTTCAGGAGAGTGACTCAACTAAGAAGCTAAAAAGAGAAATTCCTCTCTGCAGCCTCCCTCTTCCCCAACCCTTCTCTCTCAGTATTAGTCTTTCACTGGCCTGCCACCCTCTCCCCAACCCTGACCCTAACACACTGTAGACTTCTTAAGGTCACAGGTTGTCTTCCCTTCCCATCTCTCACAGCTACACTAGGATCTGGCCCATTGTAGGTGCGCAGCAGATGGTTTTAGAGCAAGTGAAAGAGGGTCTTTTTGAAACAATGGTTTCAATCATTTGTGTCTGAGAGCTGCCTGGCTTTTTATCTTTTGAATTTCTGGTAGAATCATTGAGGAAAGAGAAGTATGATTCAACCCTTAAACAAACATGGATACACAAGATGCCATAATGCAGACTTCAAAAATGTGGCCATAAATAAAGTAAATATTTGGTCAATGACATCAACCTATGTAAAACATTTCTTTAAGGAAACTGACTTAGAATCCCACTTAAAATACCTTAAAAGACCTGGCTTTACTCAAGACTACATTTCCCAGATTGAAAGTATTGAGCCGGGCACAGTGCCTCACGCCGTAATCCCAGTACTTTGGAAGGGCGAGGCGGGCAGATCACCTGAGGTTGGGAGTTCGAGACCAGTCTGACCAACATGGAGAAACCCCATTTCTACTAAAAATACAAAAAATTAGCCAGGCATGGTGTCACATGCATGTAATCCCAGCTACTTGGGAGGCTGAGGCAGGAGAATCACCCGACCGGGAGGTGGAGTTTGCTGTGAGCTGAGATCGCTCCACTGCACTCCAGCCTGGGCAACAAGAGCAAAACTCTGTCTCAAAAAAAAAAGTGTTGAGTGCCTTGCATGCCCAGAGAAGGTACCACAGGGATGGTGGCTGAGGCAATGGGTAAAAATTACAGGGTAGTTAGATATATACTCTTTAAGAAATTTAATTTAATTAAGGAAGCCAAATAAGAGAGATGCTTTATCAGCAGGGATTATCATCACTATTATAGTTGTTTGTTTGTTTGTTTGTTTGTTTGAGATGGAGTCTCACTCTGTCACCCAGGCTGGAGTGCAGTGGTGCCATTACTTCGACAAAACCGCAATTACTTTTGCACCAACCCATAGCAGGTGTCTTGCTAATCCGTCACTGTGTAACAACACACCCCAAAGCCTAGTGGCTTAAAGCAAAAATGTATGACTACCTCTCATGGTTCTGTGGATTGATGGGGCTCAGCTGGGTGGCTTCCTCTCCGAGTCTCTCAGCAATTTCTTCAGATAGTCTTAAGGCCTAGTTTTAGAAGTCACACAGCACCACTTTGACTGCCATCTTTTATTTATTTATTTATTTATTTATTTATTTTTGAGACGGAGTCTCACTGTTGTTGCCCAGGCTGGAGTGCAATGGCACAGTCTCCACTCACCGCAACCTCCGACTTCTGGGTTCAAGTGATTCTCCTGCCTCAGCCTCCCAAGTAGCTGGGATTACAGGCACCCACCACCATGCCCAGCTGATTTTTTTTTTTTTTTTTTGTATTTTTAGTAGAGACGGGGTT
The DNA here is from genome assembly GCF_000001405.40 of Homo sapiens. Lineage (NCBI taxonomy): Eukaryota > Metazoa > Chordata > Mammalia > Primates > Hominidae > Homo > Homo sapiens. The sequence continues at coordinate 93,550,033 of NC_000010.11, forward strand.
TCTCCGTGTTGGTCAGGCTAGTCTCGAACTCCTGACTTCAGGTGATCCACCCGCCTCGGCCTCCCAAAGTGCTGGGATTACTGGTGTGAGCCACCATGCCCAGCCTTTATTTACTTATTTTTGAGACGGAGTTTCACTTTTGTTTCCCAGACTGGAGTGCAATGGCGCCATCTTGGCTCAGTGCAACCTCTGCCTCCCAGGTTCAAGCGATTCTCCTGCTTCAGCCTCCCGAGTAGCTGGGATTACAGGCGCGTGCCATCATGCCTGGCTAATTTTTGTATTTTTTGTAGAGACGGGGTTTCACCATATCGGCCAGGCTTATCTTGAACTACTGACCTGAGGTGATCCGCCCGCCTCAGCCTCCCAAAGTGCTGGCCCAGCCACTGCATTCTGTTATTTAAAAACAGGGCACAGGACCAGCCTTGCTTTAAGAGGAGAAGACAACACACAAGGGGATGAATACCAGGAAACATCCTTCACTGGGAGCCATTGTGGAGACTACCACAGTGGAGCAAGCTGAATGAGCAAACACAAGGCATCTCTTGTGTGTGCTGAGGACCATGCCTCTTGAAAGGGCTTTCACATCCATTTTCATTTGATCACAGGTATGTGAGCTAGGCAAGCCCGTGTCAGGACTAGATTTCCTTTTATTTTTTTTTCAATTCTCAGAACATTCTGGATATAGATCTCTATTTTATACATATAGACGCTGTAGCTCAGCAAAATTGAGTAGATTATCAAAAGTCACATGGCTTCTAAATGTGGGTGTGGAATGTGAACTTTGGTCTTCCGATTTAGCCCTGCAAACTATAGAATTTTCCAAGCCACCAACGCTCAGAACTTTTTGACACCTTGAACAAACCAGGAAGGAGACAAGAGTCTCCACCTGCAAAAAGTAATCAAGGGGAAGCAGCCACAGATCTAAATTTGAAAAGAAAAAGGTTATCACAATTGTTAGAGTTTTACAACATGGTCATACCTACTATAATTGGTGATGGGGAATGGATACGTGGCCACTGCTCATGAGAGTGTGATTTGGTGCAAACTTTCCAGAAGTGCAATAGATATTAAAGCCTTAGTTTTGCAAAATTTGTAAGCTAGGAGAAAGTTAGCCAGGCCTTAGAGCCTCCTTCCTGCATGGGTTGTAGAAAGACAGGACATGGGGCTTGCACTCAGAAGCTGCTCAACTAAGGCTGGTTATTTGTCTAGGGAGTCAGGAATCTGATGAGGCCAGGCCAGGGGCCTCTGAGGCTGAACAAAACATTAGCACAGGAGGAGCAAAAGTTAAGCACACACACACACTCATGCATGCACACACATATGCACATGAACCCAATCCAAAATTTCATATCTAGAAAATTTTCTAGATTGGGTAGATTTTTGCTAACAGGGAAAAATTACAAATAGTTAAATAGCTAACAAGAAGTATTTTGTTAAACAATGGGAAACTATTCTGCCATTAAATTGAAGTAGTAGAAAACTATTTAGTGCCACATGAAAGACTGCAATATTATTGATGGGGAAAAAGCAGATTTTGAAAGAGCATTGTAATATTATCATATTTTTTTTTTCAAAAATATACATGTGGGCATATACACAGAAGAGATAAGAAAGAAAGAATACCAAAATGCTAATAATAGTTATTTAAGGATGGTGAGACTATGGGTGATTTTTTCTTTTTCTTTTTCTTTTCTGAGACAGAGTCTTGCACTGTCGCCTGGGCTGGAGTGCAATGGCACGATCTCTGCTCACTGCAACCTCTGCCTCCCGGGTTCAAGCGATTCTCCTGCCTCAGCCTCCCAAGAAGCTGGGATTACAGGCGCCCGCCACCATGCCTGGCTAATTTTTTGTATTTTTAGTAGAGACGAGGTTTCACTGTGTTGGCCAGGCTGGTCTCGAACTCCTGACCTCATGATCCACCCACCTCAGCCTCCCAAAGTGCTGGGATTGCAGGCGTGAGCCACTGCGCCCAGCCTTTTCTTTTTCTTTTATTTCACTTTTCTTTCTTTTTCTTCTCTATATTTTCAAATTGCTTATAGGATGTGTTGCTTTCATAATGAGTTTTTGAAAAAGAAAATAAGAATGGGAATTATATTTTCTATGGGAAAATATAGAGAATTTTAAGCTGATTTCAACCAACCAATGGAAAATATACAAATGAATAATATAGTACTGTGTATCTGACTTTTCAAAGTGCTTTCGAATTCAAGGTCTAATTTGATTTCTGTAATAACTCAGTGACGGAGACTGGACAGGTATTATTATTTCTATTTTGCAAATGGGACAAGTGAGCCTCTAACCAGCCAATTAGTGACAAAACCAGGACGAGATCCAGATCTCCTGGGCCATTCATGGACCTCAGATGAAATCACACCTGGCTTTGAATTTGGACAGCTTACTTTCTATGCAACTTAATCTGTTGGGGACCCCCTGTTTTAGCCCACCCAGAATCCCTTGTCCCATCTTTTGGTCTCAGCACCCTGACTTTTCTTATGAACCTGCCCTTCCTCTGTCGGTCCAGATTCCTGATGGGCATGAGACCCCACCCTGCCTACAAGAGCCACCCTTGGGAAGTGTGAGGATAGTGCTGGAAGAGTCTGCTGAGCTGGTAGGAAGTGGGCAAGAGCTGCTATGGCCTCTTTGCCTCCACTAGGGGATGGATGGGCTTCCTGAAACAAACCCAATTCAGAGAAAAGAGTCAGAGGTGAGGACAGGTGCCCAAATAAGTTGTTGTTGTTTGCATCCCTGGATCCAGATGTGCCTAAAGCTAAAGTCACTGCCTGGATTTTTTGCTTATCCAGGCCAGTGCATTTCTTTTTTTCTTTCTTTTTCTTTTCCTCCTCCTCCCTTTTATCCTCCTTCTCTCCTTTCTTCTCCTCCATTTCTGTTTGTTTTATTTGAGTTGGATTCCTGTTAGTTGTAACCCAACGTCTCCCGATCATTATATTCTTCTGCCTCAGTCTTCTCACCTGTAAAATGGGGATGATAATAATAACAATGTTCTTCTTCTGCACAGGATTGTTGTGAGACTTAGCTGAGTCACCACAAGTAAGGTGCTTGTTACATAGTGAGAGGTCAGTAAATGTTACCTATTAAGGAGTTGGAAAAAGCTGAATTCAGAGAATTTTATCTCCCTGCTGGGGGCGGTGGCTCACACCTGTAATCTCAGCAATTTGGGAGGCTGAGGCAGGTGGATCATCTGAGGTCAGGAGTTCAAGACCAGCCTGGTCAACGTGGTGAAACCCCGTCTCTACTAAAAATACAAAAAATTAGCCAGGCATGGTGGCACGCGCCTATAATCCCAGCTACTCAGGAGGCTGAGGCAGGAGAATCACTTGAACCTGAGAGGCGGAGGTTGAAGTGAGCCAAGATTGCACCATTGCATTCCAGCCTGGGCCACAGAGCGAGACTGTCTCAAAAAAAAAAAAAGAAAAAGAAAAAAAGAAAAAAGAAAGTTTTATTTCCCCTCCCCCGCAAAAAAGAAAGAGATTTCTCCATGCATCAAAATATGAGGAATAGATTCCTATAATGCAAATTATGAGAAAAGAGAAAGCACTGTGTCAGTCAGTTCACCAGGGAGTCATTATTCCAGAATTTATGGCCTAGGAGTCACTGACCTCACCTCACGCCTCTGTCTTTCTCTCTTTCTCTCACTCTCTTGCTTGTGTGTGTGTGTGTGTGTGTGTGTGTATGTGTGTGTTTCACAGGAATTGCGAGAGAGGAGGAGAAAGGGGAGATGAAGTGGTTGGCTGGACAGAAATGGCTGGTTTTGCAATGCAGTTTGGGGAGAGGAAAAGTAAACTGGGAGAAAGTTATCCAGGCCTTAGAGCGTCCTTCCTGCATGGGTTGTAGAAAGAGAGGACATGGGGCTTGCCATTCGGAAGCTGCTCAGCTAAGTCTGGTTATTTGTCTGGGGAGTCAGGAGTCTAATGAAGCCAGGCCAGAGGCCTCTAAGGCTGAACAAAACATTAGCACAGGAGGAGCAACAGTTACACACACACACACACACACACACACACACACACCCATTCTGGCTGGATTAAACAGAAAAAGGTATAATGTAATTCACAGGCTCTCCGATGGGAGGGCCAGAGAATTGACCGTGAAGACTTCCCAGCCTGGAACGATGTCACATGATGAAGGCTGCTCCAGTGGAACACTCAGTGTCACCACACTACAGCACAGACACCATGCCTGGCTTGCACCACTGGTTCTGGATGTGAGATCCTAGAAGCCTCTTGATTGTGCCCTAAACTCTTGCCCATAAATGGATTCTGTGAAACCCTAGCTTGTCCTCTCCTGCAAAGGCAAGTCTCTCACGGTATGTCTGGTGGTCTAAGCTTAGGGTACATGCCTTGGTGCAAGGGAGATGGGAAAGCCAGTGTTGACCTTTCCCTTGGGGAGGCAGGACTCATACTGTGGGAAATTTGCAAGTCACCTGATAGAGTTCAAAAGGACAACCATCAAGTCTGATATATATCCCCACAATAGCATTGCTATATTGGGTGTGTGTGTGTGTGTGTATGTATGAAATAGACAAATGATCTATATCTCAAGGTCCACTTTCCAGGATGGTTTCATCCTTAAAAATCCAAAGAACCATCATTCAAGCTGCCACCAGGAGCAGGGAGCCCAGTTCCCTCATTTGGGTGTCACTCAATACCTCTGAGTCCAGACAACTGTTCCAAGCTCCAGGTACCGTCTGGTCACCCCTTCTCCTTGTGGCTCTGCTTGTTCAGGTCAGCATTGCCCCCATATGTGGGCCCAGGTCCCTTTCTCCCCTTACCCCCGAAATGAAAAGCTGACACACTCTTCAGAGATGTACCAGGCTCATGGATGGATGGACGGATGGATGGGCGTATAGGTGGATGAGGGGGTGGGTGGATGGACACCAGAGGTTTGAGGACAATGGTCACTGTAGCCAATGACACCAGGGGGCAGTGCGGAGCAGCTTTTCAAGGCCTAACTCCCTACACTCTTCCATCAGACCTGGCTGGCAGGGCTTGGAGAGCTCATTTTGTTCAACATTTTCATTTGTGAGGAAGTTGTTGAGGCCCAAGACAGGAATGGCTGTGTCAGTAGCGCACAGCAGCTGAGCTGGCTCTTGATGCGGCTCCAGCACCCTCTGCATTACAGTATTTACATAAGCCCACCTTCCCAGGCTCGGAGGGCCCCCACGCTGCCAAGCCTCCGTCAGCTATCAGTGATTCTGGAGCCCTTCCTAGGAGTCTCATCGGTTGCCGGCTGCTGAACTCAATCAGCATAGAGGAAACAGACAGTCAGAGTTCAGGGCGTTGGCCAGGCTGAGTCATTGTCTTCGCCCCTCCGAAGGGCTGCATGTTAGGGCCCTCACTGGACACCCCTTCCCTAGCCATGTCTTTTCTCTCCTTTTGGAATCCAGATCACCTGGAGGTCATATTTCCCAGGAAAGGAAGGACCCCACGCTGAGAACACATCTTACAATAAATGATCCCTCTCTTCTCAAAATTTACGTCTGTGTTACATCCCCTTTAGCCCTGCTTTTTAATTTCCACTGCCTGTTTCTTTGGGGGCAGTGGGGGTGGAGTGGGGGAGTACCAGGGTGGTGATGGCCCCTCCCACCCCCACCCCTATCCTTATCCATCTTTACAGCAGGCTCCTGAGGACCACGACTTAGATAGCAGAGACATCAAGAGGCTCACTAAACCTCAAATTTCCATTTTCGTTCATTCATCTATTTAATTATTCAACTATTGAAAATATTTTAAGCCCCTCCTATGTGTCAGATGCTAAAAAAAGTCACAAACTTACACTTCTTAAGCCCTTACTACACTAAAGGTGTGACATTTAGTATATTATCTTACACAAGCCAATGAAGGAAGTATTTTATTTATTTATTTATTTTTATTTTTTTGAGACGGAGTCTTGCTCTGTCACCCAGGCTGAAGTGCAGTAGCACAATCTCAGCTCACTGCAACCTCCACCTCCTGGGTTCAAGCGATTCTCCTGCCTCAGCCTCCTGAGTAGCTGGGATTACAGGTACCTGCCACCCATATCATTCAATTCACAAGCATTTTAATGACTGTGTAGTATTCTACTGAAGACATATAACTGATTTACCTCCCCCTTACTGTTGACCTTATATCTATTGTAGAAGTGGTTTAGTGTTTCAGTGTTTAATATTTTCTTTCTTTCTTTGTTTCTTTTTTTTTTTTTTGAGACAGAGTCTCGCTCTGTCGCCCAGGCTGGAGTGCAGTGGTGTCATCTCGGCTCACTGCAACCTCCGCCTCCTGGGTTCAAGCTATTCTCCCTGCCTCATACTCCCGAGTAGCTGGGATTACAGGTGCCCACCACCACGCCCAGCTAATTTTTGCCATGGTGACCAGGCTGGTCTCGAACTCCTGACCTTGAGTGATCCACCTGCCTCAGCCTCCCAAAGTGCTGGGATTACAGGCGTGAGCCACCGTGCCCAGCCTTGAAGGATGCATTGTTATTTTCGTTTTACAAATGAAGAAACAGAGATCTAGAGAAGTGATGTCACTTGCCCAAGAGTGCACAGCCAGTGAGCTACAGGACAGGAATCAAACCCAGGAGGCCACACCCAAGTATCAGACATTTCCTGCAAGTGTTCAATTGTGAGGCTTGCTCTTCCCCTTCAGCTGCACCCCACAGGCAGCGCCAGAGTGCTGAAGCATGCAGCCCCAAGCAAGGGCCAATGGGTGAGCAGGAGTGGCAGAGGCCAGGTTCTGGCCACTGAAGTGTGTTGTAGCTTTGGGACTTTCGGAGTGGAATTCCAGAATGTTCCATCAGGTTCCATTCTTCAGTGATGCATGGTTGCAAAGCTGCAGCTCAGGGAAGAGCCCCTCCAAGGTCACTGAGTTGAGAATCGAGAACCTGAGTCTGCTCCACTGGGGCTAACGAGCCATGTAAGCGGGACCATCTCCCTTTGCTGCACGGGGGCCACCTGCTGCCTCCTCTGTGAAACGGGAGAGCATACCACCTGCCCTGGAGAGCTGTCCTCGAGATGAGATAAAAGCATGGATATAAAAGGGTCTGGAAATTTGGAGGTCTTTGCTTGTATGAATATGTGTCCTTATTATCGCCATGTGACGGGCTGGTGAGTCTTGACTGAGTTTCTCTGGAGATTGAAGCAGTAGTCAAGTTTTTAACATAGGATTTTTTGTTTTGTTTTGTTTGTTTGTTTTTAATGACTGCCACACATACTCTGTCCTAAAAGAAAGAGAAGTTTAACAACAGCAAAATAAGCAGGACATAATCTTGCAAGTAAAAATGGATGTGGTTAGCCTTGGGGAAAACTACACAGTTGACACTTTTCCCATTTCACTTTAAACCAGCGGAGACTAAAGCAGAGGCTGGCCTCTGAGAGCCATTGCTGGAGGGTGGGTGTGGTGCATAGCTCTGTCCTTTCACCTTGCAGCCAAGCTGGGGGCTAAATATGGCACGGGACAGTTGTGTGCATTGAGGAAACTGAGGGATAGAATAGAAGAATAATGTGACTGAACAAAAATTTTTTTTTCTTTGAGACAGAGTCTCACTCTGTCACCCAGGCTGGAGTGCAGTGGTGTGATCTCAGCTCACTGCAACCTTCACCTCCCGGGTTCAAGCGATTCTCCTGCCTCAGTCTCCTGAGTAGCTGGGACTAAAGGCACGCGCCACTATGCCCAGCTAATTTTTGTATTTATAGTAGAGACGGGGTTTCGCCATGGTGGTCACACTGTTCTTGAATTCCTGACCTCAGGTGATCCACCCGCCTCAGTCTCCCAAAGTGCTGGGATTACAGGTGTGAGCCACTGCGCCAGGTCCTGAAAACAATTTTTAAATGCATATTACAAAATAGTGTGTGCAACACAATTCCCATTTTATAAAATACCTGTAGGCATACAGACAGCCCCGGATGTACAGAAAACACACTGGAAAGTTACACAGCACAATCTCACAGGATTATCGCTGTGTAGAAGAATGAAGGACAAATTTATATTTTTCTTGCATTTCATAATAGAAACATAGAACTAATAAAGAAGCCAAAAAAAAAGAAAAAAAAGAGAAAAGAAAAAAAGAAAGTGATGCAAGAGGAATCGCGCAACACTGCAATATCTTGGCCAATGGTCTCCTTGGGATGTGCGGAATTTCAGTAAAGCTACATCTTGTACTGTAGAAAGCTCTTCTGGGCTTGTGCTCACATCCTTACCTGCTGTCTGGCCATTTCTAGGACTGGGCATGGTGCTGGCCATGCAGTACGTGCTCCATCAGTGTGTGCTCAATGGACTGCCTGCCATCCTCGGCTGGCCACTGTGGCTCCTGGCCGAGAGAGGGCCACAGAGAAACACTACCGCTTAAGTAGAAATGGACCATATCAAAATTGCTCTTCTCTCTGAGTTGAACATTTTGTATTTAGGGGCTTTAATTACATCTTTCCTTGGAAGAATGGGAAAAAGGTGATTACCAAGATCCCACTTATCCAGTTTGAGCTCCCGTATTGGGCAATCTGGCCTCATTAAAATAAAGACTGTCTTTAAAACATGGGGGGGAGGGGAGGCGTCAGATGTTGGATCTTCTATTGATTAGACTCCTTGGTGGCAAGCAACAGGAGTTAATAAATTCTGGCCAATTTAAGCTGGAAAGAAATGCACTGGGAAAGATCCTGGTAGCTACCACTGTGGACAGGAAGGCTGCAGAGCCCAGGTGATAAAACAGGCAGGGCTGAGAGCGCTGAGTTGCAGGGACCACTGCTCGAGCCCCTGAGCTTTAGCCCCCAAACAGAACTCACTTGTCTTACTAATATTTATTTATTTATTTATTTGCAACAAAGTCTTGCTCTGTCGCCCGGGCTGGAGTGCAGTGGCACGATCTTGGCTCACTGCAACCTCTGCCTCCTGGATTCAAGTGATTCTCCTGCCTCAGCCTCCCCAGTAGCTGGGACTACAGGCGTGCGCCACCATGCCCAGCTAATTTTTATATTTTAAGTAGAGATGGGGTTTCATCATGTTGGCTAGGATGGTCTTGATCTCTTGGCCTCGTGATCCACCTACCTTGGCCTCCCAAAGTGCTGGGATTACAGGCGTGAGCCACAGTGCCTGGCCACTACTACTAATTTTTTTTTTTTTTTTTTTTTTTTTTTGAGATGGAGTCTTGCTCTGTTACCCAGGCTGGAGTGCAGTGGCGCGATCTCAGCTCACTGCAACCTCTGCCTCCCAGGTTCAAGCGATTCTCCTGCCTTAGTGTCCCAAGTAGCTGGGACTACAGGCTTGTGCCACCACACCCAGGTAATTTTTATACTTTTAGTAGAGATGGGGTTTCACTATGTTGGCCAGGCTGGTCTCGAACTCCTGACTTCGTGATCTGCCCACCTCAGCCTCCCAAAGTGCCAGGATTACAGGTGTGAGCCACCGCTCCCAGCCACTCCTATTATTATTGTTATTGTTCTTTCTACCCCCCCTTGCCAGTCCCCCTACTCCTCAGTGTTCCTCCTTCCCCAGTTACCTCAGCAGTGGGGGGCTGATCTTTTCTGGTCTATTGACTCCTAAGGCCTCCTCAAGGCACTGGGGCTTCTTGAGGCATGGCTTCACCTCTTCTGTCTGTCTGGGAGGAACAGAGTTTAGTCACCCCAGGACTCCAGCGACAGTGGTCAGGCCTGGCCGTCCAGTGTGCGGACATCCCCGCCCTCACAGTTGCTAAAAGGCTGGCCCTTGCTCTCCTTTCTTCATCTCCTCAGGCAAGATTGTCGCAGAAATGAGCTTGAGGAAACTCCCAGGCAGACAAAGTCGGCTCAGTGGAACTCACAGATGGGCCCTGCCCCGTCAATGCCCCCGCTGTGATAGGGTATGTAACTGTCCAGTGGGTTCACCTTGCCCGCTGCCCAGATAGAGCTGATTTATCAAGACAGGGGAATTGCAACAGAGAAAGAGTAATTTATTCAGAGCCGGCTGTGCAGGAGACTGCAGTTTTTTTATTACTCAAATCAGTCTCTGCGAGCATTTGTGGATTATAACTTTTAAAGATAATTTGGTGGGTAGGGGCTTGGGAAATGGGGAGGGCTGATTGGTCAGGTTGGAGATAGAATCACAGAGGGTCGAAGTGAGTTTTTCTTGCTGTTTTCTATTCCTGGGTGTGATGGCAGAACTGGTTGAACCAGATTACCGGTCTGGGTGGTGGTGGCTGATCCATCGAGTGCAGGGTCTGCAAAATATCTCAAGCCCTGATCTTAGGTTTTGCAACAGTGATGTTACCCCAGGAGCAATTTGGGGAGGTTCAGACTCTTGGAGCCAGCATGACATCTGAACTGTAATTTCTAATCTTGTAGCTAACTTGTTAGTCCTGCAAAGGCAGACTAGTCCCCAGGCAAGACGAGGGTCTTTTCGGGAAAAGGGCTGCTATCAATTTTGTTTCAGAGTCAAACCGTGAACTGAATTCCTTCCCATAGTTAGTTCGGCCTACGCCCAGGAATGAACAAGGACAGCTTGCTTAAAGTTTAGAAGCAAGATGGAGTCAGTTAGGTCTGATTTCTTTCACTGTCATAATTTCCTCAGTTATAATCTTACAAAGGCAGTTTAAGGTATGAGGTGGGCTTTGAGGGCTTGAGCAGAAACCGCAATCAAGTGGGCAGGAAGAGCCCGTGAGAAGGGCCATTGCTGCCCTCAAGCCCACAAACCATGAGGCACAGCCACTTCTAACCACATTGCAGGTTTCGGCCTGCCAAGGACTCCCACCTGAGGGGCGTGCACAGGGGCTCAGCCCCAGCCAGGCCCTGTTAGCCATGCCCAGAGCCTTGGCTGCATCAACCCTGGGGAAGGAGCGCCTTCCAACTCATCTGTTCAGGGAAGTCCCTTTTTTTCTAACTTATGTAAAGCTTTGAGTGTGCTAGCTGTGGCCCGGCCTCTGTATCTTGTTTAAAGTAGACACAGTATGATCCCTGCCCTGGGCCCCTAGTGTGTGAACAACTTATAAACAGGCAGCTGCTCACTTGAGTCTTGCTCTTATTTTCCAGCTTCTACTTGGGTTCCTATCTTTTGGTGGATAGATGTGCTATGGACAGTGGAGAAGATCACAGTGCTGGGCATGCCAGAGCACTTGCCCCTTCCCAGGCATGTGTTGCTCTCTCGGGCCTTCCTACCTTTGCATTGCTGTTCCCTTGGTCTGAATGCCTATGCCCTGTCTCCCTGGGAACTCTTGGGCCTCCTTGAAGAAGGAGCCTTGCACCACCATCAGGGTGCAAGGTGGTCTTCCCCGTCACCCCACTCTGGCCTGGCTGAGGTGGTTACTCAGCTATGAATGCTCAGGGCAGTTGGGTCTGGGGATCTGGGAGGGGTCTCACCTTGACAGGATGGGAGGAACAGAGGCAGGAGAGAGACTTGAAATCTTTGCACGAGGGTGAGCAACCTTTGCATTCTGCTCTATAATATATCCTAATTTTGCACAGAGATACCCTGAACCTGCAAAGGCATATGTCTCAGAACTGATAGGTATAGACAGACAGACAGACAGATACATACATACACAGACAGATGGACAGACTCTCACAGGGAGATTTGGAGGTCGAGTAATGAACCAGTAAGCATTTTCATACTAACTTTATAACATTTTTCCAGAGGAAAAATAAGAAAACCGGCTCACACCTGTAATCCTAGCAGTTTGGGAGGCTAAGGCAAGTGGATCACTTGAGGTCAGGAGTTAGAGACCAGCCTGGTCAACATGGCAAAACCCCATCTCTACTAAAAAGATGGGTCTCGAACCCAGCTACGCAGGAGGCTGAGGCAAGAGGACCACTTCAACCTGGGAGGCAGGGGTTGCAGTGAGCCAAGGTCACGCCACTGCATTCCAGCCTGGGCAACAGAGAGAGACTCTGTCTCAAAAAAAAGTGAAAGAAAGAAAGAGAGAGAGAGAGAAAGAGAAGAAAAGAAAGAAAGAAAGAAAGAAAGAAAGAAAGAAAGAAAGAAAGAAAGAAAGAAAGAAAGAAAGAAAGAAAGAAAGAGAGAAAGAGAGAGAGAAGGAGGGAGGGAGGGAGAGAAAGAAAAGAAAAGAAAAGCATACACAGAGAAAGTCCCCTGTGCCCCTCTCCCCTCCTGTTTGGTTGGAAATGTAAAGAGGTACAGAAGCCACCTGCAATGTTGGCTTTCTCTTTAGCTTAGAAACGAGACTGTCCAGATTTACGCTTGGTAAATCCTTGTCTCAGTTTCTATGGCTTTATCTGAGAGTGGAAGAGGTAAAGAACTAATACCATGGGCAATAAATATGACTTTCACAGTGATGGATCAGCCAATGGGTATCTACTGTCCAGTCTCCAGGGAATACGTGAAGTCTGTCTACCCTGAGGATGCCACACCCAGCCCTGTGTATGAAAGGGATTTCACGGCTGTGCACATCTGGGGCCCAAACACAAAGCGGAGCCCAGTGGGTTGGTTAAAGGGGTCACAGAGGTTGCAGTGAAACATCTCTGAGAAAAAATGGTAACATTTTTGGCTTTTGCCACTAGATGTGACCCCACGACAGGGTTAAAAATAAGAAGTAAAGTCTTGTGAGGTCTCAAGAGCACAGGATTTCTCAGCCTCAGTACTATCAACATTTTGGGCTGGACAATTCTTTGTTGTGGGGAATGTCCTGTGCATTGTAGGATGTTAGCAGCAGCGTCCCTGGCCTCTACACACTGGATGTCAGTAGCAATCTCCCAGTTGTGACAACCAAAAATGGCTCCAGACATGACAAAATGTCCGAGGGTGGGGGTTGCAGCAAAACCTCCCCCAGTTAAGATGCACTGCTCTAGCGGTTCAGAGCAAAGACTCCGGAGTCAGACTGTCTCGGTTCAAATCCCAATGTTTGCAACTTGTAGGGGAATTGAATGAGTTAACAAACACAAAGGAAGGATGGCCATATACTTTATCCTCCAAACCAGGGCAATTTGAGAATGAAAAAGGTTCTAATAATAATTTCATAAACTGGTGCTGGCCATGGTGGCTCATACCTATAATCACAGCACTTTGGGAGGCCAAGGTGGGAGGATTGCTTGAGATCAAGAGTTCAATACCTGTCTGGGCAACATAGCGAGACCTCACCTCACAAAAAATAAAAAAAATTATCTGGGCATGGTGGTATGCACCTGTAGTCCCAGCTACTCATGAGGCTGAGGCAGGAGGATCACTTGGGCCCAGGACTTCAAGACTGCAGTGAGCTATGCCCATGCCACTGTACCCAACTTGGGTGACAGAGTGGGACCTTGTCTCCAATAATAATAATAATAATAATATCATAACTGGGACTGTCAGCAAGCAGAGTTGTGTCCATAATCCATATACAGTGTTGACCACAGAGTCTGACCCACAGTGTCCACTCAGTGACCACTGTGCGAAATGCTTTACATTAAGGAACTTCATTTAATCTTCCCCAAACCCTACGAGGTCAGTACTATCACTATCCCCTTTCATATATGGGAAGACTGAAACTCTAAGAAGCTACAGTAACTTGCCCAAGGTCACACAGTGAGTTGTCCTGCCAGGGCTCTGGTCCCCAAAGGCTAGTGCCCACATGGGCTCGGGTACTGCAGGGAAATGGCACTACTCAACACCCATCCGGCTCTGCATGAACTGCTAGCTCTACTAGGTAATTCACAGTTCCAGCATTAGATTCATGACATTGTACCTTACAAAGCTGAGTGTTTAGGAGTTGCTGTGATAAAAAGCAGGAACTGCATGAAAATCAACATGGAGCAGTGCTCAATATGATTTTGTTTTGAAAAACTGTGCAGAGTACAACAAGTGCACCCAGCCCATCAGGAAGCTATTGTTGTTGGTTTTTTAAAAAAAATTTTTTGAGACAGGGTCTTGCTTTGTTGCCCACATTGGAGTATAATGACCATAGCTCACTGTAGCCTCGACCTCTCAGGCTCAAGCCATCCTCCCACTTTAGCCTTCCAGGAAGCTGGGACTATATAGGTACAAGCCCCCATGCCCAGCTATTTTTTTTTTTTTTTTTTTTTTTGTAGAGATAGGATCTGGTTATGTTGCCCAGGCTAGTTTTGAACTCCTGGGATCAAGTGATCCTCCAGCCTCAGCCTCCCAAAGTGCTGGGATTACAGGGGTGAGCCATTGCACTTAGCCTCACTATGGTTATTTAAGAATGAAACAACAAGCCGGGTGAGTGTAATCCCAGCAGTTTGGGAGGCTGAGGTGGGTGGATCATTTGAGGTCAGGAGTTTGAGACCAGCCTGACCAACATGGTGAAACCCCATCTGTACTAAATTATAAAAATTAGCTGGGTGTGGTGGTGGGTGCCTGTAATCTCAGCTACTCGGGAGGCTGAGGCAGGAGAATCGCTTGAACCCAGGAGGCAGAGGTTGCAGTGAGCTGAGATGGCACCACTGCACTCCAGCATGGGCGACAGAGTGAGACTCCCTCTCAAAAATTAAAAAAAAAAAAAATGAAACAATAAAATTTTTACCCCAATTTATATGTATTATTATTTTCCAAGATAGTTACTAAGTTGTTAGGACATAAAGTCTTATTAAGTTGTTTGGACCCAACTACTTAATAAATGAAACGTTTCTGTTTGGTTTTTCTTTTTGCCTAGGGGTGCCATGAAGGTGCAGTGAATGGAGAAAGTTTATGAGCCTCTGCACTCAACATTTTGCCATTGGTAGAACCCAGGAGGTTAATGTTGGAGAAGGCCTTTTAGTGCAAAGAGCCCACCCTGGTTGTACATTCTAGGGAAACCTCTCTGTGTCTATCTCATCACATCAGCCTGTGATGTAATCAATCTCTCTCCGTCTCTGTCTGTGCTTTTCCCTCTTACTTTCTCTCTCTCTCTCTCTCTCTCTCTCTCACACACACACACACATACATATACCTATAGTTTCCTTTCCCTCACACAAACACTAATATCCCCTGACCCTAATCAGACAGTTGCCAAAACCCCATTTGTCTGAGTTCCCTTTATTTCAATTTTTTGCCCTTTTTCAACTGTTTCAGGAAGCAAACCAGTTCTGTTTTTCAACTTGAACCTAGTCAATGTTCAAGCTGAGCATCTACTTCTCAGGTTAGAAGTCACATCATCAGCTCAGACCTGTTTGATACCGTGAAAAGCAGACACACAAATGGACCCCCTCCCCAGACAGTACTTCAGACTCTGGCGCAACCAGCCTGAAGTACTCAGGTTTCTTTCTTTCTTTCTTTCTTTTTAAGATGGTGTCTCGCTGTGTGGCCCAGGATGGAGCGCAGTGGCCTGATCTCGGCTCACCGCAACCTCCACCTCCCGGTTTCAAGCAATTCTCCTGCCTCAGCCTTCCAAGTAGCTGGGATTACAGGTACCTGCCACCATGCCCAGCTAATTTTTGTATTTTTAGTAGAGACGGGGTTTCACCACGTTGGCCATGGCTGGTCTGGAGCTCCCGACCTCAAGTGATCCACCCGCCTTGGCCTCCCAAAGTGCTGAGATTACAAGCATGAGCCACTGTGCCCAGTCAGTGCTTAGATTTCTTAAGACCCAACCTTAAGAAAGACAATTAGAAGACAGAGTGGGCAACTGGGAGAGGCCTGGTAATATGGCAGAGGGAAGAGGGGGTGAAGGTGTGGGTGGCAGGAGGGTGGCTGGTTGGGGAAGTGGCCACTGGATCTTAGGCCACAGGCATACTTTTCCATCTCCAGCTTCCTCATTTACAGAAAACGAGACTGCAGTGGTGTGATGGAAATGTGTGGGACGGGGACAGGTGACTGGCTTTCATTACTAACCAGAGGACAGCTTAGACAAGTCACTCTGGCTGGGCCTCAGTTTCCTTATCTCTAACGGGACTGGATTGCCCAGTGCTCCTCAAACTGTGGCACCTGGGGCACATTCATAGCTTGTGTGTGAATCTGCCAGCCTTGAAATATCTGTCTTCCTTGGATGGCAAGTTTATTAAAAATTTTGGAAGGACTCACTCTTTTTATAAGAAAGCATTTATGTCATTGTTCAGAATGCAAAATGTATATGCATTTTAGTTACAATAACTAATATTTGATAACATTTAACGAGTAATTACTGTGTGCCAAGTGTGCAAAACTCTAGGTGAGCCTCACAATAACCTAATGGGGTATTATTATTCCCATTTTATAGATTAAAAATCTGGGGTAGAGGGAGTAGATAATCCACCTAAAGACCTGTTATTAAGTAGTGATAAAAGATCTCCACTCCCTCTCTCCCCCACAAAAAATATGGACTCATTACAAGTTGTTTTAGGATCTACCTCCAGACCCATGGAGTTTCTTTAGTAAAGCCTGAACGACACAGGCCAAAATAATCTCCAAAGGCCAGCTCTGACCCTTTTAAATCAATTTTAGCTAAATCCGTTCACAAAAGGCTTCGCACATCCAGTGTCCCTGAAAAATAAAGGAGGTTGGGCAGGCCCTGCGGGGGCTCGAGGAATTCGCTAAGTGAGTTTTCTGGCTTCTGGATACACTTTCAAAGGGCCAGAGGGCACGAGGCTTCCGCCTTGGCCGCCACCTCCCCGGCCAGCTGCGGTGTTCGCGGCCAGTGTTGCCGGGCACTTCCTGGTTCCCGCGCGCCCCGGGTGCAGCTCCCTGCACCCAGTGCTGGCGCTCCTCAGAAGGGAGGGGGCCAGAGGCGAGATGTCGCAACCGCCTCCCTCCCTCTTTCCCCGCCTTGGCACTCAGTCGCCTCCCAGATGAGCACTCTCTCAGACCGCTGCGGGCCGCCAGGCGCCGGGAATGTCCCCTGAATGCGCGCGGGCAGCGGGCGACGCGCCCTTGCGCAGCCTGGAGCAAGCCAACCGCACCCGCTTTCCCTTCTTCTCCGACGTCAAGGGCGACCACCGGCTGGTGCTGGCCGCGGTGGAGACAACCGTGCTGGTGCTCATCTTTGCAGTGTCGCTGCTGGGCAACGTGTGCGCCCTGGTGCTGGTGGCGCGCCGACGACGCCGCGGCGCGACTGCCTGCCTGGTACTCAACCTCTTCTGCGCGGACCTGCTCTTCATCAGCGCTATCCCTCTGGTGCTGGCCGTGCGCTGGACTGAGGCCTGGCTGCTGGGCCCCGTTGCCTGCCACCTGCTCTTCTACGTGATGACCCTGAGCGGCAGCGTCACCATCCTCACGCTGGCCGCGGTCAGCCTGGAGCGCATGGTGTGCATCGTGCACCTGCAGCGCGGCGTGCGGGGTCCTGGGCGGCGGGCGCGGGCAGTGCTGCTGGCGCTCATCTGGGGCTATTCGGCGGTCGCCGCTCTGCCTCTCTGCGTCTTCTTCCGAGTCGTCCCGCAACGGCTCCCCGGCGCCGACCAGGTGAGCGCCCCTCTGTGTGTGCCGGGCAGGTGTCCTGCGCAGGCTGGGAAGCGGGGCCCCGACGGAAGCTGGGATGAGGATGATCAAGAACAACAATAGCCATTTATTGCACTTAATCGTTGTGCCAAATCTTGTGCCCATGGCTGTGAAGTTTAATCTCTTAAATCTCACTACAACGCTGTGCACACGCCCTCCTAAATGATGTAAGTGGAGTCCCCCAAATTCTTGCAAAATGCAATGACTGTTGCGAGGTTAATTAACGAGTAGTTTAGGAGCGAGACGGAACTTTGGGGGTGCAGGGTGGCCAAACACTTTGTATTGAATCATGATTCCTCGCCAGGTGCTACAATACTGTTATTATCACACCCATTTCACAGATGAGAACCAGAGGCACACCGAAGTGTATAATAACTTGCCCAGAGTATTTTATCCGTAATTCGAGGAGGAGATGGGCTCCTTCCAGAAGTTTACCCGTAATTCAAGGAGGAGTTGGGCTCCTGTCCAGGGTTGGGTTATGGTCCTGCTTTGAAAGCGCGCGGACAGGCATGTGAGACCCGGGGACCCCAGATGCAATGCTGTCTTTAGGGGACTTGTGACAGAATTCCCTTCCGGGGTCTTCAGTTTTTTCAGCTGCAAAACGGAAGGATTACACTAGACCTTCGAGGTGTCCTGGGCGCCTGAAATGTGCAGATTACAGAGGCTGGACCGACGAGCTCTGTTTTACATAGCGGGTCAATAGTTGTCATTATTAGCTCATAGGGGTGGGAGTGACCATGATCGGAATAAGGTTCTGCGGATAGTGCAGGACATTGGCTCTGTTCCCCTCAAGTCCCGCGGTCCGGAATCCCGAGCTCGGGTCTTTTTCTCTTGCCGCTTTGCCCGGTGGTTGCAGGGTTCGTGCGCCGGGATCCACACGGAAGAGGGAATCTAGACGCGGAGTCACGGTGGAGGACAGTGGCCGCCGTCTGGCTGTCTTCCCAGTGTGTTTGGTTCTCCATGCCTCGCGGAGAGAGATAGAGAAAGGACTTAGGTCTGTGCGCTGGGGGCTCAGCCTCCAGGAGCTTCTGCCCGTGGCTGGGTTCTTGGCCTCCCCTTCCCTGCCGGGGTCACTGGTTTTCCGGCCTGGAACCCCCTACCCTTAAGCTCCCTCTCCACCTAGGAGTGAATATGGGGCGCCCTGAGTAATCGTGGCACAAACAGGAATCACGGTCCCAAAGAGGGACCTTCGAAGTGGTCAGAGAGGGGAGTAGGGAGGGAGAAATGACATGTCACCAGGGGAAGGCTTGGTTATGGAGATGCACACAGCCCACCAGGGACACCCCCTGACTGTGTGACCCTCCAGAGCCTGAGACAGAGAGGTGGAGCTTCTCTGGGGGTTTTCCCAGACCAGTCTCTCACACAGCCCTTTTATTGGGGGTAGGATGGATGGAGTCTGCCTCCTGTATCCTGTGCGAGATTTTTTTTTTTAAACATAAATCAAACTTAAACACTTGTTTCTAATGCTTGTGTGGAATACATTGTGGGGTGTTTGTTTGTTTATGAGCTTGAATGACTAATAGGCAGGAGCCCCATCAAGCCTGTGGCACTTGATCAAATAACATGCAAGCTTGTGGCCATGTCCACTCAAGTGGGGCCCAGAGAAGCCAGGATTAGCTGAGCTGGTGGGTGCCATTTATGGGCAGACCAAGGGCTCTGGCTTAGTGGACAGGCTTGTTCTTAGCCCACACACACCTGAGAATCAAGGTGGGCCACGCAGATGCCTCTAAAAGCAAGGATCAGGAGGGGGCTGGGCTTCTGCCATCAGTTTCTTTGATTTTTTTAAAAGTTATTCTCTCAGTGAGTCACAGTACTTCTATATTTCTCACAGAACTTGAGGTATTTCACCTCATTTTCTTTCTTACAGGAGAAAATGATGTTCAGGGAATGAAAGACCAGATAGAATGTATCTTGAAGGTATCTTAAGTTTTCAGATGTGTATTTTGTGCCTCTCCCTTTTTTCAGTGATTTCAAGTATAACCCTAATTAATTGGCAAATGACATTAAAAAATAAGACTCTTGTCACTTCCCAGCCAGAGCCCAGACTAAAATTGTGTGCTGACAGGGACACAGGTGACTGTTTGGGTGAGAAGGCCTTGGCATAGGCAGGGGCCTTCCATGTCTTGGCCACTTAGTACCGCACCACTGTTAGGGAATCTGGGTGTGGTTAGAGCCCTCTGTGGTGCTTCCAGAGTGGCCACAGTTGTGCTGTAAGGTGCTTCCGTGGAGGTCTGTGTTGTGATGGCTGGGCACACAGACCTCCTTTGTTTTAATGTTGAAACACTTCCTTGGTTTTAAGCAGCTTCGGAGAGGGATTTGGGCAAAGCCACTGGGAGAGAATGAGGCTGCAGTGTGCACTGGGGGCCAGGTGAGTTAGTTACCCACAGGAGCCCTACTCACTGAAATTAGTAGAGGTGAGGTGGGAAAGCTTGAAATTAAAAAAAAAAAAAAATCCCTGGGCATGCTGGCTCACACCTGTAATTCCAGCACTTTGGGAGGCTGAGGTGGGCGGATCACTTGAGGTCAGGAATTGGAGACAAGCCTGGCCAACGTGGTGAAACCCCATCTCTACTAAAAATACAAAAATTAGCTGGGTGTGGTGGCATGCACCTGTAGTCCCAGCTACAAGGGAGGCTGAGGCAGGAGAATTGCTTGAACCCAGGAGGTGGAGGTTGCAGTGAGCTGAGATGATACCACTGCACTCCAGCCTGGCCAGCAAAGCAAGACTCAATCTCAAAAAAAAAAAATTTTTTTTAAATTAAAAAAAATGGGACAATCCTTTCTGGCTCTCCATCTTCTTTGTCTTCTTTCCTACCTGTCTGCCACATCCACCTCATCTCTCTCTCTCTCTGTCTCTGTCTCTCTCACACACACACACACACACACACTTTCACACCTACCTGCCCAGGAACCCAACAAACAGAAAAAACCCAATTTCCTAAGGGTTGTTGCCTGAATACATAGAAAACATCCAATATTATAGGTTCAGCAGTTGAAGAAATAAGTTGAAAAGAATGAGAGACAGAAAAAAACAAAGGGGGAGTGTAGTCATTAAAAAAAAAAAAGCAACAGGAGGATCTGGTCTAGACTGACTGAGTCTCACATTTAAAATTAGCAAAGGCTTGTTTTCTCAATCCCCATATTCCCAGCTTTCTGCTTGTGGATTCTGTCTGCCCCATCCCACTTAGAGACTAAATATGGAGGTTTGGGATGGGGGATATTTTCCTAACCCAAACCACACGCTGAGAGAATCAACCAAGCCTAAGCAGATACTGGCTCCCTCCCCTCAAGGAGCGCTGGCCAAGGAAACTGCCCCTTAGAGCTTCTGCCGACCCAAGAGCCTTCCTGAAACAGAAACTCAATCTCTTGTCCATGTGGGCTGTGGGTGCCCAGTAGTTCATGGTAATCAGACTCTAAAACTTCACTGAAGAGAAGATGAGGTGATAAATATCCTAGAAATGTGAGACAACTTGGTATTTGGAGTGGGCTTTGGAGTCAAACATTCTGTTTAAATCCCATCTCTGCCATTCGGGAGCTTCATGACAGAATCCAAGCTGTCTAACCTCTCAATACCTCACTTTCCTCTTCTGCAAAATGGGCATGATTACAGTATCAACCAACCTTACCGGATCATCATGGGCACTCATGTTCAGTAAATGGGCCAACACCTGGCACATACACAGTTAAGCACATAAGAATTGCTAGCTATTATTAGTTTCCTTATCTTTGAACATAGACATTTTAAACATTCTTCAAACAGTATAATTCTTCTGATTGCTGTAAAATAACAGACTGCCATTTTAAGAGGGCGAACACATCCTAGCAACGTTGACATCTCAGCCAGGTCAGCTCACCCTGCTTCAACAGGATTCCAGCCTGTGTGTGCTGTGGACCTGGCTGGGCAGTGACCCACATCGGCAGGTGGAGAAGACTGTCTATCCTGGCCAGAATGTGCTGCCCATTCATTCTGCAAACATTTACTAAGCACCCTTCCCCTCTTGCCCCTGCCACAAATCACGTAAATCCACCTCCTTCTCTTCAAGGAGAAGCACACAGATGGTCCTAGATTCTGGCCTAATTTGGTCCTCACAGTCACCCCACCCCATATTCTTTTGTTTATTCTAAAAGAGGAAATCCCTAAGGTCACAGAATTGCAAGAGATGGAACCAGAATTTAGCCCCACTCTTTTGGGTCCCTCTGGATACCGTCACCCTTGGGTTTATACTCCCTTGCGGCACTTGATCCCACTGCCCCACCCTACCCTAATTTAATACCAGGCTAGTCATGTGAACGTTCATGTGTCTCTGCTGAGTGTGGATTGTCTGAGGAAACAAACACAGTTTGCTTGCTTTTGTTATGATTAGAGAATACTTTTGAAATATAAGAAAGGAAGCATCTCTTGCATTAATATTTTCTCTCTTTTTTGCTGGGAAGCTGATAGAAGATGAAATATCCAACTAGGACTCCTAGGTTCTTAAAATAATCTTGAAGTCTTCCATGTTGATGGCAGAGGTGAGACACAGGAACAAGGATCTACCAAGGGTCTCCAGAGGTACTGCAGGAAGAATCATCAGAGAGACTGATAGGCAAACAGCTGGAACAAACAGCTAGAACTTATTTGCAAACAGGCAGTGTTTGCAAATAAGTCAGGCAGTGTGGGGAGGGTCAGCATTTCCACAGTGCCTGTGGACAGATGTCCCCATCCTCAAGGGGAGTCTCCTTAGAAAAGTCATTTGGCAATTTTGTCCTGAGCACCTAATGTGTATTAGGCAGAATTCTAGGTGCTGGGATGCTGGCTGGAAAAAGGCAGGCTTGGTCCCCACCCTTAGTAACACACTTCAGTGGGGACTCCAGACAGGGAAGGGGATGATTGCACAAGCTTTGGAGAGCTGTGGAAAGGTCTCTGCTGGGTGTGGGGAGTCCAGGAAGCTACTGGGAGATGGCAGTGTCCCCACTGAGTGTGAAGATGAGAGGAAGTAAACCAGGCAAGGGGATGGAGACGAGGAGGACATTGTAGGCAGAGGAGAGTCCACATGGAGGCCAAAGGAGCAGTGAGTGCTGTTCTGAAACTTGCAAGGGGTTCTCCACCACACATGTGTAGAGCCTGAGGTTCAGTGGGGGCAAAAGACGGTGCTGGAAGCGTTGGCAGAGGAGAGGGAGAAGGACCAGAGTCATCCTGGTAGGAAGTTTAGACTTAATGGTGATGGCCTGGTCTTGGTAAGGGTTGGGGGTAGGCCAGTGAAAATGCAATAGGTGGATAAGTCAATGGCTATGAAGGAGGAATTTAGAGATCCCTTCTGAGTGGGGAGGAGGAGGTGGGCAGAAGGCCAGTGCTCAGGTTTCTGGCAGCTTGGAGAATGGTGGCCCTGTGCCCTGATTCAGGGAGTGCAGGAATCAGGTGGAACCATTTGAGGATGGGACCTTCAAAGCTTAATGCGCCTATGAGGCCTCCTGCTGAGATGTCCTCATGGCTATTGGGCAAGTCTGGGGTTCAGGAAAGCATGCAGCTGAAAAGAGTAGATTGGAGCTTTACCTGCAAAAGGAGCCGTGGAAATGAGTGAGATGGCCAGGGAGAAGTGGAGACTGGGATGAGGCAGAACACATTTGGGGGATCCAAGTCACACTTATCCCTTCACTGTGAGTGGCCTCCCAATTTCATCCCACAATTCTGCTCTGACAGCTGAGCTCCAGCCTCCCTATGCCCCTGGCCGCGGTCCTTCCAGGCATAGCAGAAACAACCCCCCCTGGGTGGCTCTACCCTCTCTGGTCCTCTGAAGCTCTCTGGGCACTTCCAGCTGCTTGTCCTGTCCTGAAGTGTCCTAGCGCTTCTCTGCCTCCCTCCCTCCTGGAGGAAAGGGCCAGCGCCTTGCTCTTCCTCACTGTGGCTTCGCTGTGGTCAGCCACCACGTCTGGAGTCGGGTGGTTGAGCAAATGAATTAAAGAAGACTATTGTTGACTCTGCCAATTCTGCTTCTGTAACTCAGTAACAAGGCAGGCCTGCCACTTTTGTTTTCCAAGTTCCCTTTTTAAAATCAGGGGACATTTCACATGTGCAGAAAAAGTACAGAGAATATAATAGGACTCACATCCCCACCTTCCAGACTTGACATGCTGCCTAACTCCTCTACATGTCACAGCCTGCGGGAGAATACCTAGAATCAAAACGACTTAAGCCAAATGGATTTTCCCACAGAAACCAAGTTATGACACCAACTTGGATCTCTGTGGGCATGGCACCTGTTATTTTATTTTTTAATGAGACCAGACAGTGCATTTAGTCAACAATACCATACAAAACCTTCTAAAGAGCATGTCAATCCATCATTCAGGCCCCCAAGCCAGTTGCACTGCCTCTCAGTTCATGTGTGGGGGTGCCAGGCAGAGTTCTTATCTTACTTCCTTATCACACTTCCTGCCCTGAGCAAGAGCCACAAATCAAAAGGAGAACGAGCGTCTTTATTAAAGTCACGGAATTTGGGAGCTGCCTGGGACAGGTTCATTGTTTCTGTTGAAAAATAGCTGGTAAAGTTGGCAGAACTATCATGGTGGTCTGTGTTTCATGTTTGATCATCATTTCACTTATAAATGAACTTTTTTCTTTTATAAAAGTAATATAGGCACATCATGGAAAATTAGGAAATTCAGATAAGCCACAAGAATAAAAACAATTTGAGAGTCCTGCCTAGAAATAGACACTTCACTTTCTGGATTGTATCCTTCCATGTTTTTTTCTGTGCATGCGAGCACGTGAGTGTATGTGAGAGAGAAAGTGTGTGTGTGCGTGTGTGTGTTGGATGGCCATATACTCATTCACACATATACATTCTCTTCAACACACTGGGATCATAGAAGCACATGGTTTAGGGACCTGCTTTTTTCTTTCACTCCTACTGTAGAGAGAACACCTTGCTCTATCATTATACCCTCCACAAAAGTCTTGCTAACCCTGGAGAGATTTTGGCAGACATTCTGGAAAAGGCTTTTGGAAAGAGTTGGGGGTCTTAAGAAAAGCTTCTGTGTGTCCTCTGTTTTTCTACTCTCCCTTAAAATTTTTCCATCACAAGAATAGGAATGAGAGACCAAGTCACATTCAGGGCTGGAATCCATTTCTTCCGATTGATGCTTCAGCATACCTGCTCATATGTATTGCTACTGCTGTCTTGGAATGAGGGGTCCATAGTGGGCAGAGGCCTGAGTACAAAAGGAGGTGGTGCGGGTTTTCTGGAGAGCAGTAGTAGCCTCACTGCCAGTAATCAGAAGATCCTTGAAAGAAACAGGTTTCTGGCCGGGCATGGTGGCTCACGCCTGTAATCCCATCACTTTGTGAGGCCAAGGCGGGCGGATCACAAGGTCAGGAGATCGAGACCATTCTGGCTAACATGGTGAAACCCCGTCTCTACTAAAAATACAAAAAAAAAAAATTAGCTGGTCATGGTGGCGTGCTCCTGTGGTCCCAGCTACTCGGGAGGCTGAGGCGAGGCAGGAGAATCGCTTGAACCTGGGAGGCGGAGGTTGCAGTGAGCCGAGATCGCGCCACCGCACTCCAGACTGGCAACAAAGTGAGACTCTGTCTCAAAGAAAAAAAACAAAACAAAACAGGTTTCTTTCCAGTCACCAAAATGTGGAAGGATTTAATGAACTTCCCCCTACCATGTGTTCACACCAGCCCAGTCTTGATTCACTGCTAAAAATTCTCTGCTTTTGCCTAGTAGAGCGTTCAATGAATATTGGTCAAGTGAATGAATGAATGAATGGTACTTCAGATGATCATGCTACTCCTAGACATTGGTTAAGATGCCTTGGCCCTTCAAAATCAATAACGTGGTCTTTTTACACAGCACGTGCTCTTAAAAATAATCTATTCTATATGTGTGTGTTAGGGCCACTTGTTTTCTAGACAGTTTTGTTTCTGTAGTCAAGTGGGCATAGGAAGTTTATATGTGGGAAGTTAGTATATACAGACACACAGATATATGTCTGTTTTCATTGGCCTATTTATTCATTGGATGAAATTGTTGCAGAAGCTATTTGTAACTATTCAGTAAGGTCTCCATATGTTGCAGTTCTTGCAGTTAGTGTTAAACATTTGGATCAATACAACATAGTGATAGCAGCAAGATCACAAACCTTCACATTCTTCTGCCATATTCCATTGGTTTTACATCTTGAACTGTCTGTGAGTGGAGGCTGATCTTTGCCTTGGGGCTCTAGATGGCCAGGTTGATGCAGCTCGACACACTTTAGACACCTGAGCACCCCCAGCATGAATACTTAATGCTTTAGCAAAGACCCTGTGTCCTTCAGCTTACACAGTTGTGACTACAGGGAAACCTCGTTCCTGTTTTGATATGTTTGTTATGTAGCATGTCCTTTCCGATCTCTGTAACCTTTCAGGGGTCAGTTTTCTCCTTTGTAAAATGGCAGGCTTGGAAGAGAAGGCTCGAAAGCCCTTTGCATGTCAGCCCAGGGAAGTGGAAAGACCACACCTAGGAACCGACTCTAGCTCTTACCACCCTGTAAGCCTGAGGCTCAGTTGCTGTCCCTGGAGAACAGAAAACATAATCATGGCTATTCTGAGGGTCAGGGGCAAGTGCTTTGCAAGTGGGATTGTGGTGGGCAGTGGGAGGGATTCTGGGGTTCACTGTCATGCTAGTTGTGTAACTGGGCAATGCAACCGTGTAAGTGTCAGGAAACCCTCAATAAGACTGAGCCAGAGGCCAATAAGAAGCCAGCATTTACATGATGTTCTTTTCCTTTTTGTAACTAGGAAATTTCGATTTGCACACTGATTTGGCCCACCATTCCTGGAGAGATCTCGTGGGATGTCTCTTTTGTTACTTTGAACTTCTTGGTGCCAGGACTGGTCATTGTGATCAGTTACTCCAAAATTTTACAGGTATGTTTTCTGCAAGTGCTGCCACTGAACTTCACCCAGGCTTGGGGTTATTTCTGCTAGAATCTTAGAATTTGGGGTCGGAGAACACCTAAGAGTTCACGCCAGCTCAATCTTGATTCACTGCCCAGGTCTACAACACTGAGGAAGGAGAGGATTTTTTTAGAAGTTATATCTTTGTGATTATGTTTTTGCTCATCACTAAAGTAATACTAGGTCATTACAAAAAATTAAATTAAAATGAAAGCAGACACATAAATGTAAATAACACAGAAACTGAAAACTTACTCTACCTTCTTAACAATTCAAGATGTATTTTTTCAGGTTATTTTTCTTATAAGCTTATGTATATGTCATGTATACTGTGTGTGTATTTGATGAACCATATGAAATTGCAGGTTAAAATGGTCAAATGGTTATCTGACACTGTTCAATGTTCTTTTCAGATATGAGATAATACTCTCTGCTCTGTAACTCCTTTTTTCACTTAACATTATATCTTAACATCTTTCCACATCATTCCTATATCTCTAACTCATTATTTTTAGTGGCTACAGATATGACTTCATTTATTTTATGGTCTTTTAGGCTGTGTCCATTGTTTCCCCATCGCAAACACTGCAGTACTGGAGAATGTATACTTTTTAAAACATTTTATTGAAGTATTATATACATATATAAAAAGCACACTGAGCATAGGTGTAGGCTCAAACTGAGTGCATTCATGAAAGCAGCTCCCAGGTCAAGAAATGGAATATTACCAGAAGTCCCTCCTATTATCTTCCAGTTGCTACTCCACCCACCCCCAGGGAATGCCCATTTCAAATGTGCACTGAAACAGGAAATGATCTCTACCTTTAAAACAAATATGTACAGGGACATAAAAAGGACGAGTCAGCCTGTTTTATATCTCGTAAGGTAGCCCATTTGTGAGTAAGTTGCCTGCCCAGGCAAACAGCATGGGTGCATCCATGTTTATGCCCATTTTAGAAGGTTTAATGCAAAGCCCTTGAATCCTCGTGGAGGTTTATAGTTGTTGAATCTTGGTTTTATAGCATCTCATGTGTGGGTCATCTGGCAAGTAGGCACTTGAAGTGGTGCCCTGTAGGGCCTGCTCACTCTCTGGTCACTTTTATGGCCCTTTCTTTGCAGCTAAGGGTCTGTAACCTTCTTAGACGCTCAGAACCCATAGCCAGGCCAACCTCCATCCAGGTCTGCTAATCCCTGGGTCCTGTGGGAGATGGCCCCTCCATGTCACTCATTAGACTCTTGCCCACCCAATGACCACTAAAGTGACACCCAGCCTGAGGCTTGTTCAAGTGCAGGAGGCAGATTCAGGCCTGGAGTTAAGGTCTGGACAGTGCTTGCGATGGGACCAGGCATATGATAGTGCTATGTAAGTGTTAGCTATTATCATTAAGTTAAAAGGAAAGAGGTGAGAGAAAAAGGAAGATAAATGTAGAACTTATTTAACAAATATTTACATAGTGTTGACCATATGCCAGGAACTGACTCTTTAATTCTGATAAGAATTACAGATGAAGAAACCCAGGCACAGGGAGGTTAAGTAACTTACCCAAGGTAACACAGCTTGTAAGTGGCAATCAGGATTTAAATTCAGGCAGTCTGACCCTAGAGTCCCAATGCATTAATTCCTCAGACATGTGTTAAGGGCCTGCTCTGTGCGAAGTGCTTGGGGGAAGGGAGGTGGGCTAAAAACCGAGCAAGACACATTCTCTATCCAGAAGAAGCTTTGACATAAAAGGGGAAGAGGGAGGAGACAGACAAGGGTGCTGATATCGAAAGGAGAGAAACTGAACACAAGGTGGAATGATACTGAGACTTTGCAAACACTTTGCAAACTGTTAAATGCTACACAAACGTAAGGGACGAATAAGGGGTATAAGAAAGAAGAGCAGGCCAGGTGTGGTAGCTCACGCCTGTAATCCTAGCACTTTGGGAGGGTGAGACCAGTGGATCACCTGAGGTCAGGAATTCAAGGCCAGCCTCGCCAACATGGTGAAAGCCCGTCTCTACTAATAATACAAAAATCAGCCGGGCGTAGTGGTGGGCGTCTGTAATCCCAGCTACTGTGGAGGCTGAGGCAGGAGAATCACTTGAACCCAGGAAGAGGAGGTTGCAGTAAGCCGAGATCGTGCCACTGCACTCCAGCCTGGGCAACAAAGTGAGATTCCCTCTCAAAAAAAAAAAAAAAAAAAAAAAAACGAGAAAAACAAAAGGCCATGAAGACAGACACAGAGACTTGACAGTGTTATTTTAATAATCTGGGTTTGAGTCTTGAATCTGCCACTTACTTGCTGTGTGGCCTTGGCCAGCTTAGTTACCATCTCTGGGCCTCAGTTTCCTCATCTGCAAAATAGCAAACATAATGCCAGCAGTACAGAGTTGTTGTGAGGCATGTAGGAGATGCTACTGATGGGACAGAGAGAGCCATGCCTGCCTGTAGCAGGTGATGAATAAATTATGACGGTCGTGATTTGTTAGGCAAGGCTGCTCTTCCGACCCCTGTCTCAGAGCATGCTGGGAAAAGGTGCTGCTAAGATTTGCAAGAGGATAAACAACAGCCCAGATTTGGAGCACATCAAGAACAAGGAATTGATGCTAGAGCAGGGCTGGCTGGAAGGGGCGGCAGCATTTGACCTCCTTCCTGGAGGTCTCACTCCTGAGTTCCTTAGGCGCCAAGAGGGCTCTGGTCTGCCCCTTTTCACTCGTACCTCACGCTTCTCAGCTGCCTGCTGAGGAAGGAATGATTTTCCACCCACCCCCATCTTTTTCTCAAGGCCAGGGTCCACCTGGAAAAATTCTGAGACCTGAGGAGTTGGGGCAGCTGTCCTTTTAGCCACCCACCTCTAAACAGCAGTTTACTCTCGAAGCACCTTGTGTCTAAACCCACAGCCGGCCTTCACTTCTCCCCATTACAGACCTCGGAACACCTCCTGGATGCAAGAGCTGTCGTGACTCACAGTGAGGTAAAAGGGCACTCTGAGTAACAGAGTAACAGAGCAAATATGTAATTTACATTCCATCACCACCCTCACCTTAAGGCCCTGTGTGGTCTGGCCCCGCTGCCGTTCTCACCTTCATATTTCACCCTCCCTTGTGTCCACATTGGCCTTGAGGCTGTACTGCGCACTGGCCACCATACTGCTGCCCCAGGGCCTTTGCACCTGCCACTTGTTCTCCTTGATCTCTCTTCTCCAGATTTCTGCATGGGTCACTTCCCCACTTCATTTAGTTTTTACTCAAAAAGCTCTTCACCAAAAAGTCTTCCCATCAATCTCCAATTCCTTATCCTGATTTATTTCTCTTCAAACACTTACTACACCTGTCATATTCAATTTATGACAGTCATCTGTCTTGCCCACTACAATGCAAGCTCCATGAGAGCAGAGGTTTTGGTTTGTTCACTGCTATATTCCTATGCCTAGATCAGAGCCTGGCTCATTCATTGTAGGTGCTCAATAAATATTTGTTGAATGAATGAGGCATGAGCCTTGGATCACATTGAAAGGGGTCTACAGGGTCGTCTCTTCTTGGACAGTGGGAAAATCACTGGACAAAGAGTCCTAAGACAGAAGTTCTAATCCAGGCTTTATCACTGTGTGACCTTGGGCAAGTCACTTAAGTAATGTGAACCTCAGTTTCGCAGGAGCCAAATATGCCTCAGTGGATTAACACAATAAAATGAAAGAGCAGATATGATAATGTTTTAAAAATCACAATTTTAATCCAAATATCACTTAAAAATTACTTTCCACGTTATTAGCAAAATCCACTGTTGCCCATTTCCCAGGAGGACTATGACATTTGTCCTCACTTGGTACCATGAGTTTGCCAGGCTGATAATTTGGAAGCAGACAAGCTATACCAGGTGGATGGAGTGTGCAAGCAGGGCCTCAGTTTGCATCTCCTCCCCTGTGAAGATATACGTAACTCAGAGATACTGAGTCAGCTTTTCTGTCCAAGCTTTTTCTGTGAAGCTTGGTTTTACATAACTCTGTAAAATCAATTGAACATCAATGTTAATTAGGCATAATAACAGACAATTCACAAATTGTTTGACACCATGGGATACAAACACTACAGCACCACCAGTCCCACTTCTCACCTGTCACTAGTTCCTGTAACCCAGGTCTCATCTCCAGGCTTGAGAAGTGTCTCTTTTTCACATCACCCTGGTCTTCTATTGCTCTAAAGCAGTGTGTCTCCTAGAATGCTCTGTAGAGTGCCATGGCAATGTTAGGTGTTAGAAAGGGTTTGGGAAATGCTGGGATAGGCTAGATTGGATTCTTTGCTGCAGGACTTCTCAGGACCTTTATTATGCCAATATACTTTGAGGATCTCCCACACAGTAATAGAATAGGTATCATTGCTAAACGTGACTACAGAACCCCCTTTTCTCCACAGAGCATCTCTCTGCACTGGTGCTCCAAGAAATGCCTTTTTGGAAACCCTGCTCTAAAGTCTCCACCCTCCTTCCTGGTTCTGACCTGGGCAAGAATTCAGAGCAGGCTTCGCCCTGGCTCTTTCCCTACTGCCCACCCTTCAGGGGCTGCTTCATGTGCTTGGAGCAGTGGCCTTATTCATCCTTCTGCCCTCCCTGCTTCCTCTTTCCTTGTGACTCAAACATGCCATACATCTTCAATATTTTTTCCAATCAACAGTTTTCCCAAGGGAATAACCTCCCAGCGACTTCTAAGTGCCTTCGGATCAGGCTGTCACCACTGTTTGGGGCTTGCTTGACGTCATCGCCCAGCAACTGTTGCCATGACAACTGAGATGCCTCTACCCTTTTGTAACAGTGGATGTTTATTGATCCCCCTCTCATTGCCCACATATGCACCAGAATGGAAGAGCAGCGTGGGTGGAGCTGCCTTGCTTATTGCTGTGTGTCCAGCACCTATGAGTGCTTAGCACATAGCAGGGGCATATAAATATTTGTCGAATAAGTGAGTCTATGGCTTGCAGATGGAAAACCCTCAGCCTGCCTCAGGGCTAAACTGAGAAACAAAATCTGTTTCCGCTGAACATGAGGGTGTTAGACAGTGAACACAAAGCCCTTTCTCCACGCCTGACCTGCATTCCCCAGCTTTGGGGGCCTGCATGCTGGTCGTGGAAGGGTAGGTGGAATCTCTGGAAAGATGGAATTTTCTGTCCAGTGATTCTAGAAGGGAGGCTGTTGATTGACCAAGCAGCTCCCAGAGGAGACTCAACCTTCAGGGTTGAGTCCCAACTTTGTCAGTGGGAACATCCTCTACCCATCCCCACATGTTGGCAGCAGCGGTCTGCTGGCATGGGGTGGCAGAAGGGTGTGAGGTAGGGTGGAGACTACCCCACGGTCTTCAGAAGCTCATGTGGGTGTGGAGGCAGTGAGTCTCAAAAAGGTCTGTCCTCAAAGGACTGAGGGGAACTCCAGACTGAGTCTGTTGTCCTAGATGAGCAGCTGCGACACTTCAGTGGGCAAGAATCACCCGGGGAGTTTAGGAAACTTGCAGATTTCTGGGCCTCACCCAGCCCCACACAATCCGAATGTCTGAAGGGGCCCCCCAGCATTTGCATGTCATCATGTACTCGGTGGCCGTGGACCACATTCCCCAGATGCTGTCCACCTCTGCTGAGGTGCTGTGCCTCACCGGAGAAGACACTGGCACCTGGCATGGGGTACACTCCCCTACTTGACTGTGAGGCTCAAGCAAATCACTTCTCTTCTCAGGGCCTCTTAGTTCCAAAACTGCGGCAACCACAGAACCTATCCCAGAGGCTTGTTCTGTGGATTAGGATTAATCCTCAAAAGTTAATTGAGCATTTAGTTTAATCTAAAAGCACATCAAGCATTCTGCCCAGTGCAGAAGACATTTGAAATCCTGGATCAATGTTAATTATCTTTGACATCTAGCATGGGGAGAGGAGGAGGAGAGGAGCCACATTTGATTATAAAGCCCCCTTTTCTTCCTCGCACCCTACCAGTGGTGGGAACTGTGGAGAGAAGGAGATAGTAGCATCTCTCAGTGCTAAAAAAGATCCAGGCCAGGTGCGGTGGCTCACACCTGTAATTCCAGTACTTTGGGAGGCCAAGGCAGGCAGATCACCTGAGGTCGGGAGGTCAAGACCAGCCTGACCAACATGGAGAAACCCCGTCTCTACTAAAAATTCACAATTAGCCAGGTGTAGTGGTGCATGCCTGTAATCCCAGCTACTCAGGAGGCTGAGACAGGAGAATTGCTTAAACCTGGGAGGTGGAGGTTGCGGTGAGCCGAGATCACACTATTGCACTCCAGCCTGGGCAACAAGAGCGAAACTCCATCTCAAAAAAAAAAAAAAAAAAAAAATCCATCCACTTAAGCACTTGGTCCATGAGTGAGCCCACTTTGTCTGTCACCCGCAGCCATTGTCAGGTACCTGCTAGGGCTCTGGGTCACAGAAGACACAGGCATGCCTTGCTTCAGCTCCCATCCCCCAAGGAACCTGTAGTCTGGTGGGGGTCTGTGTTAGTCTGTTCTCACACTGCTTTAAAGAACTGCCTGAGACTGGGCAATTTATACAGAAAAGAGCTTTAGTTGACTCGGTTCCACATGGCTGGGGAGGCCTCAGGAAACTTGCAATCATGGCAGAAGGAGAAGCAAGGACCTTCTTTGCATGGTGGCAGGAGAGAGAAGAGAGTGAGCAGGAGGAGGGAAAACTGTCTTATAAAACCATCAGATCTCATGAGAACTCATTCACTATCACAAGAACAGCGTGGGGGAAACTGCCCCCATGATCCAAACACCTCCCACCTGGATCCTCCCTCCACACGTGGGGATTACGGGAATTACAATTCGAGATGAGATTTGGTTAGGGATACAGATCCAAACCATATCCGGGTCAGAGGTAAGAGGGACGCCTGGGCCGGGCGCGGTGGCTCAAGTCTGTAATCCTAGCACTTTGGGAGGCCAAGGCGGGTGGATCACGAGGTCAGGAGTTCGAGACCATCCTGGCTAACACGGTGAAACCCCGTCTCTACTAAAAATACAAAAAAAAAAAAAAAAAAAATTAGCCGGGCGTGATGGCGGGCGCCTGTAGTCCCAGCTACTCAGGAGTCTGAGGCAGGAGAATGGGGTGAACCCAGGAGGTGGAGCTTGCAGTGAGCCGAGATGGCGCCACTGCACTTCAGCCTGGGTGACAGAGCGAGACTCCGCTTCAAAAAAAAAAAAAAAAGTAGGACGCCTGGACATCTACCACATAGTGTATGTGGCAACTGTCGCATGAGTGCCTGAAACAAAATGCTGCAAGATGCCAAGCGGGAGATGAACCAGGAATCCTTCTCAGAGTTCCTGGCATTAGAGTTTGGAGTTAAAGCCTGGGCAGAAGGATTCCCATGGGCAGAGATAGTAGAGAGTGGGAAAGAACTAGTTTATGATAAAGACAATGGGCTGGCGTCAGGCTGCCAAGTTGGCAGTCCACCTCGGCAGCTTCTTAGCTGAGTACTGGTGGGCAAGTTTTGTAAGCTCTTTGAGCCTCAGCTTCCTCATCTGTAAAATGGGGATCATCACAGTACATATGTCACAGAATTGTTGGGAGAATTTAAAAAGGTAAACTAAGTGATAGGTAAGGGCCTGGCACATAGTAGGTGCTCCATAAATGTGAGCCTTCATCAACATCACTCATCAAAAAGTATTTTTGCGACACTACACCAGGGACCCTGGGTACATTGTCGCCCTTCTTAGGATGGTGTGGGCAGCAAGAGGGATGAAGCTGCTGTCAGAATCAGCCCTTGTGGGTCCCCCAGCCTGTGCTTAGGCCTAGAGCGATATCCTTACTCAGAGGCGGTACCAATTCCTCTGCAGCCCACCCACCTGACACCCTGCCCAACTGATATTCTCTTAGATCTAACAGCCAAGGCAGCTTCCTTAGATTAACCAGGTTTCACCGGAACACAAGTTCTAGTTTTGATTCTACATAATGACTTCCAGACTTGGATGTGCCAATATGGCCTCTGGCGTTTGAGCCCGAGGTGGTGCCCTGTGTATCCTGAGCAACCTTCACCCTGCAGAGCCATTGAGGGGAGGGGAGAGCTGAATAGTGTGGCCATCCCTTTTGAGACTTTTGTAATTTGTCTCATCTTTAATCCCACTGAGCTAGATTTTCAGAGATGGGGGCTCTGACCCTGTATTATCAGTGGAGTGACCTTCAACAAGTTTCTTAAATTTCTTGAAATTCAATTTCCTCATCTGGGAAGTGGGAACAATGATAGTACAAATCTAGAGTAGGTATGAAGATTAAATGTGACGACTGAGAAGTAAATGTGCGGCACAGTGCCGGCCACACGGAAGCCCTCAGTAAAGCTAGAGATCTGTATGACTATGAGGCTGTTCACTCAGCATCTGTTGCCCTGGTCTCCACCATCAACAGGTGGACCTAAACTCCTGCACAGAGCAAGCAGCCACATTGAATCATAAAACAAACAACTATCCTTTAATTAGCTAGTTACAAGTTTTTGTTTTTTTTTTTGAGACAGGGCCTCACTGTGTCACCCAGGCTAGAGTGCAGTGGCGCAATCTCGGCTCATTGCAACCTCCACCTCCTGGGATCAAGCGATTCTCATGCCTCAGCCTCCTGAGTAGTTGGGATTACAGGTGCCCACCACCATACCCTGCTCATTTTTTTGTATTTTTAGTAGAGACAGGGTTTCACCATGTTGCCAGGGTTGTCTCGAACCCCTGACCTCAGGCGATCTGCCCGCCTCAGCCTCCCAAAGCGCTGAGATTCCAGGCATGAGCCACTGCGCCCAGCCTAGTTACAAGTATTCTAACGGGAATATTTTCAGCCATTCTGATCTTGCAGTTAAATTTACCTGAACTGTGAATGATGTTAATTACCTTCCATTACTCCCCCTCTTGAGATTCAGGAGTCTTGGGGGACACCTGTAGGATCTCCTGAAAGAAGAGTCCAGAATCCCCTTCTAAGCCCACATAACCAGGGCTGCCTTCATTGCCTGCCATGCCTCTGCTTCACTGCCAGCCCTGCTCATTAATACAAAATATTAGAGGTCCCAGCAGCTCCACTGGTAGGAATTTATTCTACTGACATGCTCACCTAGGTGTGCAAGGATACGCATGAGGAGGCTTATTCCCCCAGTTGCCACCTCTCAACAGGGGACATAAATGTAAAATGGTCATTTTCCACAAATATCACCAGCAGTGCTCTGACAAGCTCCTCTTTCTTGCTGGGGCAGGGGCACCTTTAATGACACCTATGTCTGATTTACAGAGCTTTCCAGTCATTTTTTGATTATTTTACAATGTCAATCTCATAGTCAGTTCAAAGCTTCCCCTGCCCAAGGCGTAGGATGTGGGTTTGTGGTGCTGGAGCTGGGAGGAGGACAGAGAAGGAGGATGGGCTGCCCTGGCAGTGGTCTGGTCTCCCACAAGGACAAGGAACTTGCATGATTGCCCATATGAGGTGGTTGCCCCCTTCTGTTGGTCATTGCCTCTGATTTCCCTGTGTCTGGTGATGGTGCCAACAGGCCCTGTTGATGAGGGGATCATTCCCAAGCAGCACCCACTCCAACCCATGGGCAGGCCCTTCCCACACCCACTCCCACCAGGTATGGGCAGACCCTTCCCACACTCAGCTTCATTTTCAGGTTGGCTCCTGACAGAAGCTGCCCCAGCAAATGAGCAGCCTCTGATCACATCATCTTTCCTTAACCCCTGACTCAGGGGCCTGTAGGCAAGACTAGGATCCATTTTCTCCCGCTCCTGCAAAAGGAAAGGAACCTAGGGTGGGGTCCAGTGCTCCCTTCTGCCTGGCCTGCCACACTGGTATGCCATCTCCCACTCAACAACCTGTAGGGGAGTGATATGGTTTGGCTGTGTCCCCACCCAAATCTCATCTTGAATTGTAGTTCCCATAATCCCCATAATCTTGAATTGTAGTTCCCATAATGTCACGGGAGGAACCCGGTGGGAGGTAATTGAATCATGGGGATGGTTTCCCACAGGCTACTCTCGTAATAGTAAGTTCTCATGAAATCTGATGGTTTTATAAGGGTCTCCCCCTTCGCTTGGTTCTCATTCTTCTCCTTCCTGCCACCGTGTGGAGAAAGGAAACATTTTCTTCCCCTTCTGCCATGATTGTAAGTTTCCTGAGGCCTCCCCAGCCCCGCAGAACTATGAGTCAATTAAACCTCTTTTCTTTATAAATTATCCAGTCTTGGGTATGTCCTTATAGCAGCATGAGAACGGAATAATATAGGGAGAGAGGGGAAGAGTATGCACACTGCTATTTCAGCTGCTACCTCCCCAAACAAGGCCAAAGAAATAAAATACTCCTCAATAGGGGCTAGATAAATTGCAACCACCATTTACAGAAGATAACAAGAATGAAGTGCCTTCTCTGTGCAGATATGGCCCGAGCACCATGATATACTGCTAGGTGAAAAAGGAGCAAGGCCCGGAGTGTGGTGCGTGGTGTGGGCCCATCTGTGTACCAGGTAAAAGAGCAGATGCCTGCAATCCCACGCCAGGAATATTGTGTGTGGCAGTGGTGCATTTCCAGAAAGCCATATGGGAAAATACTCACGTTAGTCACCTCCCAGGGTGGAAATAGAGGGTAGAGAAGGCCAGATGTTCTTCATTTGTTCCCCATCAGTATAGCATTGTTTGAGTTTGAACCCTAAGCACATTGTGCTTGCAAACAATTAAAGAGACATCTCTTTTAAAAAAATAACAGGGAAGATGTCCCTCTTGTAGACCACCCAATTCAGGCTTTTCACTTCCCCTCATAACGCTGTTTAGAAGG
Organism: Homo sapiens; assembly: GCF_000001405.40. NCBI lineage: Eukaryota > Metazoa > Chordata > Mammalia > Primates > Hominidae > Homo > Homo sapiens. The sequence goes on from NC_000010.11 coordinate 93,587,017, forward strand.
TAGGTGATTTTCTGCTTTATTTCTCAGGAGTGCAGCCGGGGTCCCATTTCTCCAGCACATCCTAAGCTCGGGCACACAAAGTCCCAGAGGCACACAGCTTCAGTGCCTTGGGGATAGCAGATTCCAACTCTTGGGCCCCTAACTCAAAATCCCCAACAACCCTCGGTCACCTGTGGCTCCAGTCCTGTTTTGGTTTTCCACAGATCACAAAGGCATCAAGGAAGAGGCTCACGGTAAGCCTGGCCTACTCGGAGAGCCACCAGATCCGCGTGTCCCAGCAGGACTTCCGGCTCTTCCGCACCCTCTTCCTCCTCATGGTCTCCTTCTTCATCATGTGGAGCCCCATCATCATCACCATCCTCCTCATCCTGATCCAGAACTTCAAGCAAGACCTGGTCATCTGGCCGTCCCTCTTCTTCTGGGTGGTGGCCTTCACATTTGCTAATTCAGCCCTAAACCCCATCCTCTACAACATGACACTGTGCAGGAATGAGTGGAAGAAAATTTTTTGCTGCTTCTGGTTCCCAGAAAAGGGAGCCATTTTAACAGACACATCTGTCAAAAGAAATGACTTGTCGATTATTTCTGGCTAATTTTTCTTTATAGCCGAGTTTCTCACACCTGGCGAGCTGTGGCATGCTTTTAAACAGAGTTCATTTCCAGTACCCTCCATCAGTGCACCCTGCTTTAAGAAAATGAACCTATGCAAATAGACATCCACAGCGTCGGTAAATTAAGGGGTGATCACCAAGTTTCATAATATTTTCCCTTTATAAAAGGATTTGTTGGCCAGGTGCAGTGGTTCATGCCTGTAATCCCAGCAGTTTGGGAGGCTGAGGTGGGTGGATCACCTGAGGTCAGGAGTTCGAGACCAACCTGACCAACATGGTGAGACCCCCGTCTCTACTAAAAATAAAAAAAAAAATTAGCTGGGAGTGGTGGTGGGCACCTGTAATCCTAGCTACTTGGGAGGCTGAACCAGGAGAATCTCTTGAACCTGGGAGGCAGAGGTTGCAGTGAGCCGAGATCGTGCCATTGCACTCCAACCAGGGCAACAAGAGTGAAACTCCATCTTAAAAAAAAAAAAAAAAAGATTTGTTATGGGTTCCTTTTAAATGTGAACTTTTTTAGTGTGTTTGTAATATGATCAAATTTAATAAATATTTATTTATGACTGTTCAGCAATCACATCTCCTACATATAAAGCCACACCATAGTGGTTTCTGAAGTGAGTCTTAGAACCGATTCAGGACGCAGATTTCTCCTCTGAAGGGTCACAGCCACCCTGTGCCCTACCTTGGACTCGCAAGGGTTTAGGATCATTCGTTGATGTCAAGAGCAATTGAAGAATTTCTAAGGAACAGTTAAAGATGACTTACTTTTTTTTTTTTTTCATTTATAAAAATGCTATGGACCCTTTTAAGAGAATCGGCATCATGAAATGAGAGAGAAAGTAGGATGGCTCTGAAATGTTTGAGAGTGAGTTCAGGAGTGGTTTACTCCTGACGCATCCAGCAGAGATGCCTCTTAAGCACCAGCCATGGCAGACAGTGTCCTTTGTGCTAGGAATACAGTGGTGAACCAGACAGCCATGGCCCTCTCTCAGGGAACTTACCTTCGAGTCAGGGGCAGAAAAACTAAATAAAAGTCAATAAACTATATCTATATACAGATACCTATATATTTGAGATGAGGGTCTTGCTCCAATGCCCAGGCTGGAGTGCAACGGCACAATCACGGCTCCCTGAAGCCTCAAATGCCTTGGCTCAAGCAATCCTCCCGCCTCAGCCTCCCAAGTAGCTGGGATTACAGGCGTGAGCCGCCACGCCTGGCTACAAGTCAATAAATAGTATAGCATCACAGAGCGAATAAGCACTGTGAAGAAAATGGGACGGGGGCTATGGTAGTGATGGGAATTTAGATCAGATGGGGAGGGGCCTAAGGAGACCTTTCTGAGGAGTGACAAATTGGATCAAAAGGTAAGCGACAAGAAAGGGCCACCTGTGTGAATGGGGGAAGGGACACAGAAGAGATGTTAGTGCAAGGAGGCTGACACGCTTGAAGGGAGAGTGGCGTAAGCCGACTATTGATGGAGCCTCCTCTGCACTAGGCACTGCCTTTAATGCTGAGATGAGGGGTACCCGGCTGGGGCCTGTCAGTTGAGGCCAGAGAAATTGCAGGGTTAGATCACATAGGGCCTAGGAGTTTATTCTGTTCTCCAAGCCCCTGGAGGTTGGCAACTGGAGGCTGACGTGACCTGATGAATGTGTGCAAAGATTACCCTGGCTGCTGGGCAGGGAATAGACTCTGAGGAGCATGAGTGAAAATGGAGACCAGTTGGGCAGCTGCTGAAGTGTGACATGGGGATGGGACCTTGGAGGTGAGTGGCATTAGGGAGGGATTGTGAGAAATGACTTGTAAATATACCTTGGGAAGGTAAAACAAAGATGATTTATTGATGGGAAGGATGGAATTGATAGAATGTGAGGGAAAGGGAGAACTCAAGGGGAATACTCTGATTTTTTAGCCTGTCATTGGTTGGATGGTGAAGCAGGCAACAAAAATGGGGGGGCCTGGGCAAAGATTAGGGGGGGGGGAGCCAAGAGTTTCATTTGGAGCTCATCAGTTTGAAATCTCAGTGAGACTTCCAAATTGAATAGGCAGTTGGATGCAGAGATGTGGAGCTTGGGCCTGGAGATGCACATTGTTTGGAGATATAAATGGTGTTTATAGACCTATGGTTTTATAATACATCCCTTGGAGAGATAGAGAGAAACCAGAGCCAAAGACCGAACCCAGGGTCACTCCACCACTTGGAGGCTGGGCCAGTGGCTGGAATGCACAGCAGCACGGGGCCTGGTGTATAGTAGGTGTTCAACAAATCTTTGTTGCTGAGGAAATCAGCACCAGCAGTAGTGACTGCTTATGCAGTTTCTGGAGCAGCTTGCTTCTGAAGTCAGATTCATGGATATCACAAGCTCGAAGACAAACGAACAGAGATGTTTTGCTCACTTTAGTTAATAGATTTGATCAATTAAACCTGTTTTTGGAAGTGATGTGTGGCTATCTTATTGAAGCGGCATTGCTGTCTGGGGTAAATAACCGGGGTTTGTCATCTTGCGCCAAGAGGATTAAGGACACGGACATATGTGGGTGGGTTAAGGAACAGAATGTTTAATAGGCAGAAGAAAGGAGAGAGGAGAGCAGCTCTCTCTCTCGTGAGACAGAGGCATCTGAAAAGGGAAAAGTGGTGGACCACAGCGTATTTTATAGGCAGGCTTGAGGAGGTGGTGTCTGATTTACATAGGGCTCACAGATTGGTTTGACCAGGTGTGACGTTTACGTAGTGCACGAGAAAGGCTGGCCACCCCACCCAAATCTGATTATGCAAATGGACTTTCCACTTGGCCATCTTGTCTTCTCCTTACTGCACTCATAGCTGGCAAAAAGAGAAGACGGAGCCGCCATTTTGAACATGCTTAGTCTTAGGTAGTACATTCCAATGGACACAACTGCTGGCATTCACCCATGCAAGCTTCCAACTTGCTTGTCTATGTCTGCAGCACGATTTTACAGCTGCTTTTTGTTAGAAAAGGATTTAGGGGCTGCTTTTCATTAAAAGGAAAATCTTACCAAGGACTTCCATACCCTCACTATCTGCCCGAGTAATTTCTTTTTAACTCCTATATCATTATGGTTCTCTGAGGTTGTCAAACTGAAGCTGCGGAGCAAGGCTCTGACAGCCTGTGGTTCCGTGAGAGAGGAAGGCAAAGCTCTCCCATGCACATCACCTGTCTCCTCTGTCTTTGGTGGAGAACACTAGCATGGGGCCCCCGGGAGCCTCCCACGGTCCCTGGATATTCCAACACCCAGGCGGAGATCTGTGACCCTTTCCTCACTCCCAGTGCATTTCATAGACATCAGCCTGGCATCACCGGTTTCACAGCTCCCCAGAGCTCTAAGGGACATTGCCTAATTGAATCCTCACTGCAGCCCATCAGGCAAGGACTATTTTCCCTTATCTCCCAAGAAAAGAGTGAGGCTCAGATAAGCCTTGTAACCAGCCCCAAATCCACAGCTAATATATATCTGAAGCAGATTTGCACTTACACCAAGACCCTCTGGTACCAAAGCCTTGCTGCTTTTTTCAAGATGAGAAATGGAGGCCCCTGGGAACGCCTGGAAAACTGAGGCAAGTGGCCTTGCACCCATACACTAGGGTTCCCACGTGCTGCTAATGATGCAGGATGCTGGTGCTCTGTCCCAGCCCCTGCAACTCACCCCCTACCCAGCCCCTCCCTGCATTCCGGGTAGGGGGTGCTCTGATCTTTCCTATAGAATGAGATTCCAGAGCCCCATCTTCGAATTTCCCCAGAGGCCTCCCTCCTCCCCATCAACATTTTGCCTACACCTGAAAGAGGTGAGCTGCATGCTAGAGACAATAAAGGGCTAAGGAGTGTTTCCTAGAGCTCACTTTGTCCCCTGTGGCTCAGCCTCTCAAATCCAGCACTGGTGAGCTGCCAGCCCGCCCACCTCACTCACAGGCCTAGGGCTGACTGAGGACTTGGGCTCACTGGACTGACCTGTCTACTCACTTCCTCTTTTGGCACCAGTGCTTTGGCCAGGCTGGTAGGTAAGGCTTCCCTAAGTTAAAGAGGAAACTTCCTTTTCAGGAAGTTGGGAGAAGCCAGTATTTAATAATGGAGATTAGGCACTAGAACAGGCCAAAGGTCAGAAAGAGCCACGTGCTCCTGGTATAAAGAAGCGCACCCCACCCATCCGTCTGCAGCACAGACATAAACACAAATGAAAACTAAAATCACAGGACACGGGTGACTATAGTTTAATGAATCAGAGTCTGGAATCTTAAGCCCCAGAAACTTTCAGGAAAGGCAAGCAGATTCACTGACCCCCACGTGTATCTTTATGTGTAATGAAGGTTTTATGGGAACTGAGGGAAGATGGGGAGAGAAGGGCAAATTAAACTCCTAAGATAAATAGAGCTGAAGACTGAGAGCTAATCAGAAGTTCTCAGATGAAACTAGATTCTTGATATTGCTACAAAAGGTTTCTTTCTGATCTGCCATCGCAGTAACCTGGAAAATACAAAACAAAGCCATTAACGACAGAAAGTGGACCCAGTTTTTATGTAGATAATGAACATCATGATGGCCTTAGAGCTGGCTTCATTCAAATGCTTCTTAATTCAAATGCATCACAGCAGATTGCAACCCTTACGGATACAGGTGGCTGTAATTCATAAACACCTTCAAGGCTGTTTCTGAAACCCACTGAATTTTCTCTGGACGTAATGGGGGTGGAGAGAATATGACTTGCTGGATGAACAGGGCTTCCTTTGATTTCTCTTAAGTCTGCCTTATTGCATTTCAAAGTGTCGGAGGCCACCCTCAGCTTTCAGGAAGTGGGAGCCAAGGCAGCCTGACCTGGGACACACTGGTGATGGTTTTATAAAGTGCTTCTATGTCTCATGTCATGTGTCACCAGATGGTGTGGCACAAGGGACTTCAGAGTCACAAAACTCTAGGTTTGCATCCAACTCAGCTACCTATTAAAGATTTAGGGCAACTTTCTTCCTCATTGTCAGCCTCTGTTTTCTCATCTGTACAATGTGCATAATCTGCTTCCTACGGTGCCCTGCTGTGGTGGAATCCTTGCTGGCCCTACATTTAATTTTGAAGGGTGAAGCTTCAAAATCAATTTGATTTTGGTCTAAGTTCCCATCTGTTTGGTGTAGTGGGTCAGTTCGTGACCAACAGAAATGCTCCATTTTGTTTGATTATTATTATTATTATTTTTTTGAGGCAGAATCTTGCTCTGTTGCCCAGGCTGGAATGCAGTGGTGCAACCTCAACTCACTGCAGCCTCCGCCTCCCGGGCTCAAGTAATTCTCCTGCCTCAACCTCGTGAGCAGCTGGGATTACAGGCGCATGCCACCACGCCTGGCTAATTTTTGTATTTTTAGTAGAGATGGGGTTTTGCCATGTTGGCCAGGCCAATCTTGAACTCCTGACCTCATGTGATCAGCCCACCTCGGCCTCCAAAAGTGCTGGGATTTCAGGTGTGAGCCACCATGCCTGGCCCATTTTGTTTCTCTACATTTTAGCATTACTGTATTTGGATTTTGAAACCCAGTATCCCATAGCAATGAGTGAGTGTCCACTCAAACTAAATGGAGCTCTTTCCTGCACAATGTTCCTGGCTTTAAAATCAAGATCAGACAAGGGTAATATCTCCTAAAAGATCCTATGGTTGTTCCAGAGAATCTCAAAACCCCCAACTGAGGAAACCCAGCTAGACAATGTCATGGCTATTTGGTTTCATATAGAAAAAAGAAGGTGCGTTGAAATCATTCTCTTTGGAGCTTACTACATTGATGCCCCCTGTGGAGTTTTTACGTCAATGGCCACATGAACTGCCCACCTCTTTACTGGGCTGCTCAATCCCAAACAATCTTAATTCAGTCACAATGGTTTTTTGGGGCAGTGTAGCCAGGGGTGACCACAGAAATGGCCCGAGGAAGCAGAATAAAAAGAAAAGAGAGCCCACGGCAGTGTTAGTGCCAGTGAACTGGACAAAGGCCTTTACCCACACCTGCATGAGCCCTATGAGAAGGCCAGTGAAAAATCTGGCCAAGCAGGATCTGGATTTGGCCTCAGAAAGGGGCTCCCAAGAACCCCTGTTTTCTCTGGGGTACGGACAAAATGAATTTCACTAGCACGTGGGCCCCTTAGTCCAAACCCACTGCCCTGCAGGAAGAGCCAGAAGGCACCCTGCTCCTGACTCACCGTTGTGGACGATCAGCCTGTACTGCCTGGCCAGGCACAGCTCCTCCTGCCGCTGCCTTACAATCTTCTGCGCTTCTGGGGGCAGGCCGTTGGGGTCCCGGGAAAACACGAAGGAGTAGCTGTCAGCACAGGTGCCATCGAGGTTCAGGAGGCGGCAGGAGTACTGCACGGCATACGTGTCGTAGTCTGTGTCGACGATCCAGTGGTCATCATCTGCAAGCCAGAAAGCCACCATGCCGATCAATGCCTTTCCCTCATGGGCTCAGATGTCGGAGAAACTCACGACCAGGCCTGAGAACACAGTGACTTCCAGAAGCTGGTTTTATTTCTTTAGGAAGCAGGACACTTCAGAGAATTCTGACAACTTTTATAAAATTTGGCAAATCAGAAAGGATCTTGTTCTCCTTTATTGAAAAAAATCTTGGAGTCAGGGAAATCTCATTCACTTCAATCATCATCTGTCCCTGTGATTATGTCAGCATAATGTGACAGCATCTTTCCAAAGAACCACCAAGAATGTGGGCTCATCAAAACCACAGAATAAACCGTTCTACTGTCGCTTCACCATCTACTCTCCAATAATATCTGTGTCTTTTGTGGCTAATATCTGATGGCCACCAACTTATGTTACCCCCAATATTGGCTTATGTCTTTCTCGATCTCTATCGCTGGTTCCTAATCAACTCACTGACCGGGCTGCCCCCCGCTCTCTCAGTCCTCTGGAGGATGCCACGCCCATGGTCACGGCTTCTCTGGCTCCATCCTAATTCTGCTTATTAATGCTACTCACTTCTTTGTGCCGGCAAAGAGTAGGTTTTGCCTTGAGGACACAAGAGGCCCACCATCTGGCATCAGATATTCCTTCTCAGACCTTGTCCTCTTCACAACTCACAGAGGCAGAGCTGAGCCACTGAATTTAGATTATATGTATTCCTCAAGGCTGAAATGTAAGCCATGAAGAATAAGAGTAAATGAAAGTGGTAAAAATATCAACGAAGGCAGGAGAGGAAAGAATGTTAATTAGAGTATATGTGTGGCCGGGCACCATGGCTCGTGCTTGTAATCCCAGCACTTTGGGAGGCTGAGGTGGGAGGGTAACTTGAGGCCAGGAGTTTGAGACCAACCTGGGCAACATAGTGAGACCTGGTATCTATGAAAAATGAAAATAATTAGCCAGGTGGGGTGACATGCGTCTGTGGTCTCCACTACTTGCGGCTGAGGCGGCAGGATCGTTTTGAGCCCAGGAGGTCAAGGCTACAATGAGCTAGGTTTGCACCACTGTACTCCAGCCTGAGTGAGAGTGAGATTCTGTCTTAAAAAAATAAAAAAGAAAGAAAAAAAGAATGTATGTGAGCGATTTGCCACAGAGAAAGAACAGTGTCACCCTGTATTGAGATAAAAGTGCCACATCTCTACTTAATTTAACCTTCTTGTTGACACAATACCATGATTGGGACTTTCTGAGCACTTAATTATGTGCCAGTCACTGTATGGACACTCCCATTTGTTTTCTCGGTTACCTCTCACATTGATCCAAAACTGCACACTATCATCCTCTACTTTACAGGTGAGGAAACTGAGGCACAGAGATACTTAATAATTCACCTAGGGTCACAAAGAGCAGGGCAGAACTGGGATTCAAGCAAGGGAGTGTGATCCCAGAGCCCACATGCTTCACCTCTACACCACACTGTCTCCAGACAATCAGTACACTGACGGGAGAGGGGCAAGAAACAAAAAGGCTTTGTGTCTCCATCTCAGGCTCAGGTGTTGGAGCAAGGGGTGATGCTCCCTCTGCAGTGTTCCAGTTGGAGAAGCGCAGAGGGAACTGGATCCCCCAGCGTTAGAGGGTGTAAGGCCACCTGGAATGCTGGTCCTAAGTTGCCTCTGGGTGTGCCTCTCTGAGAACCCCTGGAGTGCCAGCCTAGGATGGGGTTCAGCCCAAACCCAGGCTCTGCAGGGGGGCTGTCACAGGAGTGGGTGTGGAGCCCCTCTCTTCAACTCACCCTAGGCCTGCCAGGAGAATGAGCCACTCCTGTGCCTTGAGGCTGTTCCAGGGTAACAGTGTCAGAGGTGGGGCTGAGGAGATGTTCCAGAACCATGACTGCTCAGCAGGAACCATAAAGTTATTCAGCAGAAAGGCTGGGAACAGAAGCCACAGGGCTGCCTGCTGGGCCTCACCCTAACCACTGACTCCCCTCACAGGCTCCAGAGTATCTGGGTGGTCTTCCTCATCCTTGGATGAAGTCATTCTTTCCCTGGTTACGAGGATCACAGTGTCTGTCACAGGCACCCTCAGACACAAAAACACTTGCCTTTGAAATGTTACCTCGACTCATGATCCAGGCAGCTATTAGCTTGGCCGATCGGCAGCTTAACTTTTTTTTTTTTTTTTTCCTCCAAAATGGTCGCCATCATTTAAATTTTGACAGAGGAATTAAGTAACTTTCAATACTTGGATTTAGTAAAATTGGCTACTGTTCTTGACTTTAAAAGAAGGCCTAAGTTGGTTTGGTTAATCTCCAGGCTCTTTTGGCTGAATAATTCAAAGACGAGGAATTTAAATCATAGTGACCTTGACCAGGCTCTCCCTTTTAAGAGTATTTGCAAGAGATGAACTGCCAGAGCACTGCGAGAATGAGGTTGGTTCTCTAACCTCCTCACACCCGGCAGCTGGGCAGGGCTCCTCTGGAGAACCAGACACCCCCAGCCATTTCCAGACTCCAGCTAACCGCATGCAGTGGAGCTAGGGACAGAGAGCGTTGGAGGCAGTGGCTGTGTGGCTGGGAGCCCCTGCCTCCCCTCTACCATCCTAGGAAGTGGGGTCATGCTGCAGCTGTGTGTATACTGTACCTACACAGACTGGTTTAGCGGTTTGGACTGCCAGTCCCAAAACCAAAGAAAATGCTTGGTAGAGGGCGCTGTCTCAGGCAACCTGGTTCCATTGGTCTGTTCTGTTGCTCACTGCTGTGGGCCTGGCATGTGTCCTTTCAGCTCCCTAAACCTGCATGCTCCAATCATCTAAAGCAGCAAGACCAGGTGGGAAGCTCCCTGTGGTTCTCAGGCCTAACAGTCCAGCTGAGCCAGCCAGGCAACAGATTCAATGCTATTTCTGATGCATTGTCAAAATACCCCAACAGGCCCCAGAAAAGTGAGTGGAGTCTGAGGCCTTGATACCTGAGTAAGCCAAGCTCTTCAGATTGAATTATCTAGACCAGTGGTTCTCAAACTTCATTGTGCAGAAACAGCATACCCAAGGAGCATACTTAAAATGCAGATTCCAGGGCCGTGCCCTTAGAATTTCTGACTCCATAATTCTGGGTTTGAGTCCAGAAATGTGCATTTGTTAACAAGCACCCTAGTGTATTTAGATATAGATGGAGCAGGAACCCTGACTTTGACCAACACTAATGTAAACATTCAGGCTTGCATTGTTATTCAGTCTGACAAGGGCCCCTTTACTAGCAGAGTGACAGACTTCATCTGACAGAAGGACACAAGGAGAGTCTTTGTCCAGGTCTTTCTACAAGAGCACAAAACAATGATGATATAACTAATATTTATTGAGCACTTACTATGCACTAGGCTAAGCATTTTCACAAATTACCTTAATTAGTCCTTCCAATGATTCTATGAAATAGAAACTATTCTTTATCCCCATTTCATAGTGAAGGAAGTCAAATCTCAGGGAGGCTAGCCTGTATTCAACCAAGACCTGCTGATGGTAGTATCCTCAACCCCTGAGACATCCTGCTTGCTGCTGGTGGAGCCAGAAGGGAAGACCAGTATGGAGCATGCCCAAGGCTGGAGCAGCAAGCCACATCAGTCTGTTAACACTGACATTCAACTGTAGAGATTGATCACATTTAATTTTAAAATAATTCGACAACAAATTTCATGATCGCTTGGCCCTGAGTTACTTTCTCTCCATAAGCGCACCTCATTTTAAACACATCCGTTTGGTGAGATGCAGTGTGTGGAGCAGGGGAGAGGCTGAGGATGCAGCCCACTCTTGGAGTGGCCTTCAAATCCCTCTGTCCAAGTCAGTGTTTAAAGCAAGACCATGGTCAGGGAAGAAACTGGCACGAGGAATGAAAGTAGAGTTTGTTAAGATGACCCCAAAACAAGCATGTAAAACAGAACAAGGTAGGTGCATCAAGCCATGCCATTTGCGAGATACTCAGAAAACAAAGGCATTGTTTGTGCCTTTTTACAAGCCATGGGTTAAGAGGTGTCACTAAGTGCCAAAAATTCACCCTGTGCCCCTAGGCCAGTCACTTCTCTATGGGCCCCAGTTTCTTCACTTCTAAAACAAGAGACTTGAACCCAGTGGTCTCCATGGGTCCTCCCATTCTAGACCCAGAATCTAAAGCTATGATTTCACGACCAGGGAGATAACTAAGCAGCCATCATATCAAACACTTACAAAGAACTCATGTCTCAGGCACTGTTCTGAGTGCTTTCTGCCTGTTGACTCATTGCATCTTGTAACACAACTCTATGAGGTAGGTTCTATGATCGTTTCACTTTGCAGATGACGAAATAGGCACAGAGAAGTGAAGGAACATATCTAAAGTTCCACAAGTAGTGGTGGAGTTGGGATTTGAACTTAGGAGGTCTAATTTTAACCGGGCGGGCTTAACTACAACACTGCACAGCTTCTTTTTTGAAATGTAACCTAAGAAGGAATTTATCCTTAAGCCTTCCATATTATAGTCATCTCACTTAATATCTATAGCAATCACTTTCAAGATGGCAGTACTTTTTCGCCCTCCAAATGAAATCCTGATAAAATACCAATATACAAGAGACAAAAGCAAACTAATCTGGTTTGATAGGGGGAGGAGGCAAGAAACAAAATGCTCCCTTCTCATTGGGTCCTCTCTGACCCTGTGCCTAAAGGCATTGCCAACAGAATCCTAGTCCATTAAGGAGCACATCTCAAAATGCTATAGAACATATGTGTTTCCTCTTTCTAAAAATTAATAATCTTGTACCTCTGGTATTGATTTTTGTAATCCATTATCAGAAAAGTATATTTTACTCTAAATAAATCACTTTGGGATGTTTTGCTGCACTATTTGAAATAATTTTTATTATTTCCAAGGATAATAAATAAAAATAAAGCTTCTAAGCTTTTTCTCTACCAGGTATGGTGGCTCATACTTGTAATCCCAGCACTTTGGAAGGCCGAGATGGGAGGATGGCTTGAGCCCAGGAGATCAAGACCAGCTTGGGCAAGCTGGGGAGACCCTGACTCCACAAAAAATACAAAAATTAGCCAGGCATGCTGGCCCATGCCTGTAGTTCCAGCTACTCAGGAGGCTGAGGTGGTAGGATGGCTTGAGCCCAGGAGGTTGAGGCTGCAGTGAGCCATGATGGCGCCACTGCACTCCAGCCTGGGTGACAGTGAGACCCTGTCTCTAAAAAAAAAATAATAATAAATTAAAATTAAAAATTAAATAAAATTTAAAAATGCAATTTCATCCAACACACAACTTTAGAGGAAGTCCAAGAGGGTGGTGTGCCATATATGGAGAGCAAAGGGTTACAATAAAGGACACTTCTACCCTGGATCACCGAGCAGAGAGAGTCTCCCTGAACAACCCTTGGTCCTATCTCACAGAAGAGCTCAAACAATACTTTGCAAAAGCTGGTCTGGATTAGGAGTCCCTGCAGTTCAGGGCCACCTGATCCTGGCCTGAGATTTGGAAGCCTGGCTTCTGACATTGGCTCTAACAAACTTGTTGCATGTCCTTGGGCAAAGTTCTCTTGGCCTCAGTTTATTCATCTACATATTGAACCCCCTCCAAAAGGTTAACTCTCCCTCTCTAAGATTCCATGATATGTGTCCCCTGGCCTGCATTATTCTCTAGCTACCAAGTAGATTCCTGATTTGAAACTTAGGATAAATGGGGAAAAAAATGGGAAAAAGAGCATGTAGACACTGTTTTCTCATGATTAGGCCAAATTTTAGGATGTTCTTCTACAAGTCCTCAACATCACTCCCCTCCACATCTGATTTTCACAGCTTAGTGGAAAGGGAAGAGGCCACAGCCACAGCACACTGTGCCTGGCTCAGAATCTCAGCATCAGCAGGCCAGGCACTTGGGAGGCATCCACCCCTATGCACAGTGTTCCCTCCGTCCTTGGATAGGGCTCTCTCGGCCTCTGTGGGAGCCCCAGATAGTCAAGCTGTCTCAGGGATTCAGCCCAAAGAGACGGAGGAAATGCAGAGCTAGGTGGAGTGGTGATGTGAAAGACAGGAGGAGAAAGCATGGAGAAAGCACACACCTTGGCACAGTGGCTGGTGGGGAAAATGACACCTGACAAACCGAAAGGTCCTTTTGAGCTTAGGCCAGGTTTCTTGAGCTGAGGTTTGGGGAGGGGGTAGGTAGCTGCTCCCAATCTTGTTCCCCTAACCTCAGGTGGTGCTGCGGGTTCCTGACACTTCCAGACCTTTCCGCAGGCCATTCTTCCTAAGGGTAGGTACCTCTGGAGAAGAAACCCAGCGATTTGGCCCGGTAGGCGCCCCATTCCCAAGACAGTCCCACAGAGCTGACTACTCACTTCCTTTCTGGAGAAAGGAGGCTACGCCCCAGTACTTCATCTTGAACTTGGCAGGGTCCTCGGTGTCTGTGAAGGTGCCCACCATGTCTGCGCACACGTCCCAGTTACTGCAAAAGCCAAGGGGATCCTCAGCCAAGCCGGGCAAAGGGCTTCCTCCCTCCCTCCACCCATTCGGTGCTCCCTTCCCTTCACAATGCCCACGTGGCGATCAGCAGGCAGGGCCCTTGGGGAACCCTGGAGCGCAAAGGGCGCAGCTGCCCCGGCGGCCACTGACTTCAAAAGACGGACTCGGCCCTTGGCTGTGGCGCTCATCTGGCCGGTCTCGTCCACGGAGAACTCCGCGACGATGTTGTCCTGCAGAAAGAGGCCCTCGGGGTCCTTCTTGGCCATGGCGTACCAGGTCCCAGAGAACTGTGAGAAGGATGACAGCAGGGGTTTGGCGTCCGGGGGCGCACGGCGGGCCGCGGGGAGGGCGGGGATGGGGTGGGGACCTGGGCCGCCTGGGCCCCCTGGGCCGATACCTACGCGAGCCTTGTCGAAGTTCTCCTTGACTCGGAAGCTGCTCACTCGGCAGTCGCGCTCCGCGCGGCCGCTGCCCAGCGCCGCCAACAGCAAGAGCGCCCACACCCACTTCATCTTGCCCAGGAATCCGCCCTGCGGGAGACGCGCCTCCGTCAGTGCCCGGCAGCCGACCCCCGCCGCCGTATCCCACCTCACCCCACCCCACCCCACCCCGGCCCATCCCGCCGCCGGCCCCGAGGCCCCGGCCGCGACTCACCACCGGGAGGGGAACCGCGCGCAAGCCTGGCCGCCGAGTCCGGGCGCGCGTGGAGCGAGGGAGGCGAGCGCGCCGCGGCCGCCCCGCTGCTTTATAGCGCCGGGGGGAGGGGGTCGCGCTTTCGTAACCGCGCGGGGTGAAAGACCGAAGGGGAGGCGCCGGGGGCACTTGCATAACGCGCCCTGACTCACCGGAGCCCGGGCACGGGCAGGGTCCCTGTGGGCCGGCCTCACCTCCAGGACAGCCTCGGGCACAGTGGAGCGGCCGCGCGGGGTGGCCTCGGCCAGGCCAAATGCGCCAGCGGCCCTGGCTCAGTTACCCTGCACTCGTGCCAGCGGCCGCCAGCTGCGGTCTAGGGTGGCCTCCGGGGCCAGTGGCTCTGGCAGGAGGCTCGAGTCAACCTGGCGGGAAGACCGTGGCCTCACAGAGCGAGAGCGGACCCGCGAGGCTCCCTGGTGCGTGAGTGCCCAGGCCCTGGCCATGCCAAATTGGCGCCTCCGTCTGCCTTCTGAGGTCCACTTGTGCAGGAATTTTGGAATAATTCATCCAAGTAGTTTTTCATTTTATAAAGGATGTATTTTACTCTCTTTCAGGAGCGTTGTGGTGCCCTCTGGTCAATATTTGTTCTTTAGTTTCAACATCTTTAAAAGCGTTAAAACCCTCCCTGTTAAATATTCTCCAGAAACGCAACCCTGGTCAGGACAGGAAATATTTTAGCAGCCTCGGTGGTCGCCTGCTTACTCCGTGGCACTTCCCTGAAACCACTTTGAAAAACACCTACCGATTGTTTATGATGCAATTTTATTTCAAACCCATGTTGGAATTTTCATTTATTTTCAAAACAGCTAAGGTCGGTTGTTTTGTTGGCTGGGGAGTAGACAAAGGAGAGAAGAGTAAACAACATTCTATAACTTCAGTAGCCAATTGAATCAAAACAGTGTGACTAGTTTAGGTATTTTCCTGTGTGATGGCACAATTTACTGACCCTGTTTTTCTCTTTCTGTTCGAAGTTAGAGTTCCACTCGTTTGATCAAAGCAGCCAATCAAAGGATGAGAATGACGGAATGAGAATTCATGATGTGGCAAAGAAGTATCTCTTCTTGAGATTCTTTCCATACAATATCGATTGTGTCTCCATGGCCTAAATTGGAAAGATTCGAGATCAATTTGGGCCATTTTGCTGCAGCCCGACCTGAAATAAGAGGAGATCGGGGAAGAGGAAGGTGGCTGCCAAACAGAAATAAGGAGTTGATTGGTTCTCAGACCAATCCTTTATCTATAGGGCATTAGGGCTAATTCTGAGCATCCTGAAAAGATGACATCTGTGGCTTCCTTCCCCCCTGCTTCTCCATCTTTTTCCCACCTTCCCCTTCACTCTTGCACCCATTTGAGTCCCAGCAGTGTCTGGGGAGCCAACGGTGATGCATTTAACTCCTAACCGCCGCAGAGCTAGGAAAGCCTGTTTCTGGACAACAAGCTGACTAGGAAATCTTCTGATTGGGCCAGTTTTATAGAAGACTGTGTAATCCCAAACAGCTCAAATAAGTTCTGCTTCAGATCGTCTCCTGCAGGACCCTATGGGGTATATATCTATGCACCCTGGGTGGGAAAGGATTTTAGGGCACCTCTCTATCTCCTGCCCAATACTTGGATCCCCTCTTCGGCATTCCAGAGGAGAGGTCTTCCAGTTTTTGCTCCAGGTTCTTTAGTGATAGAGAGCTCCTAGCTTAGCCCAGTTGCCTTTGGACAGTTATTCCTGCCAGAAACGTTCTCCTAATACCCCCTGGCCTTGCAGCCATTTCTCCTAGAACACATTCTGGTGGCCCTTGCACACACTGTAGGTTGAATAATGAAGGGTATTTCAGTTCATTTCGATGATGGTTTTGATGCAGCAACAAGTTTTCATTTATTTGTTGGGTGTTTAAAGGTTGTTTCAGAGTAAAAATTTGAGGTGAAAAAAGAAAAAAGAAAGTTGGTGTAACCATTCCTCTGCCCCTCCTCTTTTAATGATAAATCATGGACCTTAGTGCTCCAGATACCAGCAGAGGAAAACAGTTTACTTTGGCATTCTTTCTAGGATTTCTTCATGATTACAAATAAGTTAATTCAGGTCAACTGATGTTCTTAACTTCAGTACTTTGGAAAAAATCCTCATACATTAACTTTTCAAATATGTGTATATGTAAAGTCAAAAGGAAAAATGTTCATAGTGAATATCTCTGTGAGATAGGATTAGGGACGCTGAAAGATTTTTTCTTTGCGCCTTTTTGTATTTTTAAAATTTTCTATGATGAAAACGTGAATCAGAAAATAAAGCAAATATTTCCTTTACAAATATTTTTCTTGCTCCTTTTCCTGTAGGTAAAATTATGTTTTAAATTACATCTTATAGATCGTATATAATGTACACAAAATTTCATTCATTTCCTTGCCATGCTTCATGGAGAGACAGACCATGTTTCTTTCATTCATCTTTGTACCTGTCCCCATTCTCCCCACTTTTCCACTGGGTATATCAAGAGACTTGTTCATAGTAGGTGCTTAATCAATAGATATAATTTCTTTTACTGAAATTAGTCACTCTATGCAAACTCCATAAAACATTTATTTTTAAAGACCTGTTCAGAGTTCACCCTTTCTAATATATAATTCCTCAGGATTTAGTACTTGTAGCACAGGTGGCTACTTGGCCTTTCACCAGAAAATTTGCAGTCCCCTTCCATGTTGTAAAGTTGGGGACTACCAGTCTGCCAGCCCCTGCCTTCCCCGTCCCCACTTCCCGAAGCTCTGTAAGGCCACGAGCCTTCTGGCCAGCGGAAGGGGCTGTGTCACTCCCAGGCAGAGCTCAGAAAAGCTGCCCGTTCAATTGTTCACATCCTCTCTTTTCTTCTCTTATCTGCCAGGGTCCCCACTGGTGACTGACTTTATGTGAATGAGAGATGAGCTTCCACTGGATGAAGCTACTGAGATTTGAGAGGTTACCTGTAACAGAAGTTGCTGTTACCTTAACCTTCACAGCATCAAACACATCACTAACTCCTAAAAAAGACTGAAAAGGGTTTTACCATAACTCACAGAACTAATGCAAGACATTTGTGTCCTTACCCTCATGAAAATTAAGCACTAGCAACCAGCTCCATTTTATACAAAGTAACATTTATACCCACATCTGGACCGAGGCCAAGAAAAATGAAAAACAAGGAAGTGGAGCAGCATTTATCTTCTGACTGCATTTAAAAGATGTCAAAATAATTGGTTGAAAAATGGAAAGGTTAGTCAGTCCATGTTTTCAGGTACAAAGAGATAAATTAATTTTTTCAATACGGTGTTCTCAGTGGTTGCAGTCATCAGACCATCACATCAATTTGGATAAAAATAATATGGTTTTCACCAACCAAATTGTCTCTGAGATACCTGGTTATACCCCCAATTAAGTGCAGGCACAGGGCTTTCATGAGAGCAAATGTGCAGATGGAAGGGTCCTGTGCAGTTGGCTGCCAGATGTGCCTGAAATTCCTACCTACAGGGGGTCCTTTCCATGATGGGTAATTATAGGAACAGATAATCTGGCTAAGGTGGAACTGAAGAGTGGGTTCAGTATAATAATGTGAAATACACTTAATTAGCCCAGGATATTGTTGATTTCTGTGTTGGTGCTTCTACCTCGTAGGCATATGTTTTGGCTATTGTATAAGCATAACTTCCTGTAGAAGTCATTAACTGCAGCAAAAAAATTTAACAATGATGGAATTAGAAATTACGCGTGCTCATTTATGTAGAGTACTACTGAAAACTTGTTTAAGCAGAAAGTTTAAGGAAGTTAAATCATTCTTTGTGGATTTTTAAAAAGATTGTCTGGAATTTTTATTTCACTCTTGTATTAGTATTTAACATTTTATGATATTTGTCTAGATTTCAAAATCTTCAAAGAAAGAGTCTTTGTATATCTCCCTCTAGCATCAAGTACGAAGTCTAGTTCACCTCATGTGCACATTTTTTAATTGAGCCATATTTAAACTGGTAGTTTTAGAGTAGGTTACTATCACTTGCTGGCTATGACCTTGGGCAAGCTAACTTAATTTCTGTGTGCCTCAGTTTCTCACCTGTAAAATGATAATGGTACCTACCTTATAAGATTGTAAAAATTAAATGAGATAGGCCAGTCACGGTGGCTCACTCCTGTAATCCCAGCACTTTGGGAGGCTGAGGTGGGAGGATCACCTGAGGTCGGTAGTTCAAGACCAGCCTGACCAACATGGAGAAACCCCGTCTCTACTAAAAATACAAAATTAGCTGGGCATGGTGGCGCATGCCTGTAATCCCAGCTACTTGGGAGGCTGAGGCAGGAGAATCACTTGAACCCGGGAGGTGGAGGTTGTGGTGAGCGGAGATCATGCCATTGCACTCCAGCCTGGGCAACAAGAGTGAAACTTTGTCTCAAAAAAACGCCCCAAAAATTAAATAAGATAATATATGTAAGGATCTTAGGAGGGTACCTGTCACAGAGTATATATTTTGTATGTTATCTATTCTTATTATCCTTTTATTATTACCAGGTGGTTTACATTTCTTAAAAAAATTCTATGTAAATGCAGTGGAGTTTTCACATTGACTTAGTTATCATTTCAGAGTTTATCTAAATAAATTTGTCATTAAAAAATATTAGCACCTAAGATTTTGACTTTTTCCTTCATTTTCTCCATCAGTTAATATTCTATCCAAAAAAAACAAACAACAAATCTATGCTTTGAATGAAACAGAAGCACTGAGGTAAAAATTAAACAGTGAAGTCAACATTTTGTCATGTTAAAAATTTATTCTAAGTGATCTGTTTGGTAAGTTTAAATTTTAAGATATGTCATTTTCCATCCTATTTAATAAATGGTGCTGGGAAAATTGGCTAAATATATGCAGAAGAATGAAACTTGACCCCTACCTCTCACCAGCTACAAAAACTGACTCAAGATGGATTAAAGACTTAAATGTAAGACTTCAAACTATAAAAATCCTAGAAGAAAACCTAGGAAACACTCTTCTGAACATCAGCCTAGGCAAAGAATTTATGACTAAGTCCTCAAAAGAAAACACGACAAAAACAAAAATTGACACGTGGGACCTAATTAAACTAAAGAGCTTCTGCACAGCAAAAGACACTATCAACAGAGTAAACAGACACTCTACGAAATGGGAGAAAATATTAGCAAACTATGCATCTGACAAAGGACTAATATCTAGAATCTATAAAAAACAAATCAACAAGAAGAAAACAAATTACCCCATTAAAAAGTGGGCAAAGGACAGGGACAGGTATTTCTCAAAAGAAGACATACAAGCAGCCAACAAACATATGAAAAAATGTTCAACATCACTAATCATTAGAGAAATGCAAATCAAAACCTTTCGCACCAGACAGTATGGCTGTTATTAAAAAGTCAAAAAATAGCAGATGTTGGTAAGGTTGTGGAGAAAAAGGAACACTCATATGCTGTTGGTGGGATTGTAAATTGGTTCAGTCCCTCCGGAAAACAGTGTTGAGATTTCTCAAAGAACTAACAATAGAACTCCCATTTGACCCAGCAATCCCATTACTGGGTGTCTATCCAGTAGAAACCCAAAAGAAAATAGATCATGCTACCTAAAAGACACCTGCACTCACAAGTTTATCACAGCACTATTCACAATAGCAAAGACATGGAATCAACCCAGGTGCCCATCAGCGGTGAACTGGGTAAAGAAAATGTGGTACATATGCACCAATGGAATACTATGCAGCCATACAAAAAACAAAATCATGTCCTATGCAGCAACATGGATGCAGCTGGAGGCCATTATCCTAAGTGAATTAATGCAGGAACAGAAAACCAAATACCACATGTTCTTACTTATAAGTGAGAGCTAAACATTGAGTATACATGGACACAATGATGGGAACAATAGGCACTGGGGCCTCCACAAGGACAAAGGAAAGGGTTGAAAAACTACGTATTGAGTACTATGCTCCCTATCTGGGTGATGGGTTCAACTGAAGCTCAAACCTCAGCATCATGCAATATACCCATATAAAAACCTACACGTGTACCACCTGAATCAGACATTTTAAAAAATAAAATATGTTATTTTCTGAAATTGATTTTGTTTTTTTCAGTGCCTAGTAGCAGACAGCCAATAAGAGACACAAAGATCTTGCTAACACTGGCAAGAAGCTCTGCAAAGAACTATCCCAAGAGGAAGAGCTATGGAAATCACAGGACTTCATCAAGAACAAGAAAGAAAGAAAAGGCTATTGGTGTGTGTGCTAAAAGGAGGCTTCTAATATTACCCATTTAAAAATCTTTGATAAAATGTCATTTGTCTTAGTTCAGGTGGCTATAACAAAGTGTCATAGAAGGAGTGGCTCATAGTTCTGGAAGCTGGAGGTCTGAGGTCAGGGTGCCAGCATGGTCAGGTTCAGTGATGGCCATCTTCCTCTTCCAGGTCACAGACAGCCATCTTCTCCTGGTATCCTCACATGGAAGAAAGAGGGCTGGAGAGCTCTCTGGGGGCCCTTTAATAAGGGCACTAATACCACTTGTGAGGGTTCCATCCTCATGACCTAGTCACATCCTGAAGGCCATACCGTCTAATACCATCACATTAGAGGTTAGGATTTCAACAGATGAGTTTTAGGGGAATACAAACGTTCAGTCCATAACTTCGCTCAACACTCAAAGTAGTTAACAGTGACCCCTTCTCTTGTGTGCTTTTTCTAACTAATCAATTGCCTCGTCCTGTCAATTGTCATGACACATTTGCTGGATTGTGTCTCACATTTGTCCTTTTCTTTTTCATTCCCAAGCAACTTCACCCATAGACTGCAGAGATAACCTCAAAATCTTTGTTTATGAATGACTTAATTTCTTTATTACATAAAGTATATATGTTCATTGTAGATGCTTTACAAAAATCAGGTAAGCAAAAAAGAAGAAAAAAATTAATGTCTTGAATCCCACCACTTTGAAATAACTTTTTTTTTCTGAGATAGGTTCTTGTTCAGTCGCCCAGGTTGGAGTGCGGTGGTGCGATCACAGCTCCCTGCAGCCTCTACCTCCTGATCTCAAGCCATCCCCCCATCTCAGTCCCAGTCTCAGCTGAGACTACAGGCATGTGCCACCAAGCCCAGCTAATTTTTGTAATTTTTTGTAGGGCGGGGTTTCACCATGTTGCCTAGGCTGCTGTCAGACTCCTGAGTTCAAGTAATTTGCCTGTCTCGGCCTCCCAAAGTGCTGGGATTATAGGCATGAGCCACTGTGTCCTGCCTTGAAATAATTTCACTTAATATTTTGGTATATATACCTCTGTCTGTGCATATTAATGGAATTATGCTGCAATACTGTTTGTAATTAACTGCATATCATAAATATTTTTTCATGTCAATAGACTTTAACAATATTATTAGGTTGGTACAAAAGTAATTGCGGTTTTTGCCACTAAAAGTAATGGGGAAAATCGCTATTATTTTTGTACCAACCTAATAGCTGCGTAGCTTTCTATTTTACAGATCTAATACCATTTATTTACTCAACCTCCTACTATTAAGTGTCTAGGCTATTTCTGATCTTTTACTTTTATACCCACACTCATGGTAAGCACCCTTGCAACTATATTAATCACATACATTCTTAATTATTTCTCTAAGATGAATTCATAAAAGCAGAATTGTGGGGTCAAAGCCTATACACATTTTTAGGTTGTTTGATAATAAGCCAAATGCAATAAAGTATCTTAATCTGTATCCCAATGTCCAGTATTCTGTTTTCCTCCAACTTATCTTCCTCCTTAAGTTTGTAAAGAAGAACACTAATAATGTTGCCTCCCACTTCAAAAATTGTCCAGGATTCAAAATCCTCAGTCTAGGCTTTGAAGCCCTTCTAATCTGGGCCCGGCCCACCTTTTCAGGGTCACC
Source organism: Homo sapiens (assembly GCF_000001405.40). Lineage (NCBI taxonomy): Eukaryota > Metazoa > Chordata > Mammalia > Primates > Hominidae > Homo > Homo sapiens. The sequence goes on from NC_000010.11 coordinate 93,609,113, forward strand.
TCTCACTGTCCTCCCTGTATTACCCTACACCCCATGCTATTGCTTCTGAACACTCTTGATTTCTACCCTGTCTTCAGCCACACTAGATATGATCCCTTTCGTGAACTCCGATAGCCATGTACATGTGCCTCACTTCCAGCATTAATTGTATTCTGTTCTATGTCTCATGGGCTTTTTACGCACTAGTCTTACCTCCCTTCCCACACCACAAGTGCTTGTAATGCTGGGACCACCCCCTGAGTCCCCGACAGTAGAAGTGTAACTGTCAGAATTGTCTTGGTGATGCTGCAGTAACAACAACCCTCAGGTCTCCGAGGCTGAAAACAAGACAAGTTTATTTCTCATCATGCTACATGTCCATCTCGGGTCATCCAGGGGCCTCTGTTACATGACATCCTCACTCTGGGATTCAGGGGCCCTTTCATCTGAAACTGATGTGGCAGCAGAGGGAACAGAGACCTGGAGAGCCTCCCGTTGGCAATTAATTGTTCCTGTCTGAAAGTGATATTTCTGCCCACAAACCATTTGTTAAAATCAGTCACATGGCTGTACCAGAGGGAGGAAGAGTAATCTTCCCATGTAACTGGGAGAAGGAAACAATCATATAATATAAGGGGAACTTGAAGTCTCTATCACAATAGCTAGAATGGTGCCTTGCTTGTAACAGACAATCAATAGACAAATGTTGAAAGAATGAACAAATGAGGCCAGGTGAAGTGGCTCACACCTGTAATCCCAGCACTTTGGGAGGCCAAGGAGGGCAGATTACCTAAAGAGTTCGAGACCAGCCTGGCCAACATGGTGAAACCTTGTCTCTACTAAAAATACAAAAAAATTAGCCAGGTATGGTGGCATGCACCTGTAATCCCAGCTACTCCGGAGGCTGAGGCAAGAGATTCGCTTGAACCCGGGAGGCGGAGGTTGCAGTAAGCCAAGATCGCGCCTGGGCAATAGAGGGAGACTCCATCTCAAAAAAACAAAAAAGAAAGAAAGAATGAACAAATGAATGAATCTCTAACTAGTTATAAAAACAAAAGAATGCTGACTATAATAGGATGTTTCTTTTTCAAATTAATATTCACTTTTATAAGATTATGAAAGATGGGCCGGGCACGGTGGCTCATACCTGTAATCCCAGCACTTTGGGAGGCCGAGGCGGGTGGATCACGAGGTCAGGAGATCAAGATCATCCTGGCTAACACAGTGAAACCCCGTCTCTACTAAAAATACAAAAAATTAGCCGGGCATGGTGGCAGGAGCCTGTAGTCCCAGCTACTCGGGAGGCTGAGGCAGGAGAATGGCATGAACCCAGGAGGCAGAGGTTGCAGTGAGCCGAGATCGCACCACTGCACTCTAGCCTGGGCAATAGAGCAAGACTCTGTCTCAAAAAAAAAAAAAAAAAGATTATGAAAGTTGAACATATATGGGCATTTTGTTTTTTCTTTTTCTATTAAGTATAAGTCTGTATATGAAATGCAAATATGTGTTTTTCCCTCTCTGTTTCAAGAGGGAAGGATGAAACCAGGAAATCGTGAGCACACCACATACTTACAGGAGAAGTAGGAACTGTACCATGAGTCACACAAAATAACTAGGTAAAAAAGAGTGTCCAAAATTGTTAGATAAGGAAGATGGTCCCATAGGAGGGGTGACTCAGTTGACTCAACTCTCTCCTGGGAAATACACTTCTGCATTATCCTATTTATAATAACAGGGTGTTATGAAGTAAATAGTCACCCAAAGAGGAACCTCCTGAGAGTAGAGTTGAGTGTGACATAGGACAGTCCAAGAAAATATGTGCACCTGACAAGGTGCTTTGAGGTAGCAGGTGAAGCTCAATCACAAGAAGTGGCATAACTCAACAAATGACTCTTTCTGTACCCCTGGGAAAACCATGTTTCCCACCAAGAATCTCTCAATTCATGACAGGGAATGTGCAACCTCAACGGATCTCTCTTTCTTTTGTGACTATTAAGATTACTATCTCTCAGGCTGACACAGGTGGATCACCTGAGGTTGGGAGTTCAAGACTAGCCTGGCCAACATGGTGAAACCCCATCTCTACCAAAAATACAAAAATTAGCTGGGCGTGGTGGCACCCACCTGTAGTCCCAGCTACTCGGGAGGCTGAGGCAGGAGAATCACTTGAACCTAGGAGACGGAGGTTGCAGTGAGCTGAGATCGCACCACTGCACTCCAGCCTGGCAATAGAGCGAGACTCAGTCTCAAAAAAAAAAAAAAAAAAAAAGAAAAAGATTACTATCTAGAGAGGTAAATCTTAGAGAACTCAATGAAACTCATAGGGTTTCTATTTTTGAAGCAAACTTAAATGTGGGTGTAACAATAATTTTTAGAGTCACTGTAACATGTGTGTGTTTTCCACTTAAGAGAATTTGTCATATTAGGTTTGTAGCTTTATTGAAGTGTTTAAAACACCTTGACTAAGTTTGAAACCAACATTTAAGTATCGAAGGCAATTGGTTCATGAATTAATAGTTTGAATTATTAGTTGCATAATAGTGTTTAAATATTTGAGGAAATGTGTTTAATAGATGTAAAAGCTTAGTAAAGTGAACATTAAACAAAACTAAGTAGTGGTAAGTGTTCTTTCTATGCCAGTAGCCCCTGAGACGTTAAGGATCCTAGCAACAGACAAGATATCTATCATCTAGTAGATTTAGTAGACTGTATGTTGTAGCAAAATCGCATGACCTCTGGCTATTACTATTGAAAACAAAATCCTAACTAAGATACTTAGCAGAAAAACCCAGCCAGCAACTATGTAGGTTACCTTTTGTAATTACAGTCTCTCGACAAGGGTTATTATTCAATTCATGACTTGATTAGGTTTGGATCATTGGCAAATATTTTGCTATGTTCACCTCTTTAGTAATAAGCTTGAGGTTTACTCCTTTAAAACACTTCTGAGGTCAAGCTTTCTGAAGTGACAGGGATTGAGAGGTGAAGGTTCTAGAGAAAGAGGAGGCCAAGCAACCTTGGTGATCAAAAGACTTTTAAGAAAAGGAAAGATTAATATTCACCTTTATGTTGCAGTGATGCAAACTGTTCCATATCTCCCAGATGTTCATTACAGTTGCTATATAAACAAAAAAAATCCAAGCACTTCCGAGGTCTAAATAGTTTTACTTCCTATAGCTATCATACAAGAACGATTCAAAGTGCCAATTGTTGCCAATGTCGTGTCATTCATGGATATGTCAGTGATTCTTCCTTGCTGTGGACAGCAGCCGACATTCAGTTATTTTTCTGGAATAGACACCTCAGCTTGCTACTTGCTGGGCTGATCTAAGATACTCTGAAGATTCGCTAGGGACTTATGAGCTACTAATGCTCAGGGATTTAGTGTCCTGAAGAACTCTTTAATCCTGTGCTTCCTGAATCCCACCCTAAGCCAGGGCCTTCTGTCACATCCCAAGAGTTACAGGCAGTTTGAAAGCTCTGCTTTCTGCTTGACCTTTGGAAGTCCTATGAGGGACCATTTACGGTTTCCTCAGTAATTTCCACCAGGATGAATTTCCTTCTCATCACTCTGCCTCAGGTAGTGCTCTGAAGGTCGTCCTTTCTGAACAAACGCAGCAAAGCAAGCCACACCATGGGTGAGATCAACCAAGTTGCCGTGGAGAAATACCTGGAGGAGAACCCTCAGTTTGCCAAGGAGTACTTTGACAGGAAGTTGCGGGTGGAGGTGCTGGGAGAAATCTTCAAGAACAGCCAGGTGCCAGTCCAGTCCAGCATGTCCTTCTCTGAGCTGACCCAGGTGGAGGAGTCAGCCCTGTGCTTGGAGCTGCTGTGGACCGTGCAGGAGGAGGGGGGCACCCCAGAGCAGGGGGTTCACAGGGCCCTGCAGAGGCTGGCCCACCTGCTCCAGGCTGACCGCTGCAGCATGTTCCTGTGCCGGTCCCGGAACGGCATACCTGAGGTGGCCTCTAGGTTGCTGGATGTCACCCCCACCTCCAAGTTTGAGGACAACCTGGTGGGCCCTGACAAAGAAGTTGTGTTTCCATTGGACATTGGGATAGTGGGTTGGGCTGCTCACACGAAGAAAACTCATAATGTCCCAGATGTGAAAAAGGTAGGTGGCCTTATGACAGTGGGGCAGAGGTCTTGGCAGGGTCAGGGAGGAACAAATGGGAAAGAGAGATAGTGCTATCCTTGTGGCATTAGTTTGGCAATAACCGGGGGAATGTGGGTGGCAGGGAAGAGGATCACCCAGGCCTAGTGTTGCCAAATTTAGCAAATGAAATTTCAAGTTGCCCAGTTGAACTTGAATTTCAGATAAACAATGAATTATTATTTTCTGAAGTATAAGTATGTCCCATGTAAAGTTTGGCATTTTATCAGGTGATCCTACCTGGCCCTGGTGCATTCCACACACCCTCCCTTACGCCTCCTCCAGTGCTCTGGGGGACTTTCCTTCTCAGCAACACCAGCAAAACAAACTACCCCACTAGGGAGATGGGCCAACGTGCCCAGATGCCAAGACTTGTGAACTGCTCCCCATGCCTCTCATTCACAGTCCTTCGAAAACATTCAGGTTTTTTGGATGGATTTGCTAGTAAATCAATTCTTTCATCTATCGACCAAATGTGCAAAGAGAAAAAATGATGCCATTTGAAAGTTCAGATGTTCAAATTTGGAATTCATTACATATGTGAATTTAGGTGATGGTTAAGTGCAATTGACCACTCCCACTGCTCCATAACCCAGATCTTTCAAGAATGAATTCCAATCAAGTAAGTGGGACATTTGGACCCTCTTGAAGACCAACAGCATACTGCACAAATACAAGGCATTGAGATGCCCCTTATAGAAATAGAAAAACTTTATTCTTACCATTAGAGTACATGTTCATTTTTAAACAATTATAAGATACAAATAAACCAGAGGAGGAAATGCTAATCACCCATCATCCCTCCCCTCAGCAATAATCAAGGGTACCAGCTTGGAGATTCTCCTGGCAGCTCCTTCTCTACACATGTGGTCCATTATTACAGTTTACCATTAACAAAAAGGGAAAAGTGGATTATGATGGAACAGAGTTGAATGGGAACAACTTGTGAAATGCTTTCTGTGCAGGGGTGTATAGGGCAGCTGGAGAGGCAGGAGGATAATCTCCTAAATGCCTCCTGAAGCTGATTATAGGGGGAGGGTCACACGGACCCAAGAGGTGTGGAAGTCATCAAACACGAGTGACTCTCTGCAAACAACCACAGAACACCGCTCAGGTGCAAGGGTTACCATGGGGCCTGGTAGGGCTTCAGTCCTGAATAATTCCTCCTTTCAGTAAGTTTAAGCTGGGTTAAGTTTGCTTTTGAGCCTGACTGCAGCTGCTTCAAGTGTCTAAATGGATGCTCATCCTTAGGGCAAAGTTCTCTAGACAACCAACTGGAAGGCAATGTCTGCACATCCTGAGGTTTTTCTCATGGGAATACGCTCCTTGAGGGTCCCCAACTGAGCCCATCCCTGCTAGCACATCAAACTTGAAAAAGTGACATTCAGCAATTTTTTGAAAGGCTTTTAAAGAAGAGATGGGTAAAATGATTTCTGCTGTTATACTTTGATTAGCCCAGTTCTCTGTGGTGAGAAGGAAATAAGAGCATGGAGCTGCTTGGAGGTGGTTTTGGTCTGCGGCTGTCCATGGTGAGCATCACGGCATGGACGGAGCACTTCATCTGGGAGTGGGGAGTCTCTCCTCTCTTCTCTGGAGGACTCCTGGCTGTTCTGGGTGGGACACAGAGAAATGTGTGTTGAAGACAGATACGGTTCTGTGCTCACGAGAAAGAGACCTCATTGGTTCTTCATTTCAACTGCTTCTTCACATTTTTTTCTCTCTAGAGTGGGGATTCCAACTCTGGCTGTACATTAAAACCATATTAAGCTGTGTGCAGTGGCTCACGCCTGTAATCCCAGCATTTTGGGAGGCCACGGCGGGTGGATGGCTTAAGCCCAGGAGTTCGAGACCAGGCTGGCCAACATGGGAAACCCCCGTCTCTACCAAAAATACAAAAATAAGCCAGGCATGGTGGTGTGTGCCTGGAGTCCCAGCTACTTGGAAGGTTGAGATGGGAGGATGGCCTGAGTCTGGGAGGCCAAGGCTGCAGTGAGCTGTGTTCACACACTGCACTCCAGCCTGGGTGACAGAATGAAACCCTGTCTCAAAAAATAAACACAATCCACAAAACCATATTGGTGGCTTTATTGTTACAGCGGACTCTCAAAGATTAGAATTCAGGCATTAGTATTTTTATTTTATTATTTATTTATTTTTGAGACAGTCTTGCTCCATCACCCAGGCTGGAGTGCGATGGCGCTATCTTGGCTCACTGCAACCTCTGCCTCCCGGGTTCAAGCAATTATCCTGCCTCAGCATCCTGAGTAGCTGGGACTACAGAGGTGCGCCACTATGCCTGGCTAATTTTTGTATTTTTAGTAGAAACGGGGTTTCACCATGTTGGCCAGGCTGGTACTGAACTCCTGACCTCAGGTGATCCACCTGTCTCGGACTTTCAAAGTGCTGGGATTACAGGCGTGAGCCACTGCGCCCGGCCCAGGCATTGGTATTTTTAAAAAGCTCCCCCAGCTACTTCTAATATGCAGCCAATGTTGAAAACCACTGGTCTCTTGGGTAAGCAGATACAGGAGGAGGAAGTGAATTTCAAATCAGCTGTGGAATATTAGAGATGGAAGGGGCTTATGAAGTCTTTAGCCCAACTCTGTCCTATGGAGGACAGGAAGTTGAGGCCATAGGAGTTGTATATCCCCCGGGTCCATGGTGTGTGTCTGTGGATGAGGAGGGTTGGAACGGAGGTGGCTGAGTATGTGTCCAGTGCTGTTTGCCTACCTTACACCCCTGCAGTTTCACTTGCTTTAGCCGCTGCAGTAAGATTTGCAACGGGAAAGGAAGTAGAAACCAATGTTTCAAATGAAATATCTGATTAATTCTTCCTCTTTTCATTGCACTTGACAATTTAAACAACATTCTCTGACAAGGGTCATATTTTTATTTCCAGCCTGTGTAGTAGGAATCGTTCAAAGTTAGGTAGACAGGAAGTGGCAGATCTGGGGCAATAACTCAGGTCTTGGAGGCCTCCCTCTTTCTACCATATCCCTGACCACACACAACTTTCCTCTGGCTAGCAGTGTGGGCGCAGGTGAGGGAAAGACTTCTCACACCTAGACAAAGGTACAGAACTACATACTCCCAACCTTGGAGGGTCCATGAAGGTAACAGGGAAGCCACTAGTATAGGGAGAGGGCTGTGGCATCAGACAGACCTGGGTGAAGATCCATGTCTGTGACGTAGTAACTGTGTGATGGAGTTTCTACCCCTAAGAAATGGAGATAAGCAAATGTACAGATTAAATGTATATAAAGGACCTGACTCATAGTAGATGCTCAATAAATGATAGCTGTGATAATATTGTCATTATGCCAGTAGGCGTTTAGGAGCTGGATATGGTTGGCCAAAAAATGGTCAATGATTATTGCCTGTTTTAAAACAAGTTGAAGGCAGGAAGACTTTTTTTTTTTTTTTTTTTTGAGACGGAGTCTCGCTCTGTCACAAGGCTGGAGTGCAATGGCTTGATCTCGGCTCACTGCAACCTCTGCCTCCCAAGTTAGAGCCATTCTCCTGCCTCAGCCTCCCCAGTAGCTGGGATTACAGGCATGCACCACCATGCCCAGCTAATTTTTGTATTTTTAGTAGAGACAGGGTTTCACCATGTTGGCCAGGCTCGTCTTGAACTTCTGACCTCGTGATCTGCCCACATAGGCCTCCCAAAGTGCTGAGAGGAAGACTTTTAAGAACAGGAAACTGAGAGATATCCTCTTTAAGTTGTTTTTTTCTCTATTCGGAAAGCTGTCCATAAACTATGGGTGATCCTGATTCTGACTGTGGTTTAAAAGTCCTCCTTCCTCTCTCTTCCTTTCCTCCTCTACTTCTGCTTTGGATCTCAGGGGTTAAGGGTGTTTAATCAGGATTTAGCAATACTGACATCTGATGAGGGATCAGGCCTCCTGTTGCTCTAAACAATGTTCTCCAGCTGCCTTCAAGGGCTTCTCTGAAGAACCATCAAGGGACACACGCAGGATTTATGCAAAGAAACTTCGCTAAGGATTTTTTGAGCTAGTGAAAATAAAACACAAAAACCCCTCCCCCATCCCCATCCTGTAACTTAATGGCTGGTTTATCTAGGGCTTTCAGATGCAATAATAAGCAAGTATCAAATTTTGAAACTTACAAGCCATTTTCTCAAAACAGTCCATTGAACTTAACATTTCCTTGTGTTTAGAATCTGGAATAAAATGGCATTAAGTTTGAAGCTGCAGAGTGAAATGTGTTTGCAAAGAAGTGCTGCCAGCTAAGCATGGTGGCTTACACCTGTAATCTCAGCACTTTGGGAAGCTGAGGTGGGCAGATCACCTGAGGTCAGGAGTTTGTGACCAGCCTGGCCAACACAGTGAAAACCTGTCCCTACTAAAAATACAAAAATTAGCCAGGTGTGGTGGCAGGTGTCTGTAATCCCAGCTACTTAGGAGGCTGAGGCAGGAGAATCACTTGAACCTGAAAGGTGAAGCCTGCAGTGATCAGAGATCACGCCATTGCACTCTAGCCTGGGCAACGAGAGCAAAACTCTGTCTCAAAAAAAAGAAAGAAAGAAGTCCTGGCTAACTTCACCCCATGGTGCACATTTCTGGTATTTCGATGATTCCTTTAGTGCCCAGGCTGTGTAAATGAAGGTGATGTGATCTGCATGGATAACAGGGTGGAAGGGAAACAATGGGAGCTGGCCTAGACAAGCAGTGGATTAAGAGAAAGAATCTAACAAAAACTGCAGACACTTTGGTCTGAGGGTGAAGATGCTATGGGGAACCAGAGAGAGGTAACAGATAAAATGGATAGAAAAGAAATGTGGTTCTTGGTGGCATGAGTGAGGGAGTGTGCTGGCCTTCTGGAGGAAGGGTGCTCCGCGGTATGGGAGGCCTACATCCAGCTATGGGCATCTGATTTCTTCAGTGATTTGAATTGGCTAGAAAAATTAAAACTAGAAGCAAAATGGTAATTGCAAAAGAACTACTTCTCATTCAGGAAAGCCTAGAAAAGTACTAAGTTTCTCTTCCTAGTACTTACTGAATACTATGTGCCAGACACTCTTTTTTTTTCTAAGTGCTCAGCCTATACTATGTTATTCTATCTTCACATCAGGAATTCTAGGCAGTAGATGGAAGCATTACCCCTATTTTCAGATTACAAAACGAGGACACAGAAGGTAAGTAACACGCCCAGGACCATACAGCTAGTACACTGGGGCCCAGTTTCAGCCAAGAAAGTCTGACTCCAATACCTTCCTTGCCTTTATGCAATGCTGATGCCTCAAGAGTTGGTTTGTGTGTTTCCACTTTGGGAAAGGTATAGAAGAGATCTGGAGTGAGGGGCTGCCTTTATCCCCTTTACATCACATATTTCCTCTGAGAGCGGTACCATTTCTGGTGATCCTCTGCAGGAGTGATTCCCCATTGGGTTGAGCCTAAGAATTACCTGGGCCACGTAAAAGTGCAGGTTCCACTGTAGGAGATTAGGATTCAGTGCATCTGCTGCATTAATCTGCAGGTGATTCTGAGGCATATCTCAGGACTGCTAATCTCATTTGAGCTCTGTGAGTTCTATTGGCCAACCAGCCCTTGTTCCCTGGTGGAAACTCTGGCCTGGAAATGACACACCCAGAAAATTCTCACATTTTTTTCTACGGGAAACCAGACAGAATCCAGTCTGCAAGGTTTGTGCTGCTTTTAGAAGCACTGCCAACACAGGGAAATGAAAATAATACAACTGTGGAAGGAATACCGCACTAATTTTGGCCAACGAGTCTCAGAGTTAAGGCTGAAGTTCAGTTCTAATTGAAGAAGTCCTAGGTTCAAAGGGAAGAATGTCATGACCCAAGGAAGGCTGGGTCTAAACCCACCGTGAGTGGCTATTCTCTGAAATGATAACTAATAAGATAATTGCCTTCCTTGACCTTTTTCTCAAGCCCTTCCATTTGTGCGCTTCTCCAGACTCATTACTCAGCCTCTGCTATGGCCAGTGGATTAGAATTATCTCTCGAATCTACTCTATGAGGTCTGAATCTGGGAAGATCCACTTTCCTCTCTCCCAGAGAAAGAAAAAAAAATAGGAATGGAAGACATAAGCCTGGTAGAACATTAAAAACCTGATAAGCATCTGATGCTGGCAAGAGGGTAGTCCTTGGTCCTTTCACACAGGGTCAGTGGAAGTTAGAATGTGAACCTTTCTTTTTCTTTTTCTTTTTTTTGAGATAGAGTTTTGCTCTTGTTGCCCAGGCTGGAGTACAATGGCGCGATCTTGGCTTACTGCAACCTCTGTCTCCCGGGTTCAAGCGACTCCCCTGCCTCAGCCTCCTGAGTAGCGGAGATTACAGGGGCGTGCCACCACGCTTGGCTAGTTTTTGTATTTTAGTAGAGACAGGGTTTCATCATGTTGGCCAGGCTGGTCTCGAACTCCTAACCTCAGGTGATCCGCCTGCCTTGGCCTCCCAAAGTGCTGGGATTACAGGCATGAACCACCCCGCCCAGCCTCAGAATGTGAACCTTTCATCAAAGTAATCTATGTAAAGAAAAACTGTATGTTCCTGTGGATCCAGCAAAAGGGATTTCCTTTTTTGGGAATCTGTCACATAAAAATAAAAGCAAGAAGGATTAGTGCAGTATTGTTGGTAGTGGGGAAAACTATACACAGGCAAAATCAGTAAAGGACAGTTGAGTGGATCATAAAGCACCCAGGGTGGAGTAGTGTGCACAAATCTAAGAGGTGAGTTCACATCCATATGCATTGGTCTTCAGGGAAGTCCCTAAGACATTGTTAAGTGATGAAACTATTATAAGCAATTAGAAAAGGAAATTTTAGAAAAAATAGAAAACTCTTTGTTCAAGCATGGAGAAAGGCATAGGAGACACACCAGCAGTTAGCACGGATTTCTTCTAGTAGGCTAGATTGGAAGGAACTGGGGGCAATGATAATTTTTGCTTTATGTTATGACATATGGGTTGATGATTTCAAGTGCATGTTTTCCCTTTGTAATGAGAGAGAAGCGCTCTATGAACTGTGTCTGTATTCCTAGCTGTGCTCTCCTTCCCTGCATGTACTTGCTGTCTATTGTAACCTTGTGCCTTCCCCTCTCTTCCTCTTAGCACCTCACTTTCCACTTGGCTGTCTGATCACCTCTTTTCTTCTGGCCCAACCTCAGCCTAACCTAAATAGGCCATAGCTCAGGTTGGCAGCGCTTATTCTGAAATGGGCAATTCCATTCTATGCAGTCATAGGATGGCAGGTGGAGTGGGATTGTTTACTGGGGACCACTGTACTGGAGCCCTGGTTATCTGTTGGTAGCATTTAAATGAGAGAGAATGATCTGTCATCATCCCTAGATCTACCACTCTATGATTTTGTGCCACTTTGACAAATATGTGACTGTCTCTTTCAGAACAGCCATTTTTCTGACTTCATGGACAAGCAAACTGGGTATGTCACTAAGAACCTGCTGGCAACCCCGATCGTGGTGGGCAAGGAGGTTCTTGCTGTGATCATGGCAGTTAACAAAGTAAATGCATCTGAATTTTCCAAACAGGATGAAGAGGTAATGCTAACCCTGGGCATCTGGTTGGAGGCTCAGGAAATTTATTTGTTGTATAACCAAAGAAAAGATGTCACAACCATAACTTGTTATTCTCTGCCGTCTGTAGGTCTTTTCCAAATACCTCAACTTTGTGTCTATCATCCTAAGGCTTCATCACACCAGCTACATGTACAATATTGAATCCCGAAGAAGCCAGGTAAAAGGAAGGCAGCATTAGTCATTCCATGCTGACCTATTCTGACAAAGCCGCCCAGAGACAACAAATTCAGACCCCTCCTATTCCTCCTGGGGGTGTAAGCCACGTGGAACAGATCCCCAAACTTCAGTCCCACGTGTCCTCTCATGATCTTCCCGCCACTCTCCCCACACACACTCCCCTGCACCCCAAGCTCTCCAATTGTGTACACAACTGGCTTGGCTTTCTTCAGTCTAGATCCCGAGTGGACTTGGCATTTCTGTCTATGAGATGGTGATGACAATAATGGTACCTACTTCAGATGGTTGTTGTGACTATTAGCGATTAGCTCTCAAATAAAGTTTGTAGAAATTCCTGGGTCATAGTAAACCTATTAATTTGAGGAGCATATTATTCCTAACTCCATGAGACAGAGGGATAAAGGGCACTATTAGTACCTAAGATACCTAGGTCTGGCCCACTCTCTGGACCTCAGTTTCCTCACCAGTACAATGCACGAGTAGAGGTTGAGAGGGAGGTCCCTTCCCGTTTGAACTCTCCAGGTAAGGTTACCTCTGACTATCTCAGGATGCATGGAAGGAGGTATGTGGCTCTCTCCACATCAGGGCCAGCAGGAGCCAGTGGGCCACCGATACTGGATTCTCCGTCCAGGGACCATCCCTGCATCCCATTTCAGGGCACTTCCCCTTTGGAGCCAAAACATCTAGACACAGGAACCAATCATAGCTTCTCTCTCTCCATAGACCCGCAGCCTTGCAAAAGTCTACTCATCATCTCACCTAGAGGATCTGAGTAGTTTGTTGGATGTACACATGTTCAAAATCAGAATTGCACTTTCCAATGATATGCATTTATTTTATTTGATGCACCTCATGTTTTCTTGTGGTGAATGCTCTATCTCTCCATAGCATACTTTATTCTAACTGTTTTCTTTTTGATACCTACTTTCAGATCCTTATGTGGTCAGCCAATAAAGTATTTGAAGAACTCACAGATGTTGAGCGACAGTTTCACAAAGCGCTCTACACGGTTAGATCATATCTGAACTGTGAACGATACTCCATTGGACTGCTGGACATGACCAAGGAGAAGGTTCTTATTATTCTACACATTTTGTCTCATCTCACATCGCCTATATAACACACACCACAGGAAATGTGATCCTTAAAAAACAGATACACTATGTAAATAATTAGTCATGATTGATGACAAGAACAGAGGTAAAAGTGTGTGTCTTGGAGCAAAAAAGATGTAGGCTTGAATCTTGGTTTTTCCACTTCCTAGTAATATGGGTTTTCAGCAAGTCTGTTTTTTTTTTACATTAATTAATAGACTATTTTTAGAGTAGTATTGACAGAAAAATTGATTATAAAGTACGGAGTTTCCTCTTCCCTCCCAATCTCCTCTCCCAGTTTCCCTGTTATTAATATCTTGCATTAGTGTGGTGTGATGAATCAATATTGATATATTATTATTAACTAAAGTCCATAGTTTACATGAGGGTTCATCCTTTGTGCAGTTCTCTGGGTTTTGACAAATGTGTAATGTCATATATCTGCTACTACAGTATCAGACAGACTACTTTCAGTGCCTCAAAGCCCTCTGTGCTTCACATATTCAACCTTTCCTCACCCCTTCCAAACTCCTGGTAGCCACAGGTTTTTTTTTTGTTTTTTTTTTTGTTGTTTTTTTTTTTTTGCTGTTTCTATAGTTTTTGCCTTTTCCAGAATGCCATATAGTTGGAATCATACAGTATGTAGCTTTTCAGACTGGCTTTTCACTTTGAAATATGCATTTAAGTTTCCTCCATGTCTTTTCATGACTCAATAGCTAATTTCTTTTTATCACTGAATAATATTCCACTGTATGGCAGGTTTGTGTATCCATTCACCTGTTGAAGGGTATCTTGGTTGCTTCTAATATTTAGTGATTGTGAATAAAGCTGCTATAACCATTGTAGGTAGGTTTATGTGTGTCTACATGTTTTCAACTCAATTGGGTAAATACCGAATAGGGCAATTGCTGGATTATACTGTAAGACAAATTGATCTTTGTAAGAAACTGGCAGACTGTCTTCCAAAGTGACTTTACTGTTTTGCATGTCTACCAGATGCACTTTCTCACCAGCAGTTGTTAATGTCAGTATTTTGGGTATTAGCAGTTGCTGATGTTAGTATTTGGGGTATCAGTTGTGGTATCTCATTGTTGTTTTAATTTTCAGTTCCCCAATGACATATGATGTTGAGCATCTTCTCATATGTTTACTTGCCATCTGTATATCTTCTTAGAGAGATAGCTGCTCAGATTTTTTGCCCACATTTTTTTATGTTGTTTTCTTATCATTCAATTGTAAGAGTTATTTGTATATTATGGGTCCAAGTCCTTTACCAAATATGTGATTTGCAAATACTTTCTCCCAGTCTGTGGCTTATCTTTTCATTCTCTTAACAGTGTCTGCTGCAGAGCAGAAGGTTTTAATTTTAATGAAGTCCAATTTTTCTATATTTTTTCTTTCATGGATTGTGCTTTTGGTGCTGTATCTATGAAGCCTCATCAAACCCAAGTTCACCTAGATCTTCTATGTCATCTCCTAGAATTTTTATACTTTTGTGTTTTACATTTAGGTGTATAATCCATTTTGAGTTATTTTTTGTGAAAGGTACAAGTTCTGTTTCTAGATTCACTTTTTTTACATGTAGATGTTCAGTTGTTCCAACAAAATTTGTTGAAAAGACTATCCTTTGTTCATTGCCTTTGCGCCTTTGTCCAAGTTAACTATATTTGTAAGGGTCTATTTCTGGGTTCTCTATTTTGTTTCATTGATTCATTTGTCCATTCTTTCACTAATACCACACTGTCTTGATTATTGCAGCTTCATGGCAAATCTTAAGTCAGGTAGTGTCAGCTTTTTGATTTTGTTCTTCTTGTCAGCAAGTCTTTTAACCTACCTGATTCTTGGCTTCTTCATCTGTAAAATGAGGACATCTCTCTTATCAATTGTGAGAATTAGAGATTTTATATATTTTTTTATATATATAAACACTATATGTACATAGTGTCTAGAATTTACACAGTAGGTGGATAATCAATATTATCTTTACCAACTTTAGGTTTTTGTATTCTAAAAAAATTTAATTAAAGTAGAAATATTGAAACATGTAATATTATTCACAATATAATGCCCTTGTGTCATCTTCTTTAATTCTGTTGCTACCCTTCTAGTTCAAAATAACTAACGATACCATATTATTTATATATTTTTTCTTTTGTTTTCTTTCCTTTTTTTGAGACTCTGTCTTGGTCTGTCACCAGGCTGGAGTGCAGTGGCATGATCTTGGCTCACTGCAACCTCAGCCTCCCAGGTTCAAGCGATTCTCATGCCTCAGTAGCTGGGATTATAGGCCTGTACCACCACGTCCACTGATTTTCGGTATTTTAGTAGAGACAGGATTTCGCCACGTTGGCCAGACTGGTCTCGAACTCCTGTCCTCAAGTGATCCGCTCGCCTTGGCCTCTCAAAGTGCTGGGATTACAGGCATGAGCCACCGCACCTGGCCTTATTTATATTTCTTCATATTCATGTGATTGGAAGTTATTTTTTCAGAGTAATTGTTCTAAGTGGATAAACATAGGATGAAGCACTAGGAGAGCTGGGTTCTGATCTTGGTTCTGGGACTTTGTAGCTGAGTATGTTGGTTAGGATTCTTTTGGCTATAAGAAACATCAGACACAGCTAAAAGCATCTCTAACAATATGATATTTATTCTCCTACTTAACAAGGTAGGGCAGCGCTAGTACTGGTTGATTCAGAGATCAGTGCAGTCATTAAAGTCCAGGTGCTTTCTCTTTCTTCCTGGCAAGGTCTCTGCTACCTGCAGCGTGCTGGTGAGGCCTCCTCTTATGGTGGAAAGATGGCTGTTGCAGCTCAAATCATTGGCACATAGGCATGACACAACTGGGAGGCATTTTCTCCAAATGTCACTCTCATCAGCTTTTATCTGAGGAATACCTTTTGCCAGTAGTCCCTCAGCAGACTTCTCCCCCTTCTTCAATGTCCAGATCTGGGCCACATACCTGCCCTTAAACTGATCTAGGCACCTCATGTAGACCACTCATGGGCTGTGGTCTGATGGAAAATTACCACCTGATACTCAAATCGCATCAGGTTATGCTAGCAAGGAAAAGACAGAGAATGAATGTTGGGTAAAGCAACCAACATTTTGCCACTCTGTGTGACCTTGGCCAAGCCTTTTACCAGATTTAGCTTAATTGTCTATGAAAGAATTGCTATACATTGAGTATTTTGAACTATGTGCCAGGGTAGATGTTACATATGTATTATTCATTTAATCCTCACAACAATTCTTTAGTACAAATTCTATTGTTATCCCTATTTTACAGATGTAAAAGGTTAAGTAACATGTTAACAGTCAAAAATTCCTAACCAGTATTGCTGGGAATTGTAGATCTTTCAGCACTAAAATTCCAGAATTACGTAGATTAACATAAAATATACAAACACATAAAATTCATATAAGATATGGTAGGTCATGGAACAGTGTGTTTAATGATACTTAAATCTGATTGCCTCCAGGAATTCTACGATGAATGGCCAATCAAGCTTGGAGAAGTAGAGCCTTATAAAGGTCCAAAGACACCTGATGGCAGGGTACGTGCAAATGTCTTCCTTGATGCCATCTGTGCATGGTGTCAGGTGCTAAAATTAAGAGGCCACAGTGCATAGAGCACTGGCCTGGGAAGACCTGGAGTAGTAGAAACAGCACTAGACAAGGAGTTTGAGGTTCTAGTCCCAGCTATGCCCCAAGCTAGAGCTGATTGGCCCCTGCCTTAACTCCTTGTTGAACCTCTCCGTTTCCTTTTCTATAAAGCCAGGGCTTGGTAGACCAGTGGTTCTCAACTGGAAGGGATGCATCAGAGCCACCTGCACAACATTTTAAAGAAGTACCTGGGCCCTTCTTCAGATATGTGGGATTAGAATCTCTAAGGAAGGGTTGGGTTAGGTTTACTTTCCCCCTTGACTGCAAGCTTCATGAAGGCAGAAACCCCTGTGTCCATAGCACACAGGAAAGAGAAGGGGATGGATTGTGTCCAGGCCTCAGATTCATCATCTGCCCCATGAAACAGAGAGAATAATTCTCTAGTCCCTTTCAGCTTTGGCAGTGAAACCTCCTGTTTCTGAGGCACCTGTTCAGATAAGTCACTGATGAAAGGAGGGTACGGGTCACTATATATAATGTAAAACTGACTACAGTTAAGAAATTACATGATTTGTTCTAGTGAAGTTATTAATGTCAGGTATTTCTGGACAACAAAAGGGATCACTTGAAAATAAAAACAGACTCTCTGATGATTTGGTAGCCAAAGATCCCCCCCACCCCAAAAGCTGTTTGGGGGCAATTCAACTTTTTAAAAACAAAATTTATTTTAGCCTGTGCATGTAGATAAACAGCCAATAATATTTCTGGTTTTATTATAAGTTTGTAGTCAGGATATAAGTAGTTTGATAATTTATGTTATAATATAATGTGGTTGGGAAATAAGGTTCTATTTGTAAGAGTTTTAAAGTACAAGTTCCCCAATGAAAAATGATTTCTTTGGGAAATAACATTATTCCCATAATATCCTCTTTCTTTCTTAGGAAGTCAACTTTTATAAAATCATTGATTACATTTTACATGGAAAAGAAGAGATCAAAGTGATTCCGTGAGTATTGGCAGGAAGTTGCTGCCGCAGTTGCCGTTGTATTTTTGCACATATTGCATTTCTCTATATTGCAATGATTTTTTTTCTTCTCTTCCCCAAGGACGCCTCCTGCAGACCACTGGACACTCATTAGTGGGTTGCCAACATATGTTGCTGAAAATGGATTTGTAAGTTATTGAACAAATTCAAATTTTAAATAATATTGCAAGAAACTCTTATTAGCTAAGAGATAGATACAATTGTGAAAGCAAGAATGCATCCAATAAAAGCTAGATGGGCCGGGCGCGGTGGCTCATGCCTGTAATCCCAGCACTTTGGGAGGCTGAGGCGGGCGAATCATCTGAGGTCAGGAGTTCGAGACCAGCCTGACCAACATGGTGAAACCCCGTCTCTACTAAAAATACAAAATTAGCTGGGCGTGGTGGCACATGCCTGTAATGCCAGCTACTTGGGAGGCTGAGGCAAAAGAATTGCTTGAACCCAGGAGGTGGAGATTGCAGTGAGCCAAGATCGCGCCATTGCACTCCAGCCTGGGCAACAAAGTGAAACTCCACAAAAAAAAAAAAAAAAAAAAAAAAGCTAGATGATCACTTCCTTTGGCATAGGACAAAGGAGAGAAGAATCTTGACAGTCAAATGTAGGTTAACTGGAGACTTCTGAACTCTACACAGAAATATTTAGTCAGCATGAGAAAGGTTCCTCCATCCCTCAATTTCTTATTCTGCAGCCACACACATTTCAGATATCCTTTGGAATCCAATGACTATGATTTAATGACTGGGTTTAATTCTATCTCAAGTACATCAGTCAATTTTTTAAAGCATAAATATGGGGGATGGGGTGGGGATGGTGTGGGATGTGGAACTTTTCAATATTGAGTTAAAAGCTTGGGCCTCTAAGGTCTTGACCCACCTGTAAATGTTCTTATAACATTTAGAACATAATGTTCTTCAAAGAAAGGACTAAAACAGATAATTGCTGATGAAAAGTTTAAAAAAGAATAGGCTGCTTTTTGCCTCTTCAAAAACACAGTTGAAGGGTGCTCAGCCCATCAAATGATGTAATTTATTCAAGTTAGATCATGAAATTAATGCATGGCATGAAAGATTCCTTAAATTCTTAGGCTATATATGCTTATAAAAACTTTGAAAGATTCTCGCATTTTCTGTGTAAGAGTACTACAAAAATAGTAGACATGGTTCATTCAATTATTCTCAGAAAGCACTTACCTTGGGGCCG